>NC_000020.11:37223809-37526840 GCF_000001405.40 Homo sapiens
ATATCTGCATGTGAATTCCTGAACACCCACCAATTGACCTGGCAACTGTCTTCTCTATTTTCCTCTAGCTCAGAGTCAAGATCTCCACTGAAGTTGGCATCACAAATGTTGATCTTTCCACCGTGGATAAGGATCAGAGCATTGCACCCAAAACTACCCGGTAGGTGAGATGCCACCTGATCACTCAGGGAGCTGAGGCTCAAGAGCTGAGAGGAGTATGCCTAGGCACTGAGCCCTGCAGGCATCAGTTCTGTGTCAGCAGCCATCCAGCTTACATCCTAAATTAAAGAGTCTGTAGTTCCACTGGTCCTGCACCGGGGATTCTGCGAATTATCTAAGTGGATTTGGAGATTGTATATACCAGTGTTTAGTCCATGCACAAACTATTTATTAACCAGTCCTCAACGAGGTAAAGCGCTTACCTCAGGATGTTAGTCTGAGTCAGTCAGCTATGTCACTAAGCATATTATTTAGTTCAGATGATAATTTTTAAAATAATAAGACCTTCTCAATGAAGGAAGCAAGGTATTAATTTACATTCTGGTGCGATCTCCTTATCATCACAGTCCTGAATTTGCTTTTAGTGACCTAATGGCAAGTCTCTCTGGCCTATGATGGGTCTGAAATTAGTTGGAAGCCTCACACGTGCTTAAAATTGAGATGGCAGATACCCAGCACTAGGGCTGCCATTTCCCCCTCCCAAGTCCATGGAGGCAGTACTAAGAAGTCATAGAACATTTGCTCCCACTGAACTCAGACACAGCCTCAGAATCTTTTTTTGAAACATAATCTTCTAAGTAGACACTAACAATTGAACAGAGTTGGGCCAGAATGCTGTAAGAAGCCTGCTCATCAGCCCTCCCCCAGATCCTTATTGGCTCAGCGGGGATCTAGATTTCTGGGGTATAGTCCAGACCCCAACTTTACTCAACTAGGGTAGCTATAGAGGCCAGAAGACAGTAGGGTGAACCATCAAGGCTCTTTGAAGATGGGATGTTAGCCAGAGGCTGGAAGCCAAGCAGCTACTCCTTTTAAATCACATAGAGTTGGCCTTTGTGTCTCTGGGTTGGCTATTTTTGTAGTGATATTGGAGATAAGAGCACTGTTTAAGAATCCACTGAAGAAATGTCTGTGCGAGCGCTTTGCTGTTTAATTCTCTGCCTAGATGAAGAGTTGGTCTTACTTACGAGTAAATGTAAAATGTGAGTATAAAATAAAGCCAGGTCTGAGCTCTGTAACCATTTGGCTGGTTTATCCCCTGGCCATCTTACCCTAAAATCCCAGGAGATAGCTGTGAAAAGAAGTTTTCCTCATCAAGTCTGCCTTTTGGGAAAATGACTTTTTAAAACCCAGTTTCAGGGCAGAAAACTAAATTGAAACAGTGTCCAGGAAAAAAATATAGCATTAAAAAAAGACAAAGCTGAAAGTACCCTTCTTTCTTTTGTGTCTCCTACCTGCCTTGTCTCGATTTTGCTCACGTGTGCTGCTGGCATCAATCCTGTAATTATTTCTCCTTGCGGTTCTGCCAGCCCGGCTCTCCTGTGTGCCTGCAGAGGCCACACGTGAGCTCCTCTGGTGCCTGACTTTGTTGGAGTTGAGAGCCTTAGGTCCTTGAAGTGAAAGCCCAGAGGTACAAGCATCTGTACACAGCATTTCCCCAGATCCTGCTGGAAGTTTATTCTGCACTTTTCTCAGTCCAGGCTTTATCAGTCCAATTTGCCCCCAGGTTGCAGACAGTTCTCCACATCTGTCTGTCCACAACAGAAGTGTTACTATGGGAGAGGGTGGTTGAGGCAATGAAGTGAAGTATATATTTTCTGCCTGTTCTCAGAGATATACTGATCCTCTCTGAAGACTAACTCTATATGCCTCTTTCAGGGTGACATACCCAGCCAAAGCCAAGGGCACATTCATCGCAGACAGCCACCAGAACTTCGCCTTGTTCTTCCAGCTGGTAGATGTGAACACTGGTGCTGAACTCACTCCTCACCAGGTCAGGAAGACACCTAGACAGTTCTCTTAACCTGAAATGTGAATGGATACTAGAGTTTACAATGTGGTCTATAACATGGACTAGAGAGAATTCCACGTTCCTGCTTTCAGGTTTTGACCGAACCCTGACAGTCCATCAGGTTCTCCCACATGACACTCTCACCCTTCTACTGGTTGTAGTCCTTTACCTGGGATACACCCTTCTTTCTAAAAAGTTAGCTGGTATTGAGGAGAGGTACTTAAGGCAGATTTGCACTTAATTAAGGTCATTCCTTCCTCCCTCCCTCCCTCAGATGGACTCTTGCTCTGTCACCCAGGATGGAGTGCAGTGGTGTGATCTCAGCTCACTGCAACCTCTGCCTCCTAGGTTCAAGCGATTCTCCTACCTCAGCCTCCCAAGTAGCTGGGATACAGGCATGCATTACCATGCCCAGCTAATTTTTGTATTTTTAGCAGAGACAGGGTTTCACCATGTTGGCCAGGCTGTTCTCATCTCCTGACCTCAGGTGATCCGCCTGCCTCAGCCTCCCAAAGTGGTGGGATTATAAGCATGGCACTAGACTCGAGGCTTTTTCTTTCTGATTTAAAAAAGGGAATGTGCTGGCCAGGCATGGTGGCTCACGCCTGTAATCCCAACACTTTGGAGGCAGAGGTAGGAGGATCACTTGAGCCCAGGAGTTGGAGACCAGCTTGGGCAATATGGTGAGACCTCATTTGTGTGTATGTATGTATGTATAAATAAATAAGGGAATATACTGAAATAATTTCAAAAGAAGACCCAAAGCATTTTTTTATTCTAGCCAAAGCAGATTTTGTATTTGTGGGACTCTGAAGAATAGCCCTTTTAACTTGTGCTTACTTTGTATTATGAAAGCAATAGGCTTTATTTTTTTCATAGAGTAATGAAAATTATTATTTAAAAGATTTTCAAACCATATACTCTTTCCCCTGAGAACCTAATATGGCCCCATGTCCACTCAGATACCCCCACTCCCACACTGCCTGTCATCCCCCTTGATGGAGAATAACCTGCCTTTAGTGTTACGTGAAGGAAGATTCAGATAAATACTTTGAATGCTGAAAGACAGGAATGCGGGACCTAGTTTGGTATGGGGTACCCTGTACCGATGCTTTAGCAAGGACCAGCAGACTTGTTGCCTTGAGGCAGCTTCAGGGCAGACCTCAGAGGCAACTGGATTTACTTGAGAACCTTCTTGCTTTCTGTTTCTTGCAGCTGCAGCTGTTGGACTTGTGCCCCAGGAGCACGTTCCTCTATGGCCACAGTCCTGGGAGTCCTCTGCTCCTCTCTCCTCCCTACTCCCAAACTCCAGACAGCTTGGTTAGGGCCCTTAGCCAAGCCTAACTGACCTTTGAGTACTTCAGCCTCTTAGCATTTCCCAGCTTCTTCCCAGAATGACATTTGCCAACCAAATAGCACAAGGGAAGGAAGAGTACAAAGAGAAGAAAGTAAAAGACTAAACTAGTAGGATTAGGATTAGAGCAAGGAGAGTTAGTGAGGAAGTGTAACTTTCACTGAATACTTGTCTCATCCAGAATTCTGCTGTAGAATCATGGCCTAGAGACCTTCCAGGTGGAGGTGGCATTTTGGTGATGAACTTGGCAGCTGCCTGCACTTGATTGTGATAGGAAGGAGATCTGGCATCCGGTCTCCCCATTCCATTCCTGGCCAAGACTAATTGCTGTAGTTGGGATGCTTCATATCTCTGGGCCTCTTTCCCTAAATGCTTTGGTGGTGGTTCTTTGTTGTTCAGGTATAGATTAACACATGAGATGTAGATTTTCTGTAGATACAGTGCTGGCTCTGTCACCCTGCCAACTCATTTAATGCTTGTGCCTTGTGATCTGTAAATTGGATCTGTAAACCTACCTGCCTTGTTGAATTCTTTATTTTGAAACACCTGAAAGAAAAGCTCTGGGTAGTTATCAAGTTTTGGTCCAGTTCTAATGTGCAGACACCTTGGTTTCTTGTGCCATTAGTGGGGATAAAGTGATTAGACTCAGTACCATCGTATTGCTATTAACTACTATTTGTTGACTAGCTAGCATATACCGTTCCCTGCACTAATGCTTAGCATATGGTATTGCAAATCTTCACACAGATATGCCACATCTGGAAGTTAATTTTTCTGCCTTAAAGTTGAAGAAATCAAAGCACAAGGAAGTTAAGTAACTTGCTCAGCTAATAAGTAGTGGAAGCAAATCTGTCTTCCAAGCCGAGGCTCTCTCCATGACACTGGGCTGCTCTGCTTGATTAGAACTCTGCCTTACCATCAATACCCAAGCCTCCTCTACTAAATCTTTAGCTGGAGGCACAAGGAAATTGAAAATGGGCCTCTTACAGTTCCACCTCATTTCCTTTCTTTTCACCCTCTGGTGAAGCAGTTAATTGGGCAGCAAAGTGACCAAAAGGCTGGCGGGAAAAAGAAATTGCAGCAATAGCAAAGGGCTTAAATCATCTGCAAACTGGGCAGTCAGCCTCCAACTAGTCGAGAATTGGCTGGACCCGTAAGTTAAATTTCCTTCCTTGTACCAGCAAAAAGTTATCTCTGAGCTGGGAACTAGGGTGGCATGGCCACTCCTTCTACTCTCTGGGGCAGGTCTGGCAGATCCCAGAGCTCTCACTGTGACAAAGCGCTAATAACCGTCTGCTGCCCGGTGGATTCAATGTTAGGCCCAGGGAGAATCTTGAAATTATCAGATGAAAGATTGTATTATTCTTCCATCTAGACATTTGTCCGACTCCATAACCAGAAGACTGGCCAGGAAGTGGTGTTTGTTGCCGAGCCAGACAACAAGAACGTGTACAAGTTTGAACTGGATACCTCTGAAAGAAAGATTGAATTTGACTCTGCCTCTGGCACCTACACTCTCTACTTAATCATTGGAGATGCCACTTTGAAGAACCCAATCCTCTGGAATGTGGTATGTGCCTGAATGTACCCCGACCCAGGTGAGAGTGGCTGTGCCCCAGGCACTGGTGGCTCTTTTTCAGGGGCATGGGGCTCTTCACCTTCGCCTTGCCTGTGCCTCCTATAAATAAGCTTGGGAGGTGAGGCACTGTGTGCAGTCTCCATAAATAGTCCTGGGGTCATGCACGGGGCTTGGCAACATGGTACGTGCTTAATAAATATTAAGTGAGTGAAGGAAGTATAAACTTTGTGAGTGCTAGTATCTGTGAATTTCTATAAACATTATACAGGAAGGCCGTTTTCATATTATAGCAGGCACTATTGGGGTTACGTAGATGTGAAAGTTAAGGCCCTGGCCTTTGAGATATGGCATAGCTCATGGGAGGGATGAGATCTGAATTCTGATAACAATTCAGGATGATGTAGAAAAGTGAATTGTACAATGTGCAAAATGCTAATTAACTAATAACCAACATTTGTGTAGCATGTTGTTGTTTACATAGTGCCTTCCTGCATGCCTCACTTTGGATTGGCGTGATGAGAGTAAACGTCTTGCAAGACAGGGCATTTGAGCAAGGGGTTGAAGAATGGCAAGGGTTTATCAGATCTGGGGCTGTGGGGTGATCATTGGGGAAGGGCTTGCAGAAGAGCTCAAGGTGCTTTCAGTGCAATGGGAGCGGTTGTGTTTTGCCAGAGCACCTGAATCCTGTCAAAAGCAGGAGGTGATGAGCTTGGAAAGGTAGCAGAGGCCAAATTGCAGGCTTTGAATGGTGGTTGACTCACTTTGCAAGACAAAGGGGCAGCTGCGTTTTCTCGTGTGGTATTCAAGACTTCTTTTCTTCTCCTGGACTTCAGGCTGTTTTTGTACAAGAGCGCATACTCATTTCTTTCTCTCTTTTTCAAATGTGACTAAATCACACTTCCCAGGGACACCAAGCTGTTTCTGATTGCAACTGTAACAGCCTGTGTACCAGCTGGGATTTTTGTATTAAGCAGCTCTATGGGGCTACTATACCAGCAGAAAATTAGAAGTCTTGCTCTAAAAAGCATTTTCAGCAAATACTTGTTTTGTTCTTAAAGTTTTTACTGCCTCAATTTGTCAGCTAATGGATCAGAAGTGATTGGGACTGCCTGGAGCTTTTTTCAGTTATGGTCTTAGATGTGAGTCAGAGAATATTATCTATTGAGTTTCACCCACTTCTCTGCCCCTGTGCTTTTACAGACTGTCCTTATTTTTCTAGGCTGATGTGGTCATCAAGTTCCCTGAGGAAGAAGCTCCCTCGACTGTCTTGTCCCAGAACCTTTTCACTCCAAAACAGGAAATTCAGGTATATCCCAAAGGGCCTATCCACTAAACGTGGGAGAAGAGAGGGCAACAAAGCCCTGGACAGTGGCTCTGCTCCCTTTAACTTGTTTTGTGATGTTTTATAGTTTGATCCTCACACCCTGTGGATTAGGCAGGGTAAATGGCAGCCCCATCCTTGAACTGAGAAAACAGGTTTAAAGAGTCCGGTGACTAACCCCCAGAAAGCAGAGAGTTGAAGATGAAATCAGAACCTGAGTCTGGTTTTCCTGACATCCGGCAGGTTCAACCCTCAGACCACAGCTTATTAGCTATGAGCGCAGATGGTTCTAGCGTTTATCCTCCCTGCTCCTGTGTAAATCAGGGCTGATGGGGCGACAGGTGGGAAAACTCACCTGGGAGAACAGGGCTCTACTTCCTTAGGCAAGTCCTTGGATAAGCAAGCCTGGTCCTGTCCTGCACGCAGGACTGTTGTGAGAATCAAAGTTGATAACAGATGAGTGAAGAAAGGCTTTGAAATGTTTCTAAAGCCCTTTCCAAAATAAACACAATAATTGTTAAACACTTTGGATACTGGTTAAGGAAACTGAGGTGGATCCACTCAGTGGACTATTTTGCAATCTTGAGAAATGATCGTACTTGGAAACTTGCATACGAATTAATGTTGAAGTGTCAAAAACAGACTACCTGCTGTCATTCCACTTTAAAAAACAAGTGCTCAAAGGGTAGAGTAGTAGGATTGTTTTCAAAACTCCTTTTCATATTGATACAGCATTATTTAAGAATGTAAAATGCAGCTAACTGGTAGGTGTAATTGTGATGATGAAGGGTGCTGGCTGAAGTAGGTGGCAGCAGCTGCTATAGTGTTAGAAATCCTTTAATGGCAGCGGCAGCAAAGAAGAGCAGAGGTCAAAATTTAGGAACAGGAGGCTCAAGTGGGGCTGTGTCATCATGGAGCTGGTTTGGCTGGGCATTGACAAGCAGAAAAGGCAGGCACAAGTTGATACGTTGGAGGAAAAATCTTTTTTAAAAAGTTCTATTTGCATAATGAGTTACAGCTTACAAAGCATAATCAAATGCACTATTTCATTTGGTCTTTAGAGTATCTTTACAAGCCTAGCAGGGTGGTCATGGCCCTCCCCACCCCCAATTTTCCAGCTGGAAAGTGAGGTGAAGAGTGGGAAAGTGACTTCCCTTCTGGTCACACAGCCATACGTTTCAGTTTGGGCCTAAACGGAGGTCTCCAGAATCCCACACCATTGCTGCTTCTGCTAGGTCACACTATCTAGGTGAGCTTCGTAAAGAGAATTCATGTAGAATTGCTCAGGAAAAAACAAAAAACAAAAAAAAAACCAAGAAATACCATCAGAATGCTTGTCGAGCCTTCTGGTTTAACTCTGGAAATCAAAGTTGGGCCAGGCATGGTGGCTCACGCGAATCTTGCTTTGCAGGGCCAAGGAGGGAGGATCACTTGAGGTCAGGAGTTGGAGATCTAGTGAGACTCTGTCTCTACAAAGAATTTAAAAATTAAGCTGGGTGTGGTGGCGCGTACCTGTAGTCCCAACTACTCAGGAGGCTAAGGCAGGAGGATCTTTTGAGCCCAGGTGTATGAGGTTACAGCAAGCTATGATGGTGCTACTGCACTTCAACCTGGGTGACACAGTGAGGTCCTGTCTCTTTAAAAAAAAGAAAAAGAAATGAGAGCGGGAAGTTCGTTTAGGGCTTCCTTAGAGCCATGGCTCAGGGAGAGAGGGATGAATTATGGGTGGAAAGATCTGTAGGGAGGCTCTGTTACCTTTTAAAAAGGTATAGTGTTACCACCATTAGCCAATTAAGTGGGGCAGCAGCATTTGCCAGGGCCACCCTAGGAACCCAGAAACATTGCGAGTCCAGCGTCCTGCCTCAGTCCTGTCACTCAAGCCATCCATATACCTGGGCACCCTCTTTGGCACTAGCCAAATGCCACTTGATGGATTGCATTCTCTGGCCTCTGAATGGCAGTGAGTCTTTGAAGGGAATAAAGGGTTGGCCAAGCAGTGAGCTGGGGTTAATGTAGTCTCTGTGGAAGGGAGACCTCTGGGATCAAAAGCCAGCATTGAGAAGAGGCAAAAGGCCCCATGCCCACTTGTTGCCAAGAGGTTTTAGCCTCTGGGCGGCATATCCTCTTCATGACTGACATTGATGCTTTGGTCCCCGGTATACATGGCTGCCCCTACTGGGAAGGGCACATTCTTAAGTCTTCTTGGTGTGTCTTTCGGCAGCACCTGTTCCGCGAGCCTGAGAAGAGGCCCCCCACCGTGGTGTCCAATACATTCACTGCCCTGATCCTCTCGCCGTTGCTTCTGCTCTTCGCTCTGGTGAGTGGCTGTAATTAGCGTGGGCAGCATGCGTCTGGCGCCAGACCCAGCAGATGCATTCCTTCCAAAGGAGGCTGTGTTGTCTGGCCTCAGTAAAGCTCCAGAGGGGTCCAGCAGCTGTGACCTGAATTGATGCTCAAGACATTTTAGAATGACCAAAAGTTCCCACTGTGGAGGAGTGGCCAAATAAACTGCCGCATTAACAAGTGGGCATGAGAAAGTACCTAACAGCCACTAAGAATGACAAAAGTGGATGGACTGTGATGCCGTAGGAGGGTTCAGATGAGATCTAGTGTGAACAGAGCGAGATCCGATGCTGGTAGCTATAAAAAACAGCACAAAGGCTGTGGATTTCAGCACTGCTTGGGGCAGAAAACCAGAAACAACCTAAAGTTCATAAGATGGAATAATATGCAGCTTTTCAAAGAATGGATAGATTTATATGCTGATAGGACAAGATTGCCAAGATGTGTTACTGAGTGAAAAAGGCAAGGGGTAGGGTAGTGTGTTTAGTATGATCCTCTGTAAAGTTTTAAAAGGTGGCTGGGTGTGGTGGCTCATGCCTGTAATCCCAGCACTTTGGGAGGCCGAGGTGGGAGGATTGCTTGAAGCTCAGGTGTTTGAGATCAGCCTGGGCAACATAGCAAGACCCCATCTCTACTAAAATCAGAAAATTAGAAAAAAAAAAATTAATGGTGACGTATGCCTGTAGTCCCGGCTACTTGAGGAGCTGAGGTGGGAAGATCACATGAGCCCAGGAAGTCAAGTCTGCAGTGAGCCATGCATTCTAACCTGGGTGACAGAGTGAGACCCTGTCTAAAAAAAAAATAAAAATAAGTTTTAAAAGGCGATATGTGTTAGTGTTGGTCATCTCTGAGGAGTGGACATTCTGGAGAATGTAGAGGAAGTAACTTTTACCTTTTCTCCTTTTCAGTACCATTTGAATTTTTTTTTTTAGCCAATTGTGTTTTTCTCTTTTTTCAAATTATAAACAAACATGAATGCATATCCTCAAAGCTCAGAGAATTTTGAGAAAACACTCATTAGATCTTACTTTTGGAAAGTTGCCTGTGTTCCTAATTGTTGCTTTTAACAAAAGAATTACTGTTTAAATCTAGATAAATCTAGAAGCCTTGCTACAGGTTTTCAGAAACCAGACCTAGGGTATGGGCACCTGTCCTTACATTTCAGTGATGAGAATTTCAAATGACATGGAACCCACGGCAAGAGCGTGAATGCCACCAGCTGCCGGTGGGTTTATCTTACCAATTCTTAGAGAACTTAGTGGGGGTGTCAGTTACCTTATAAATGCAGTTTCTGACCTTTCAGCTTCATGGTCTCACCTGTTTTAAAATAGTAGGGTTTGTCATCATTAAAAATGATGTTCAGGTTTGAGTTACACGAGCCCATTTGAGAGCAGGTGCTGAATGCCTTTCTAAAGAAAAAGGGAACAAGTTTCCCCGAGGGCTTATAATAGGGTGGTTGTCACTTGGAAGAATTGCCTGTCCTTCTAGGATGCATGAACTTTGAAGCCTTGGGGCTGTTGATGGGATTAGCATTGGCATGGCTTGTGTTGCTTCCCTTTTAAGTTCTAATGCCTTTTTAATTTATTTCTCCCCATCATTCAGTGGATCCGGATTGGTGCCAATGTCTCCAACTTCACTTTTGCTCCTAGCACGATTATATTTCACCTGGGACATGCTGGTAAGTGCCCCAGGCTGCTAATTACCTGTAACGTCCTCTGACATTTAGCCTGCCCACGCAAAAGCCCTGTTAAGTAGACCCACAACCTATTACCTATAATGACTTAATAGCATTACATTTCCCTCTTCCTCCTGGCCTTTTAGGACAGTTAATACGAAGATAAACCTGTTTGGTCCATCACTTAGAACAGCTGTCATTATATTGGGCTTTGTTGTACTGTGCCACTGTTGGCAGACCATTTACCCTCAGTTAATAACCCTGTTTATTTCCAGAGATTACTCACTTATCGTATCTTTACATTGAGCAATCTTCCTGGATGAAGAGCATTAATGCAGTTTCCAAAGGTTATCTTTCCCCACGCTATCGATCTTCACATTTGCTGCCGGCTCTGTCTGTGTAGTAATAGAAAACAGTCCTTTCCACAGTCAGACATGCTATCCTGCATCGTTCTCTGGAGACCTTAGGACTTCAACAGCCTAAACATAACAAGACAGTAAATTCACAAATCACTTAAGCATTTCTGAGGCTTTTGATGCTATTGGATCAGGGGTGCCTTGCATTTCACTGTGACTTTAATTTTTTGTTCGTTGTTTTTTTTTTTTTGAGACAGGGTCTTACTCTGTCACCCAGGCTGGAGTGCAGTGGTGCATTCATGGCTCACTGCAGCCTTGACCTCCCAGACTCAGGTGATCCTCCCACCTCAGCCTCCAGAGCAGCTGGGACTCCAGGCTTGTGTCACCACATTTAGCTAGTATTTGTATTTTTTGTAGAGACGGGGTCTTGCTGTGTTCAGAGCTGGTCTTGAACTCCTAGGCTCAAGCAGTCTTCCCGCCTTTGGCCTCCCAGAGTGCTAGGATTATAGGTGTGAGCCACCACGCCTGGCCTGACCTTAATATTTTTAAAATTCTTTGCCTCTTTCAGGAGTCACTATCTGTGCGCCCATAGTAAACAGATTCTGTAGGGGTGCATAGATAAGTCTCTTGAAATTCTAGGCAAATGTCTGTATTTTTCTGGGGAAAGAGAGAGTTGTGACTTTGATCAGATTATTATGGTGCAGTGGTCCGTGACCTCAGAAGTGGTTAAGAGCCCCGCTGTAGTTCATCCGTCATCTGTCTGGGCAAAACTGACAGGATGACCTTTCTCTCTGGCTCAGTTCCTGGATATGTATGATAGCCCTCTGGGGTCAGACCGAGAAGAAAACCTGAATATAAATCTGTTGAGAGCCGTGGCTTTTCCTGCCATTGTGCTTTTTGTGCACGTTTTCTCATTTGATTATCATCATAGCCCTGATGAGGGTGACTGGGGCAGGAATTATGATCCCTTTTGACAAGGTGGGAGAATCTGGGCTCAGAGAAGTTAAGTGGCTGGTAAGGGCAGGGCCTGGACCAGGCCCCAGGGCTCTCCGTTCCCAGCTCTGAGCCCTTTTCACTCAGCCTTCTTCCTGAGTCCTCCTTGCTCCCTTCCTAGTCACAGTGGCAAATTATCCTTACAGTTTGTTTCCCCCCATAAAAAAAGAAATTATTCATTTATTTATATCCTGTTTATTTTTTATTTTTATTTTTTATTTTTTTGAGATGGAGTCTTGCTCTGTCTCGCCCAGGCTGGAGTGCAACGGTGCGATCTTGGCTCACTGCAGCCTCTGCCTCCCAGGTTCAGGCGATTCTCCCACCTCAGCCTCCCAAGTAGCTGGGATTATAGGCCTGCGCCACCACACCTGGCTAATTTTATATTTTTAGTAGAGAGAGGGTTTCACCATGTTGGCCAGGGTGGTCTCGAATGCCTGACCTCAAGTGATCCTTCTGCCTCGGCCTCCCAAAGTGCTGGGATTACAGGTGTGAGCTCCCGCACCCAGCCTATTTATATCCTGTGTATTTTTGTTAAGAATTTGAAAAATGAATGCCAAGTATAACATGACAGAGGAGTTTTAAACAAAAGCAGAGAAATAGTTGTAAGCAGGAACATGGCACAGGTCGCTGAAGTCCAATTGTTACCCCTGTTTGTGGGTGTGTGTGTGTTTTGAGACGAGGTATCACTGTCACCCAGGCTGAAGTACAGTGGTGTGATCAAGCTCACTGCATCCTTGACCTCCCAGGCTCAAGCGATCTTCCTACCTCAGCCTCCTAAGTAGCTAGGACTACAGACATGGACCATTACGCCTGACTAATTTTTTGAATTTTAATAGACACGAGGTCTCACTGTGTTGCCCAGGGTGGTCTCGAACTCCTGAGCAATCCTCCTGCCTCAGCCTCCCAAAATGTTGGGATTACAGGTGTGAGCCACTGTGCCTGGCCACACACTTGGCCACAGCTGAGAGGCGAATATATTGAGTTAGCTACTTTTTGGCATCAGAGCAAAGGAATAAAACAAGCTGGTATAGGAGTACAGACCTTTTCATGATCCAACAGTTGCTATGTCTAACTTTCCTCAACCGCAGGGCATCATTATGTTTCATTTAATTGGATGTCATGACACCTCTTCTTGCAGCTATGCTGGGACTCATGTATGTCTACTGGACTCAGCTCAACATGTTCCAGACCTTGAAGTACCTGGCCATCCTGGGCAGTGTGACGTTTCTGGCTGGCAATCGGATGCTGGCCCAGCAGGCAGTCAAGAGGTAAGGCCAGACATGAGCCAGGGATCTAGAGTAGGGTTAGAAATACTCAGCTCTGCCGGCCTAGCTCTTTGAAGGGTAGGTGGCAAAATGATTTGTGTTCTTAGGGGCAAGTCTGACACCCTAATCTAGCCCAGTACAGAAGCCAGAAGCACTTTGAAGTCAGAAAAGAGCCTTAGTGGTCAGCTTTGAATGTATTACAACCATTGTAATTGATGCCCCAATACAATAGAATGAGAGAGGAAAATTATTAGCTTTATGAAGATGAAAATGCATTCATAGATGTGGCAGAAGATTAATTTGTTAGCTGTGTAAAAATTCTCTGCTGCTACAGAGAATCCTGCCCTGCCCTCCCCACCCTCAACATGTCCCCGAGAGCTGCTCCTCTGTAACCCTCACAGCTCCAGGAGCTTGTCCCGGAAGCACGAGGTCTGTGTTATTTCCCACAGAAGCTGCAGCAGGTTTTGCAGAGGCTCCCAGCAAGGAGTATCTCCTCAGTAGCCTACACCATCTCCCCGGGACCCAGACAACCTTAGAGTCACATGGATGGTCAGACAGACCTTGACATGAGGGCAGCTTGCTGGCAGCTTGACTTTCTAAACAGAATTGGAGGCAAATTTAAATGTCACAAAGGTGTTTCTCATTGATTTGACTTTATTAGAACCTGAGTGATTTCAGACACGCAAAGGCCAGTAAGAACAGAATTGCTTTCACCTCTGGAAATCGTTTTCAGATGTGCCGCTTTCTTCTATCCAGGACGTTTGCTGGAAGAATGTAACTCAATAGTGTACCCTCAACGTGGCTGCCAGTTAGGGTGCTGGGATCAGAGAGAGGCTTTTTCAGGGAGACCATCAGTGGGTGGGAGAAGATGTCTCATCTCCGCCCGAGTCTCCATTGTGAGCTTTCTGAGCATTTCACCATGGAGACTCGGCACAGACGTGTTCCTTGGCTTTCCTGTAGGAATCCAGGGCCCACCAGAGCTTCCCTTAGCACCAGCAGTGGCAGCTGGTTCATTTTGCCACCCTCCAGTAGCCTTTTCCTGGTGGTTCTGCATTGTACCTGAGAAAGAGCCAGGACTCAGTTGCTTTTGCAAAGCAGAACCCTGTTCCCTTGCAGCACCTGCCTGGGCCCCCAGGGAGCCAAAAGACTGCTCTGCTAAGTTCTCTCTTTTCTGGAAGTTGCTCACTCGAGAAGAATGAAATCTGCCCGCCATGGTGGCTTATGCCTATAATCCCAGCACTTTGGGAGGCTAAGGCGGGAGGATCGCTTGAGCTCAGGAGTTGGAGACCAGCCTGGGCAACATAGTGAGACCTCGTCTCTCAAAAAATTAATAAAAATTAAGAAAAAAATCAAGACAAGAATTGAGTAGAAACCATTTGGTTTATGTTCTGCTTAGCAGGAGTTCCTAATCTGGAATCCTAAAGTTGTATGCATTTTATGGGGAGAGAGACTATGGTTTTTATCAGAATCCCAGAAGGATCAGTAACTCCTCCCTCTCCCCTGCTCATGTATTCGATTCAAAAACTTAAAGCCCACTCTTCTGTGGCCCTCTTTGTGAGTCCTAGAATGAACTCTACCCTGGAAAAATCAGTGACCCTAATGGAAGCTCTGGTTGGGTGTTTGTCATTTCTTTCCTCAGCTGATTTCTCCCCTCACTGTCCTTTCTTGATTCTCAAACCCTCTTTCCTTTGGCAGGATCGCTGCAGAGCAGAGCAGTAGATTGGCAAAATATAGGACACTACGGTAAAGATGAAGGGCGGACTCATCCCAGAAGCAGGGTCCCTTCCCCGTCTTGCCCGCCTCATGCATGTCAGTTATCTCTCTAGTTTTCAGCCCACTTGCTCCTCCCACCCCTCCCTAAGCCACAGCTGAATTCTGAGGCTGCTTTTCAACTTGCTAGATGAGGTTGTGACTGGACCAGGGCAAAAGCTTCCTGAGTTAGCCCAGCTGATGGGATAACTTTGCAGTGAGCAGCTTTGGCCTGGCTTTGACTGTATAAGACTTCATTCTCCCTTATATCCCGTGGGGTACTTACTTATTTATAGACAAGCCTCTCTCTCTGTTTCCAGGACAGCTGAGATGAGGATAAGACAAATCCAAAATTCATTAAATGACGGTCCCATGGCAAATCCTGGCACACCTTGTCACTGTTTCTAGACTTTTCTGTAACACCGATCTCTAGTTGGGCTAAACATTGTGGTCTGGGGAGACTGTAATTTATGAAGGACTGATGGCCACAGATCAAAGCCAGCATCAGAATCCAGGTTCCTAGCACTCAGGGTATGTTAAAAGGGCTGCTCCCCATGTGACTAAAATGTGAAGTGAGATTCCACTCATTCTCCTTCTGCATATCAGTCCTAGGATGGGAGGGAAGTGGAGGGAAGGAGAAGGAGAGTCTGATGCTTCACTGATCTGCTCCGCTAGACCAGGGTCTGGCAAAAGTTTTCTGTAAAGAGCCAGACAGTATTTTAGGCTTAACTGGCCATATGGTCTCTTGGCACCAACTACTCAACTCTGTCACTGTCATGTGAAAGCAGCCATAGACTGTATAAACAAATGGGTGTGGCTGTGTTCCAACAAAACTTTATTCACCAAGACAGGTGGTGGGCTGGATTTGGCCTGAGTGGCACAGTTTGCTGACCCCTGCCCTAGACCAACAAAGGGAGGGGAGGTATTTGAATTTTCAAGTCATGTTCTCCTTTATCCTTTGCCTTGGAAATGGCTTTCCCTGCCAAAGCCACAAAACCATCTAATTTCTAATCCTCTGAAAATAGGAGAGATCAACAAAAGCATAGTATTTGGAGCCTTTCCATGGATGTGTGAGCATAAGCTGGGTCACCTAGTCCTCAACACAGAAGGGAACTGCATTTGTTTGTTTGTTTGTTTGTTTGTTTGTTTGTTTCCAGGTTTAATGGAGTTGTAATTTATCTGCAGAAAAATGTACCCTTTTTAGTGTACAATTCTGTGAATCCTGAAAAACCTCTGTAGTCATGTAGCCACCACCTCAGTCAAGATATAGGTATTGCCACTCTCCAGAGAGCTCCCCGGTGCCCCTTTTAGAGTCCGACCCTTCTCCCACCCCCACTCCCTGGCTATGCCCGTTTGGTTTCATCCTACATTATAGTCACTCTGTCTGAGATTTGCTTTCAGCAACTGTCCTTGCTGCTACATGTTGAGTTCTTTAATTCTTTAAATAAGTCGATTTCTTTTCTTGATTAAAAAGAACTTTTTTTATAGAGATGGGGTCTCATTATGTTGCCCAAGCTGGTCTCAAGCTCCTGGGCTCAAGCAATCCTCCTGCTTTGGCCCCTAAAAGTGCTGGGATTATAGACGTGAGCCACCTTACTCAGTCTCTTGAGTTTTAAAGTCCGTTCCCACCCTGCTATCCCCAAATCATTGCTTGAGGAAGAGGAAAGTCACTTGATCATTTGGACATTTGGCATTTCCTAGCATTTGAAAGGAAACCCCCTGGTAGCAAAGTGTTCTTGATCTGAGGGCAGACATTGATTTGAGCAGACATAATGTGGGACGTAAGTTCTAGCCGCAGTCAAGAGTTGTGGGCCACTACCCTTCGGCTGTTCTTATTTCATACTCATGCCATCCTTTCTGCATGAACATTTCTGAATGCCCACATATTAGTGTACCTAAGAACCTCTGAATACTGGCAAGGAATTAGGGGTGCACACCCCAGCCCTCAAGATTAATTCCATGCCTGTGCATGTCTTTTGGAACTGCTTTATTAATGGGTTTGGAGTCTGCCATTCTGCAAGACTGGATCATTATCACCTTAGTCCTCACCCCTGGGAAGAGCTGCCACTGAAGGATGGTGTGTGTGTGTCAGCAACCCTGCCTCTGCTTGCTGGAGCCTGCTGGGATCAGTTACTCACTGCAGTCACCTCCTCAGCTTCACAGTCTGTCTAGATTGTCATTTTCATTCATTGTGCTTCCCCATCCCTCCTTAGAGTCTAGGGAAAGGCAGCGGAGGGGAAACAAAGAGTACAGGAGATAGGTTCTTATCCCCTTTAACACTTTCTGTGAGCTGAGTCCCATTTTTGAGAATCTTTCTGTGTTAGGTTAGATGCTGAGTGTGACTTGGCAAGAACACGGCCACACGGCAGGAATGTGCAGGTTTCTGTAATGAATGGTCAGGATGTCATGTTCTAAGCTACAGAAGGGCCAAGTGTTGGTTGGCAGAGCTGGAGTCTGGGAGATTGATGATGAGCATTATTTAAACTTTGCTCTTTGTTCATCTAATTGAAATTTACACTGTGTTTTTGGCCTTGCACTGTGAGAGGTGTGCCTGGAATTACCTCATCTCCTTATGTTGTCACATACCACTTTCTTAGTTATTATTGAGTTTGTTTTGTTATTTGTATTTAAGTTGTCATCAGCTTAATTATGAACTAGCTGTCTCACATTCTTTTGTAAAATGAGATGGGGCATACATAAATAGACTTGGGAGATAAATGATTATTCCCTTATAAATGGGATCTTAGAGCGGGAGAGTACCTTAGTCTCTCTGTTGTCACCAGTTAGGAACTGTAACTGTGAACTGAAACCTTCAGTAATTCTGTGTTTGTCTCCATTTTCTTTCAGAACAGCACATTAGTTCCAGAAGAAAGATGGAAATTCTGAAAACTGAATGTCAAGAAAAGGAGTCAAGAACAATTCACAGTATGAGAAGAAAAATGGAAAAAAAAAACTTTATTTAAAAAAGAAAAAAGTCCAGATTGTAGTTATACTTTTGCTTGTTTTTCAGTTTCCCCAACACACAGCAGATACCTGGTGAGCTCAGATAGTCTCTTTCTCTGACACTGTGTAAGAAGCTGTGAATATTCCTAACTTACCCAGATGTTGCTTTTGAAAAGTTGAAATGTGTAATTGTTTTGGAATAAAGAGGGTAACAATAGGAACAAAGGCCTGATTGAGAGCTTATTCTCATACTTTTGGGTGGTGGGGTCCTTGGGTATATGACATGAGGACTTAGTTGGAAATGCTGTTGATGCCAGCATATTTCTCCAGGCCTTTCTTGGTCCTTCTTGCCCCTTGCTCCTAACAGAACTGAGAACTGCCTGGAAAGGCCAGCTTCCTTTTTTCTTCTCCAGCAGTGAGCACCAGCTGTCTGCATAGGAGCCCTGTTGGTATCTGAAGGCCCCATTTGGACCTCTAGGGGTCCAAGGGGATAGGTTTTTATCCCCTTTAACATTTTCTGTGAGCTGAGTCCCATTTTTGAGAATCTTTCTGTGTTAGGTTAGATACTGAGTGTGACTTGGCAAGAACACAGCTAAACAACAGGAATGTGCAGGTGGACTGCAGCTAGGACCTCTGCTCAAGGCTCTTGTCTTGGGGCCAGGCATGGAGGCTCACGTCCGTAATCCCAGCACTTTGGAAGGCCGAGGCAGGGGGATCACTTGAAGTCAGGAGTTTTGAGACCAGCCTGGCCAACATGGTGAAACCCTGTCTCTACTAAAAAACCAAAATTAGCCAAGGGGTGGGCATGGTGGTGCATGCCTGTAATCCCAGCTACTTGGGAGGCTGAGGCAGGAGAACAGCTTGAACTTGGGAGGCGGAGGTTGCGGTGAGCCATTGCACTCCAGCCTGGGCCACAGAGCCAGACTCCATCTCCAAAAAAAAAAAAAAAAAAAAAGACTTGCATGGAGATTTGTTGCAACATGAATTTTCAAGGGACACAAATTCAAACCATAGCACTGACCACTTGAGTGACTTTAGTCTAGAAGGCCACATCTCAAGAATGCCCCCTCTGAAGTTGTGCCCATTACATGAGGTTATATAATAGCACAGAGAGAAGTAATACTGCATAGCATGGTTGACTGCGTAGACTTTGGTTCCAGGCAAACCTAGTGTTGCCACTTACTAGGGTGAGGGACCTTGGGCAAGTAGTTTAACCTCCGTAAACCTCCTTTTGTGTTTCTGTAAAAGAGAGATGATAACTACCTACCTCATAGGATTAAAGGAGTTGAATGCTGACGCAGCTTAGCACTTGGCATCTTTCCTGATTGACCTACGGTTATGTGCCTTGGCCCATTGCCTCTAGTTCTAGAATGGCAAAAACTGCAATTACTTTTGCACCAACCTAATATTAATTGAAACATAATAAGTTTAGTTAACTTGTGAAATATGGTAATCCTCATAGTATTTATTGAATTGGGGGTCTGGAAGTTGTTTTATTTTAATCAGATTGCTTCCCAACTAGCTGGACCTTACTACAGTGAAGAAATTGGGATTTTGATTGGGAAAAAGGGAAAGAAGATTCTAGAACTCTATGCCGTTCTGAATGGGATCCTATAGGTAAGAGGATGATGTGGGCAGTTACAGGGATGCCTCTAAGATGGGAAGGAGGCTTCTCCTTCCCAGAGGTTGCAAACTTGTGATCTGTAGTGTTTTTTTAAAAATTGAGTAAGTTGCCAACATTTGAAGACAGATTTTATATAAAAATCTTGGTTTTGGATTCTGGATTCTCCTGAAAGAGAAAACTAGAGCTGTCCACGGCGGGCCTGATTCCTGAACGGCAGCAGTCAGCTGACACTGAATAGCAGCTCGTCCCTTTGGATGGAGCCTGCAAGCTCCAGCTTGTCAGCCCCTCCCCGCACAGGTGTCCACATACAGGACACTTGCGCCAGTCCACCTGGCGACTGTGCTTCTCTGATACCTGCCTGGCTCCCATAGGCATATACCTTTGGGATCCTCCACTTTTTAGTTTCTTATCCCACTCGGAGGGGAAGGGGTGATGGTGGTTTCCTGTTGCTCTTGGGCGGCTCCTAGTGTTCCTACTTAGGTGTGCTGGGACCTCAGCCGCTCAGACTGGAGAGGAAAGAGAGCCCCAGCAGCGTGTGGGATGAGAGCAGGGACACTTGCCACCTATCACCAGACCTGTGCGGGCCTGGAAGACAGACTGGGTGCGGGGCTGGTGGACAGTGGTGTGGAGCAGGGGTAGTAGGGCCTGAGGGTGGAAGTACAAAGGCTGCTGGGTGTCCTGGTCACTGGGAACAAAGGACAGCCAGTGGCTGGAAGGAAGGAAGTCGGGAAACAGCTTTTTGGAGAAACGGCTGGCACAGCTAAGTAAGGGGTTCCCGGGCTGGTTTGGGGCTGGCCTGCAGACTCAGATGGGAGCTGGAGAACAGAGCCCAGTAAACATTGCCATGTGCCAGGCTGTGTTCTGTGTCCAGAGCTACCACAGGGAGCAAGACAGATCCAGTCCCTTCCCTTGGTCCAGGTACAGCCCACGGGCACCCAGCTGAGGGAGAAAGGAAGCAGTGATCACACATGTGAGAAGGGCCTCAGAGGAAGCAGTTCTTACCTTGATGGCTTGGGAGGTCTCAGCTGAGACCTGAAGAATGAGAAGGCGCCTATGCCAAGCTGAGGAAGAGCACTCCGGCCAGAGAATCAGCCAGCATGGAGGCTCTGGGGCAAGAGCACGGCACATTCTGACTGGAAGCAGGCCAAGCAGCCAGGGTGTCACTGGCAGGAACGGCATCCTCGCTGGGATAGAAGCCAGAACAAACTTGGCTTTTAGGGGCTGTGGTAAAGGGGACTGATTTTTCTCTTAGGACCTTTTTTAAAACAAAACAAACAAAGAGATGGGGTCTTGCTATGTTGCCCAGGCTGACCTTGAACTCAAGGGATCCTCTTGCCTCAGCCTCCTGAGTAGCTGGGACTACAAGCATGCACCATCACGCCTGGCCAGCCTGAGTTTTATTTTGGGGTATAGCAGAGGCAGATGCTGTCTGTCTGACCCTGCCCACTGGGCAAAGCCTTTTTTTTTATTTTTTATTTTTTATTTTATTTGAGACAGGGTCTTGCTCTGTTGCTCAGGCCAGAATGCAGTGGTGCAATCACGACTCACTGCAGCCTCAACCTCCCAGGCTCAGGTGATCCCCCCACCTCAGCCTCTGGAGTAGCTGGGACTACAGGCGCGTGCCACCACACTGGGCTAATTTTTGTATTTTTGGTAGAGATGGGATTTTGCAATGTTGCCCAGGCTGGTCTCATACTCCTGAGCACAAGCAATCTCCCCGACCTCCCAAGGTTCTAGGATTACAGGCAGGAGCCACTGCACCTGGCCTCAAAGCCTCTTAAAGGGACTCGGCTCTCAGTGCTGGAGCAGTGCTGCAGGGGAATAACCTGGTTGCTATAGCCAAGACAGTCTGGGAGTCCAGAGCTGACAGCAGGCCTCTCTCTTATAATTCATGAAATCCACTGGATTCATCACTCAAATGATTCGCTGCAGTAGCGCCTGGGCCTGGCCTTCTCTGAGGAGTACAAGACATGCCAGCTTTAGAGTCAGAGCTGCTTCGAGTTCCCCCATTAGCTGTGTGTCCTTTTGTACCTTTACCTCTCTGGGCCTTGGTTTCCCATCAGTAAAAATGGGGATCATACCTCTGAGGGTTTTATAGGGATTAGAGGAGGCCACAGCCACAACACATACCACAGTGCCTGACACTTAGCATTGAGTCAGTGTTTGCTCCCAATAGCGCAGATATTGTCATCATTATTATTTCCCAGGTGGTGTTAACAGGAGCCCAGTCAACAGTTTGTACCAGGTCTACATTCACCTGTTAGTTCAAGTTACTCGACACCCCAGCTCCCTCATTTCCTCCCCAGCATTTCCTGAGGGGCCTGGAGTCTTAAAGCAACCTTTTCGAGAGAGTGTTGCCTTCCCTCCCCGCCCCATCAGTCCCGTCCTGCCAACCTGGAGCGACTCTAGTTGAATCTGACCTCTAGTTGGATCCAGCTGGGCCAATGTGCCCTGCCCTGCCTTCCTCAGGGGCCTGTTGTAGAGAACAAATGAAGTAATGGATGGGAAGCCTCTTTGTGAACTCTAAGTTAATACAAACAGAAGAGATTATCATTAAAAGCGACAAGTCCCCCGTTGATTAGAGCATTTCTTTAGGGAGAAAAATAGCACTCCGTCTTAAGTAGGACCCTCCCCGGAGTGGGAAGCTCCCAGCTCCTCTGCGGGGCAAGTGGAGTCTCTCCGACGCCATTCGTGCCGTGGTTAATGGTATGGAGCACTGGAGTTGTTGCTATGGTGGTTTTTCCCCTATAATTGCATTCACCTCCAAAACCACAAGTAGCAGCAGGTCCCAGCAGTCGTTATTTTATTTGAAAAACTAATTGGAAGTTGAAAGAGCCCTCGGCTTTTGCTTTTGTCAGGATAGGCCAAGGAAAGAGATGAGCAGGTGGGTCTGGGAGGAAGGAGGGGGTCTTGGGGCAGGCCGGGCGCGCCTCCCATTCACAGCCCCTTCCTTTGTGCCTGCCTCTCTTGGTTGAAGTGGGCCACCTGCCCTCTAAGGCCAGCCTTTTCCTCCGAGGGGGCTTTTGTCTCCCATTGTTCTGATTGTCTCCTCCGTGGAGCCGCCTCAGTGGCCCCCTGCAGACGGTTTCCCAGGCTTCACGTTTTTTTTCTCAGGCGCCCAGGGAGAGCAGGTGGTCTTTACCCTGGAAGGAACTGAGTTGGTTATATAGTTCTGGTGCTGGGAGACCAGAGACCTGGCTGCCAGGCCCTTCGAGCTTGGGTCATTCCTTCCCTGACGACACTGTCTTAGGCTACAAAATGGAGAGGTGGGATTGTTCACTCCATCAATGTTAAGATGCTGTGATTCTTTTCGCACTTTTTTTTTTTTTTTTTTGAGACAGAGTCTTGCTCGGTCACCCAGGCTGGAGTACAGTGGCGTCATCTTGGCTCACTGCAACCTCCACCTCCTGGGTTCACGTTGATTCTCTTGCCTCAGCCTCCCTAGTAGCTGGGATTACAGGCCCATGCCACCACACCCAGCCAATGTTTGTATTTTTAGTAGAGGTGGGGTTTCACCATGTTACCCAGGCTTCTCTCAAACTCCTGACCTCAAATGATCCGCCCGCCTCGGCCTCCCAAAGTGCTGGGATTACAGACTTGAGCCACTGCACCTGGCCCCTCTTTTTGCACTTTTTAAATCAAAACAGACATCCCATCATCTAGACTTTTCACAGTTGTCAGGTTTTTTTTAGGTTTAATTTACGTACAGCAAAATGCACAGATCCTAAGTGAACAACCCAATGATTTTTTATATGTGACAACACTGGTATAACCACCACCCAAATTGAAATATAGAACATTTCAGTCACCCCAGTAAGTTCACAGATTCTGATCAGAGGCACGCAGAGGGCAGGTGATGTGTGGCGATATTTGGCCCAGATAAAATGGCTCATGAATAGCAAGAGTTGGGTAATCACTGATGCGGGAGCCTCGGGTCAGTGGCTCCAGTTCTCTGCTTCCCTTTATAGCAAAATTTCTCAAAAAAATAATCTCTACCAGCGCTGTCCAATAGAAATACAAAGCAAGCTACATAGGTGATTTTACATTTTCTGGAAACCAAGATAAAAAAGTTAAAAAGAAACAAGTGAAATTAATTTTAATATATTTTATTTAACCCATATATCTAAAATATCATTTTAATATGTGATCAGTATAAAAATACTGAGGTATTTTGTATTTTTTCATATTAAATCTGAGTGATTCCTACTTGGACCTTTAATCTGTGGGGTGTTTTGTTTTATTTATTCTTTTTTTGGAGACAGAGTCTCACTCTGTTGCCCAGGCTGGAGTGCAGTGGTACAATAATAGTTCACTGCAGCCTCAAACTCCTGGGCTCAACAATTCTCCCACCTCAGCCTCCCAGGTAGCTGGGACTGCAGGTGTGTGTCACCACGCCTGGCTAATTTTTTTTGAATTTTTATTTGTAGAGGCAGAGTCGAGCTATGTTGCCCAGGCTAGTCTTGAGCTCCTATCCTCAAGTGATCCTCCCTCCTTGGCTTCCCAAGAATGCTGGGATTGCAGGCATGAGCCACCATGCCCCAGCCTAAATCCAGTGTTTATTTTATACTTAAAGTACATCTCAGTTTGTACCAGCTACATTTCAAGTGTTCGTTAGCCACATATGTCTAGGGGCCACCCTATTGCACAGCCAAATCTATACTCACCAGCTCTGATTCCTCTTCTCCCATTTCTCCCACTCAAATCAGACTTTGGCCTTCACTACACCTGATTTCTCTTTGCCAAGGTCATCAGTGGCTTCCATGGTCACTTCCATGGTCAGTTCTAAACTGACTTGTCCCATCAGCAGCATTTAGCAGAGCAGATCACCCCTTTCTTCTAGAAACACTCTTCATTGGCTTCTGGGATTCTTCTTTGAAGGAGTTTTCCTGTTACTTCACTGCCTGCTACTTCTCAGCCTCCTTTGCTGGTTCCTCATCTTTCCTCAAAACTTTTTTTTTTTTTTTTTTTTCAGACAGTCTTGCTCTGTCGCCCAGGCTGGAGTGCAGTGGTGTGATTTTGGCTCACTGCAAGCTCCGCCTCCCAGGTTCAAGTGATTCTCCTGCCTCAGCCTCCTGAGTAGCTGGGATTACAAGCGTGCACCACCATGCCTGGCTAATTTTTGTATTTTTAGTCTAGAGACAGGATTTCGTCATGTTGGCCAGGCTGGTCTTGAACTCCTGGCCTCAAGTGATCCACCTGCCTTGGCCTCCCAAAGTGCTGGGATTACAGGCGTGAGCCACTGCACCCGGCCTTCTTCTAAACTTTAAATGTAGGGTTTCCAGGGGATCAGTCCCTGGACTTTACTCTTCCTATATTCTTCCTTAGTAATCTAACTAGTCTTTTGACTTTAAAGACCGACCGTCTAAATGGTGACAACTACCAGCCAAACCAGCTGTCCAGACCTCTCCCCTGAACTCAGGGGACTCTCTCCTGAACTAGGACCTGTACAGCCATGTGCCTACTCAACTTCCTCACTTGGACCTTTCATAGGCACCTCACACTCAACATTCAAACCTAAACTCTTAATATTCCCCCAACCCCCAAAGCTGCTAAGTGGCAACTCCATCCTCCCATCCTCCATCCTTGGGCCAAAAACTCAGGAGTCATTCTTGACTTCTCTCCAATCCCTACACCCTGTCTATCAGCAAATGGCTTCCGCCCTAAGAATGTATCTAGAGTTTGACCATTTCTCAGAGTGATTTTCAGCATAGGTCACAGCATGTCATTCTTCTGCTTAAACTCCACCATGGCTTTCATCTCACCAAGTTTGGGATCCAAATCCTTACTGTGACCTTGTTAAAGAACATTTATGGGAGGCCGCTGTTTTGAACTGAGCTCTTGCACTAGGCGGGCCCCAACAAACCAGACCCAACCAGAATAGAGTCACCCATGACATACTAAGTGCCATGTCATCAAACAGAACTTTAAAATGGTCCAGTTTTCTGAAATATGAGATTCACAGCAGCCAATCAGAAGGGGTCCAGTTGGGACAGGCACAGTGGCTCACGCCTGTAATCCCAGCACTTTGGGAGGCTGAGGCGGGTGGATCACCTGAGGTCAGGAGTACGAGACCAGGCTGGCCAACATGGTGAAACCCTGTCTCGACTAAAAATACAAAAATTAGCCAGGCGTGGTGGCAGATGTCTGTAATCCCAGCTACTCGGGAGGCTGAGGCAGGAGAATTACTTGAACCCAGGAGGCAGAGGTTGCAGTGAGCTGAGATCATGCCACCACACTCCAGCCTGGGTGACAAAGCAAGACTCTGTCTCAAAAAAAAAAAAAAAAAAAAAAAAAGGAAGGGGTCCAGTCTACTTTAGCTTGCATAATCAGGAAGTCCCCTCTGCTTTAACCCCAGAAGGAAGGTAACTTTGAAATGACCAATCTGCTTTTCGTGCCCTGTTTCTGCTTCTTTAGCCCCTTTTTGCCTGTAAGGCCCACTCCCACTCAGCTTATCAGAGTCCCCCTCAGGATGCTGCCCAGTTCATGAACTGCTAACAAAAGCCAATTCAATCTTTAAAACTCTATTTGGGTTGGGGGTGGTGGCTCACACCTGTAATCCCAGCACTTTGGGAGTCTGAGGCAGGTGGATCACCTGAGGTCAGGAGTTCAAGACCAGCCTGGCCAACCTGGCGTAAACCTGTCTCTACTTAAAAAAATACAAAAATTAGCTGGGTGTGGTGGCACACGCCTGTAATCCCAGCTACTCGGGAGGCTGAGGCAGGAGAATCATTTGAACCCTGGCGGTGGAGGTTGCAGTGAGCCGAGATCGTGCCAGTGCACTCCAGCCTGGGAAACAGAGTGAGACTCCATCTCAAAAAACAAACAAACAAACAAACAAAAAAAACACTAAAGAGTCAATTTGTTCCTTTTTTTTTTTTTAACACCTCCAAGTGTCCCCATGAGCCGGCCTCCTGCTCCTCCAGGACTCTTTTCTTTCCACTGACATCCTTGCTCTGGCCCAGGTAGCCACATTGATCCCCTTGCTAGTCCTTCCACACTGCTGCCTCTAAGCCTTTGTTGAGTTTTCACTCTGCCTGAAATGTTCTTTACTCTGATATTTACAAAGCCAACTCCCTCTCTTCCTCAGGTCTTTACTCAAATGTCACATCATCAGTGAGGCCTTCACATATACACAGTGTAGATCAAATTATACCCCCAGCACTCCCTGGCCCTTTAAAGCTTTATCCTTTGCACTTGCCAACATCTGACATATTCTATATTGACTTGTGTTTATTATTCTCTCCCCCACCACACACGCATTGGAATATAAGCTCTATAAGGTCAGGGACTTTGTTCATGACTATCTCTCCAGTGCCCAGAACAGTACCTGGCACAGAGTGGGTATTCTATAAATGTTTGCTGAATGAAGGCCGGGTGCAGTGGCTCACGCCTGTAATCCTAACACTTTGGGAGGCTGAGGCAGGCAGATCACCTGAGGTCAGGAGTTTGAGACCAGCCTGACCAACATGGAGAAACCCCATCTCTACTAAAAATACAAAATTAGCTGGGCGTGGTGGCACATGCCTGTAATCCCAGCTACTCAGGAGGCGAGGGCAGGAGAAACACTGGAACCTGGGAGGCGGAGGTTGTGGTGAGCCAAGATCATGCCATTGCACTTCAGGCTGGGCAACAAGAGTGAAACTCTGTCTCAAAAAAAAAAAAAAAAGTTTGTTGAATCAATAAGTGGTATTGCTTATAGAAGAGCAAATCACACGTGGGTGAAGGATGACTTTGATCGAAGTTAGTTGAATGTGGTTAAGAGCTGGTTCTGAGTTGGACTTGCCTGGATTTGAATCCCAGCGCTCTCATTTGCACGGTGTGACTGTGGGCAATTTGGTTACACTTTCTGAGCCTCAATTCCTTGTCTGTGAAAGGAGGAGGATACCAGTACCCTCCATCAGCCTGTGTAAGGAGCATATGAGATCCTATGCATGAAGCTGCCTGGTTTGCACTCTGCGTGCTTGGTAAATGTTAGCTTTAAAAAAAATTACACCTCGTAATACCACTTTGGGAAATGTAACTATGTAAAACACATAAAAAATTAGGCTGAAGAGAAAAGAACATTTAAATGCACACCGGTATGGGGGAATTTTATTGTATTTTCAAAGGAAAAAGTGGGTCAGAAATGAGAGGATTAACTGGATCCAGTTGCATTTTGGCTACAGGTAGCCCGGGTCACAGGAGGAATCTTCATCCCTGGGAGTTCCTGCTGCAGAAAGAAAGATCAAGCTCAATCCGGGGAATTGAAGTAAGGGTGGCTAGAGTGGGATGCATGGAACCAGGGTGACGGGTGCTCCCGTGACAGGAGCTGGCCTTTTGGATTCCAAAAGAGGCAGTGTGGGGTGGAGGGAAGGATGCGCAAGCATGCCAGCAAGGCGAGTCCCAGGCTTAGCCCCTGCTCTCTGCTCTGCCAGCCAACTCCCACCGAGACCCTGGGCCAGTCACTTCGCCTTGAAGAAGCTTCCTCTAATCCCCAGACAGGCTCAGCGTTCTCCCAGCCTCACCATCACCACTCCCCAGCATCTCTTCCCATTCATCACAATGAAGTAATTGACTGTACAAGAACGTGTCTAGTTCCTTGCTGCTTCGGTGTGTTATGAATTCCATGAGAGCAGGGGTCGCTGCTGTCCTGTACCCTGCTATGCCTCTGGTCCAGAGTGTGGCATGTCATAGTCACTGGATGGTCTTTACAGGGGTGGGAAGATGGCTAAACCCGAGCCTCAGTTTCCTTACAGGGCTGTTACGTGGACACAATGTATGATGGCTGCAAAAGTGTGCCATCTGTCACATGGCTCTACTCTGCACTCTAAAGCAGGAACTTATTCCTGCTCACCAGTGATATCCTGGTATTTGCAGCAGTTGAGCTGGAGGGGGAACAATGGCTATAGCAGCCTTCGGGGCCCTTCCTGCCAGCTCTGCGGGCTCTGTGATTTCAATCTCCGTGAAGCCTCTGGCTTTTAACTCGCGGGAACAAAGCCTGCATTCTTAGGATTAGCCCTCCATGGAGCCATCCACCCTACTGGGGCCTGATGAGAGCCATAGCAGGTGAACAATTACTTAATCCCAGCCTGCAAGGCACAGAGGAGGCCTTCTTCTTAGAGACATTATTTTTGAACTCTTGTCTTGCGGACCCTAGAGATGGTAAGAGCTAACCCCTCCTTTCACAGAGTCGAAACGAAGAAGTGTGTTGCTGTGCCGCTAGTTGCAGAAACAGGCCTGGGGCCCAGGTGTTCTTCCCGCCTCCCAGACTGGTTGTCGCCTCTCCTGTCATCTGCCGTAGGCCTGGTGCTGCTTGTAGGTGGTGAAATCTCTGGGCTGGTGGTGTCTAATCGGGTTGGGAAGAAGGTGAGAGAGGCCATGGAGCGCTCTGCTGGGAACTGGATTTGCTTAATAGCTTGGACCAGAAGTGCCCAGCAGAGCCACACTGGGACCTGCTTGTGCTCGCAGTTAAATCAGGCTCTAGGCCGGGTGCGGTGGCTCATGCCTGTAATCCCAGCACTTAGGGAGGCCATGGCAGGTGGATCACCTGAGGTCAGGAGTTCGAGACAAGCTTGGCCAGCATGGTGAAACCCCATCTCTACTAAAAGTACAAAAAATTAGCCGGGCGTGGTGGCGGGTGCCTGTAATCCCAGCACTTTGGGAGGCCATGGCAGGTGGATCACCTGAGGTCAGGAGTTCGAGACAAACTTGGCCAGCATGGTGAAACCCCATCTCTACTAAAAGTACAAAAAATTAGCCGGGCGTGGTGGCGGGTGCCTGTAATCCCAGCACTTGGGGAGGCCAAGGAGGGTGGATCACCTGAGGTCAGGAGTTCAAGACCAGCCTGGCCAACATGGTGAAACCCTGTCTCTACTAAAAGTACAAAAATCAGCCAGGCATGGTGGCAGGCGCCTGTAATCCCAGCTACTCGGGAGGCTGAGAATCACTTGAACCCTGGAGGCAGAGGCTGCAGTGAGCCGAGATCACGCCACTGCACTCTAGCCTGGGTGATGAGAGTGAAACTCCATCTCAACAACAACAACAAATCAGGCTCTAAACCCCAGCAGAGTTTCTCCAAACAACCACGACATTTTTGGGAAACTTTGCCCATGAAGTGGGGGCTTTGTGCAAAGAAGTTCCAGGGAGGCAAAACAGGTCTGGGCCTGCCATTCCCTGACTTGGGGCCAGCTGCCGCCCCGTCTTTGCCTCACTTTTCCTCCTCTGTAGACTCCCAGGAGAAACGTGAGGGCCAGTGAGCTGGGGAACGACAGTCATCACGTCTCTCGTCTGCTGATCGTGTGTCTGCGCACACTCATCTACCACAGGGTGTGGGAGGGCTGGTCTGTCTTTGGCTTGATAGTTTTTTGAACTTGGCAAGGGAACCAGAGCATGCCTGTCAGTTCACCTGCAGCCGAATCCTTGGGAACACCTGTTAAAATTCAGATTTCTGGGTCGTATCACGGAACCATTTGGTGAGTAACATTTTTGGGCATGGACACTGAGCCTGGCCTCTGGCTCCGCACTGGGATACAGCCATGGATAAGATGCGGTCTCCATCAGACACTTTCCACCCTTCATGACTAAAGAACTCTCCTAATATTGATTGATTGATTGACTGATTGAGACGGGATCTCACTATATTGGGCAAGCTGGTCTCAAACTCCTGGCCTCCAGTGATCCTTCCCCATCAGCCTCCCAAAGTGCTGGGATTATAGGCATGAGCCACTGCACCTGGGCACTCCCCTAGTTCTTCTTCTTTTTTTATTTTAGACAGAGTCTTGCTCTGTCACCCAGGCTGGAGTGTAATGGTGCGATCTCAGCTCACTGCAACCTCCGCCTCCCAGCTTCAAGCGATTCTCCTGCCTCAGCCTCCCGAGTGGCTGGGATTACAGGCGTGAGCCACTACACCTGGCTCATTTTTGTATTTGTAATAGAGACAGGGTTTTGCCATGTTGGCCAGGTTGGTCTTGAACTCCCGACCTCAGATGATCCACCCACCTTGGCCTCCCAAAGTGTTGGGATTACAGGTGAGCCACCATACCCAGCCACTCTCCTAGTTCTTAATGTCTGTCAGGAGGGTCCTTGTTCTTGGTTTGTTTGGCAGAGCCCCATACCTTCAGAGAGGAGTGGATTTTTTCCTTTTCCTGGCAAACCACGGGGTAGGAAGCCCTGAAGTCCCTAGATGCACCCATGCACACACACCCATACCTGTGCTTCTGCAGCAGGGCCACCAGGATGCTCTCCAATTCCATTTGCTTTTGTTCTGCCCACATGCTGTCTACCTGACGACCAAGCCGTGCCCTTGCTCCTCGCTCTTGGTTGCTCTCTCTGTGTGGTTAGAAAAAGAGAACTAGTTGCTATTTGGGTAGGATGTGGAAAGGCAGGGGTATATCCCTATGCCTATTTCAATATCTGGTGTGGACTCTTCTACCCAACTGAATTAGATTCAGCCACACTTAGGGAGGCAGTATATATAGTAATGAAGAGCACAGAAGTACAAGTGTACACAGTTGCAAAACGTCTCCCCACAGATTATTAATGATAGAGGGAAAAATAACTTTATAGAGGAGAAACCTAGCAGACACCATGTTAACCAACTGATCAAAGTTACCATCTACCAATAATCCACCAATAATGGCACAAATTGCCATCCTGTGCCTCCTGATACCAGGCACTGAGAAGGACACAACACTACTTCTGTGAATGCATCACCTGATTCCTCTAATCATCATTAGAGGAACGCATCCTCTAATCATGGGGATATGTCTGGCAAATTCAACATGAGGGACATTCTATAAATCATTAGCCTTTACTAATCAAAACTGTCAATGTCATGAAAGACTGAGGAACGATTCCAGATTAAAAGAAACTGAAGGGACATGACAACTAAATGGTATCCATGATCCTGGATTGGGTCCCAGATCAGAAAAAGAAATAATTGTTATAAAGGACATTTTGGGACAACTGGTAAAATTTGAATATGGATTATAATTGATAATTATATTATGATTATGTAAGGGGATGTCCTTTGGTTAGGTATTAGGAAACACATATAGAAGTACCTAAGGGTAAAGGGTCATGATGACTGCAATTTACTCTCCAATGGTTCAACAAAAATGATAAGAATACTTAATGTGCATATGTGTTTCTGTGTGTATGTATCTATATCTAGCTATAGATATAGAGTAAGCAAATGTGATAAAATGTTAGGAATTGGAAGTGTATATGGAAGTCCATTGTGCTTTTGTTGCAACTTTTTTGTAAGTTTGAGATTTTTTTCAAAGTAAAAACTAAAAAACGTATAGGCTATAGAGTCAGGCAGTTTGGCTCCAAACTCTGCCACTCTTTGTGTGTCCTTTAAAAGCTATTAACCCTGGGCCAGGGCGCAATGGCTCACACCTGTAATCCCAGCACTTTGGGAGGCCGAGGCGGGCAGATCACGAGGTCAGGAGATCGAGACCGTCCTGGCTAACATGGTGAAACCCCGTCTCTACTAAAATATACAAAAAATTAGCTGGGCATGGTGGCGGGCACCTGTAGTCTCAGCTACTCGGGAGGCTGGGGCAGGAGAATGGTGTGAACCCGGGAGGGGGAGCTTGCAGTGAGCCGAGATTGTGCCACTGCACTCCAGCCTGGGGGACAGAGAGAGACTCCATCTCAAAAAAAAAAAAAAAAAAAAAAAAAAGAGCTATTAACCCTGTACAATGGGGATAAGGGTTGTTATGAAGATTAAAGAAGAAACTAAAAGCTGGGCAAGGTGGCTCACAACTATAATCCCAATGCTTTGGGAGGCCAAGGTGGGAGGATCACTTGAGGCCAGGAGTTCGAGACCAGCCTGGGCAAAATAGTGAGACCCCATCTCTACAAAAAATAAAATAGTCAGTTGTGGTGGTGCACACTGGTAGTCCTAGCTACTTGGTAGGCTAAGATGGGAGGGTCGCTTGAGTCCAGGCATTTGAGGTTACAATGAGGCATGATCATTCCACTGTACTCCAGCCTGGGCAACAGAATGAGACCCTGTCTCTAAAAAAAAGAAAGCAAGAAACTAAGAATAATAGTAGCTGACACTACCAAGGGCATCTGTGTGCCCAGCACTGTGCCAAGTGTCTGTAAATGTCCTAGGGCAGAGCCTTTGTTTTTGGCATGGAGTCATGATTAAATGGTAACTACTACCAGTGTTGTTACTGTCGGAGCCTAGCCTGAAGAGACACGTGGTAGGCATGGAGGTAAGTTGAGGTTTAACGCTGGAACCCTTTTGCTATGGGAAGTCCAGAAATGACACTTGCTGTGCCAAGGAAGAGATCTGAATTGGTCCCTGGTCCCCTGTAGGGAACAAGCTCCTGCAGACTCTGCTGCAGGGTGTGGGAAGAAATCACTAGAACTCCTGCTTACCCCTGCTGCCTGCTCATGATGTCCTGGAGCAGCTTGCGGGCGGACAGCTGGCCCAGCACCTTCCGGTAGCTGTTGGTGAAGATGGCATCTGCATACCGCCGCATCCTGTGCGGAAGGAGTCAGGGGTCAGAGGGCGGGGTGGAGGCCAGGCGAGAGGACAGTCGTGGCTGCACTCGCCATGTCTCTGCAAGATCCTTCTGTTGCCATCTGTCCCACTCACCCCAAGAGAGACTCAGACCCCTCTGAGTGACCTCTGTGAAGCTGTGTCTGCCTCCTCTGCAAGGACGGGCAGTGGGTGCTGCCTGGAGACATAGCCAGGGCCCAGCTGATGGGCTGAGTCTGCATTCACTAACGCCTGCCCCATGGCAGGGATGGCTTGGGAGTGGTGGGAACTTTCCCCAGGGTCTGCTTACCTGAGGGTCAAAGGGGGAGGTGGGGAGCAGTGGGAGCTGTTGCTGAGGGTGAGGATCACAAAGAAGAACACCCAGAGTGGCATCCTTCACCCGGGGTGGCACCTGCAGAGTGACAGGAGGGGAAGGTCAGGTACAGCCACAGCCATTGGGATGGCCTTCACTGGCCCAGCCCTGGGCTTGGCTCCATGGCAAGCCTTGGTCCTTGGTTTTTGGAAGCTGTGGGATGGGAAAAAGAACCCAGACACTGGAAGTCAGACAGACCTGAGTTCATGTTCTGCCTCTGCCAGCCACCTGCTCTGACTTCATTTTCTCCATCTGTAGAATGGGCGTGATGGAGCTCCCCTGCCAACCACATAGGGTTGAACCAAAAACCAGTGATAGTAGGGAAATTTCCCCTTGCCATAAGGTATTAGAAGTAGGATTTGGGCTCAGGCACAGTGACTCACGCCTGTAATCCCAGCACTTTGGGAGGCTGAGGTGGGCGGATCACCTGAGGCCAGGAGTTTGAGACCAGCCTGGCCAACCTGGTGAAATCCCATCTCTACTAACATTACAAAAATAAGACAGGAGTGGTGGCGTGTGCCTGTAATCCCAGCTACTCAGGAGGTTGAGGCACGAGAATCCCTTGAACCCAGGAGGTGGAAGTTGCAGTGAGCCAAGATCGTCCCATGCACTCCACGCTGGGTGACAAAGTGAGACCCTGTCTCAAAAAAAAAAAAAAAAAATTTAAATAAATAGAATAAATGGGATCCCTTAGCAAGGAATGGGGAAGGTCAAAGAACCTTCTCTCAGTGCCCCTCATTCAACCCCATCCAGTGTGGCAGTGAAAGCAGGCAGCAAGGGTAACTGCTCAGCTCTGAGTCAGACAAACTGGAAGTTCAAATCCTGGCTCTGCTGTCATTAGCTGTGTGTCCCAGGACAAGTGGCTTCACCTCTCTGAGCCTTATTTTCCCCGGCCATAAAACCAAGATAGTAACTAGACCTCCTACTTCGGCTCCTGGAAGGATCTGGTGAGGTAAGTGCCTGAACCAATAGGGAATTCTCTAGAAACCTTTGCTGTGTCTACCTAAGACCAACCCTCTCAGAGGGCAGGCTCTTCCTGTTTTAATTTTGTTTGGAGTTGGAGAGAGGGGAGAAGGGCTCTAAGTCTTGCTCCAGATGCTTAGATTTTGCTGAAGAGTTTTAGTCCTGGAAGAGACTGAAGAGCCGGGGGATCCAGTGTGGCGCAGTCATCTCATAGGTCCTGTAACTACCCTTAATTGGGGCCTGCGGACAGCATGCTCTGCAATTAGGGGAAAAACAGCCAGCAGGGGACAGAGCCCGCCTCCGCTGGGGCAAGTGCCACTGCTGTCAGCCCAGACCTGCCCAAGCATGGAAACACGGCTGGCCTCGGGGGACTTGGCCACCTAGGAATTGGGTCCTCCCATCTCCCATGGGTTTCTCCCTCTCTCAGCAGGATGTCTACTCCATGGGGGTGTAGATCCATCCAGAAGCCCAGCCAGCCCCGGAGGTGGCCAGCACCCCCGCCTTTCCCACAATCTCCTCACATGGCTTCCTTCTCTCCCACTCCTGGGTCCTGCTGAGGAGTTCTGGCAGGCAGGGCCAGCACTGGCAGAACCCACCTTGCTCTCCCGGCCCTCTCAGGGTATCACCCTCCTTTCTGAAGGCACTGAAGTCTCCTCTAACCCAGGGATGCCTTGGGCCCCCAGGCAGCACTCAGGGGGTCTGCTTACTGCAGCCTGAGACCCTGTACCTGCAGAGCTGGAGGGAGCAGCAGCCCAGGCCTCAGTGGTCAGCCCCTCCCTCCATGACATGAGCATCCCCACAACACGCACACTGGCTGTCCTCCACTTCCTGCTCGAGTGAGCACTTGCTGCCAGCGAATGACAGGGATCTCACTACCCCCAGGCCCGGGAGCTTATTTCCAGATGGTTCTTTATTTATTTATTTTGAGAGCGGGTCTCACTCTGTGGCCCAGGCTGAGGTGCAGTGGTGCAATCATAGCTCACTACAGCCTCAAACTCCTGGGCTCAAGCAATCCTCCTGCCTCAGCCTCCTGAGTAGCTGGGACAGCAGGCATGTGCCATCATGCCCAGCTAATTTTGAAATTTTTTGTAAAGATAAAGTCTCACTATATTGCCGAGGCTGGTTTCAAACCCCCGGGCTTAAGTGATCCCCCCGCCTCAGCCTCCCAAAGAGTTGAGCTTATAGGCATGAGCCACAATGCCAGGCCCAGGCAGTTCTTATTGTTAGGAAGTTTGTCTCACCATGTCAAGCCCAAATCTCCTTCTCCTGCAAATGTTTGTTAAGCCTCTACTGTTCCGGTAAGGACTGGGGCTAGAGAAAAGATGAGAACACGGGATCTACCCCGAGGGCTGGCTGTGTAACATCCGCCTGCTGGGCTGGAGCCTCTGCACCTACAGCCACACGACTGGTCCTTTAGATATGTTCCGCATGTCTGACTTAAGCTTTTGTTCCTCAGACCAAGGCTCGGCAGGCTTCCGTCCTCCTCATCGCACCATACCACGTCTGGTCCCCCTTCTCCCCACCTGGTCCAGGCTGCCTCTCCAGAAGTGGAATTTCCTAAGCCGAGAGATCTCTGGATGCAAGCAGGGCCCCTTGACAGAAACCACTGCCTTTTCTGTCTCCCAGCTGCAGCCTGGCTTTCTTGCCTTCTTTGCTGCTGATCTTTTAAAGATTCAGGCAGATCTAGGTCCCCAATCACCTCCCTCCCCTGCTCAGAAGCCCTTGGCTCCCCACTCCTTCCAGAATAAAGCTCAAACCCCTTCTCTTGGCTTAAGCTCTCCCTCTGCCTGCCCCTTCTCCCAAGGGCTGGCACAAGTGATTCCCAGCCCCTGTGCCCTATCAGGCTCCACAACCCATCCTTGCACTCTCCCTCTGGAGCAGGCATCCCCATGCTCCTCTTACAGCCAAGGAAAAGAGCCTAGAGAGGACAAGGACATTTTCCATGATCCTCCATCAAATTAGTTTTGGAGTGGGCACTTCAGAGTGGGCCTCCTCATTCCCAGGCCGGCAGACTTCCTTCCGCTCCATGCAGCAGCCTCCCAGGTACAATGCTCTATTCACAGTATTCCCCATTCACAGGGATCCTCAGCCTCCATCACCTGCACGTGGGAAAGGGTCTGAAAAAAAGGAAAGCTTCTTGCTCTTTGTTGTTGGGCCTCTGGGGAAGAAAGAACAGGGACAAACAGGAACACCTGCTTGATTGGCCCCTCCCTATGCACACCCAGTAGTTTCAGGGAGTTGAAACAACCTCATAGGAGGGCAGACTTTGGTGGGGAGGGCAAGTCATAGTAAACACAATACCCCGCTCATTCAAGATAAGGCTCAGCAACTGCACAAGTTAACCAAGAGGCTCAACATTTGCCACAAATCCTGTGCCCCAGGCATAGGTCAAGACCCCACAGCAACCTCTGAGCTATGAGAACCGAATCCATGGGTTTGCAGATCCCACTGGATGAAAATGGGAAACAAGAATTATCCAGTGTAGGGTAAGATAAGAAGAATAGAGGTTATGTCACTAAGGATAAAATAGCTCCAGCCTGAGCAACATGGCGAGACCCCATCTCTACAAAAAAAAAAACACACAAAACAAAACAAAAAAAAACTTATCTAGGCATGGTGGCGCATGCCTGTAGTCCCAGCTACTCTGGAGGCTGATGTGGGAGGATTGCTTGAGCCCGGGAGGTTAAGGCTGCAGTGATCCATGATAGTGCCACTGCACAGTAGCCTAAATGTCAGAGCAAGACCCCATCTCAAAGAATAAAATAAAATAGCTGTCAACAGACACATTCCACATGACAACTTAAGGAGTCAAAATTCACTGAATGAAGTGTAGCCGAGCCCAACAGCATTGCTGGCAACCCTGATGACTGAAGGCACTCCAGAGTTTATAATCTATCATTATGATCATCGGTTAGCTTCCTGCAGTGCTTACTGATTCTGGGATTAGATGTACTTGAGATTGCCTGGATTCAGGATAAACGGGCACTTGATCTACATCCGTTGGCACCTTTTGCCAGCTTTCATGCCAGGAATGCCAGGAGAATTCTGCAGATTCACCTGCAGCTGACAGAGGTCAGGTCTCAAGCACCCAAATTCGCAAGGCCATTTTTGAAAACCCAGGGAAAGAACATCTTTAACCTTCCTTGAATATCCCCCTTTGAAATTTGAGCACCCCAAAGCATAGACTTCCTGATCTGGTTTATAAACTGTTTCAGTGACAGCATTCCAAGTTAAAAGAAATCTAAGTTTTTAATGAGGAAGCATCTTGAACTGTCATTCAAAAGAGTGACACTCCACCTCCTTCCAGAAGGGGTTTGAGGCAGTCTATGGTGAAAGACACAAATACTTCAGGACCATTAAAGCAAGGATCAGGAGACAGGCGTGGGGTAGCGGAGGACTCCAAAGGCAGATAATTGTGTCTAAAACCTGGAGTAAAGAGTGTGGCTGCAATTGAGCAAGAAAGCAAAATGTTATCAATTTCCCGGCAATTACATTGAATCAGTTCTGAGTGATCAATGAGCAGTATTGATTTGCACAGCCACTTGGCTCATCTCTGATCCATGGCAGAATCCCATCGCTGACAGGAAAATCGAGCCAACTCACGTTTGCCCCCGAAGCCTGCCCACGCATCCTCGAAGGAGCACTGAGACCTCACCACCTGCGACAGACACCTGGAGCCAGTCCGCCACGCGCCCAAGTTAAGACAAGCCCCAAACAGCACCATCAAAAGCCTATTCCAGAGCCCCTATTGAGGGGTGATTTTATCCAGAGAGGGGCTCAAATGTACTCACCAGTCCATGGGCAAAGAGGATGGCGGTGGGCCTCTTGGACTCAGTGTTTCTAAGTTGGTGAGAAGGTTAACTTTTCTTACCCCCACCCAGCCTAGCCCCCCCAGGGCCACCCCTCTCACCTGATGCGGCAGATATCCCTCTGCTCCGAGGCACTGCTCAAATCCAGGGGCCCTGGGCTGGGTGTTTGCTCTGGCAGCCGCCTGGCGTTCCCATCATTTATCTCTTCATTTTCCTAAGCGTTGTCAGCGTCAGAGAATCAATTACCCACAAGTCAACCAAAGGACTGTTTTTAGCATCATATCACACTGACAAACCCTGTTGGTGAAAGAGGTTTGGCCCCTTGCAGACTTAGACTCCTGGTAAAGTCTCCTTTTATCTTTGGCACAGTGGACATAGTACAAAGGTGTAACATTATTCCAAGAGGATATAGAGAATATATACTGCTATAATAGTGATTGGAGAACTCGGCTGGGCGCGGTGGCTCACACCTGCCATCCTAGCACTTTGGGAGGCTGAGGCGGGTGGATTGCCTGAGCTCAGAAGTTTGAGACCAACCTGGGCAACATAATGAGACCCTGTCTCTAGAAAAAAATTAAAAATTAGCTGGGCATGTTGGCACATGGGTATAGTCCCAGCTACTCAGGTGGCTGAGGCAAGAGTGTCACCTGAGCCTGGGAGGCGGAGGTTGCAGTGAGCCAAGACCACGCTATGGCACTCCAGCCTGGGTGACAGAGCACGACTCTATCTCAAAATATATATTTTTTAAAAAAAGAAAAAATATGTGTTAAAAATAATTGGAGAACTCATAACAGTGAAACACCAAGAGTTTATTGATTCTCCAAGATAAATGTGCCTTTTCAAAAGTTCATATAATTTAGCTTTGTCCCTGTGTAATTTTATTTCACTTTTGGGTAGACAACATTATGAATAAGCGTTATTCTCTCCTTAGTGGGGAATTTGTTCCCTATCTCCCTTGTCGTCCAATTATCAGAATTCTGCACTATTTGATTTACACCTGCTTGGTCACAGGCTGATTTCAACAGCTAGCCTGGGGGCATCCGTCGTCACCTGTCAAGGCAGCCAGACATTGGCAGTTGCCTCAGAGAAGTGTGAAATGAGAGGGAAGAGATGGAAAACCTTGGGAGAGTTGTTGTGTTTCCAGATTTCTCTAGCCTATAGCTAAGAAATCCTCAGGAATGACATAAAAGCACAGGAGGCAGAAGCTCTGGTTTCCCAGGCGGCCGTCGTGGAGGTGTGGAAAGAGCTCCAAGCCTCGAGTCTAGGGACCTGCTGCCTCTCCCAAGCCTGTCAATCATGACCTCTGTGACCCTTAGGAAGTTACTTCTACCTGGCTGGGTGCAGTGGCTCACACCTGTAATCCCAGCACTTTGGGAGGCTGAGGCGGGTGGATCATGAGGTCAGGGGTTCGAGACCAGCCTGACCAACATGGTGAAACCCCGTCTCTACTAAAAATACAAAAATTAGCTGGGTGTGGTAGTGGGCACCTGTAATCCCAGCTACTCAGGAGGCTGAGGCAGGAGAATTGCTTGAACCCGGGAGGTGGAGGTTGCAGTGAGCCGAGATCGTGCCACTGCACTCCAGCCTGGGCGACAGAGCGAGACTCTGTCTCAAAAAAAGAAAAAAAACTTCTACCCTCCGGGCCTCAGTTTCTACCTGGAAACTTGAGAGTTGACATAGAACAGCAACTTTCAAACTATTTTTTTGAGAGGGATCCTATCTTTGCCACCCAGGTTGGAGTGCAGTGGCATAATCTCGACTCATTGCAACCTCCACCTCCCGGGTTCAAATGATTCTCCTGCCTTAGCCTCCAGAGTAGCTGGGATTACAGGTGCGTACCACCACGCCTGGCTAAGTTTTGTATTTTAGTAGAGATGGGATTTCACCATGTTGGCCAGGTTGGTCTCAAACTTCTGACCTCAGGTGATCCACGTGCTTCTGCCTCCCAAAGCACTGGGATGACAGGTGTGAGCCACCACACCCAGCCCAAACATTTTTTAAAAAGTAGCAAAACTCTTTCTTTGGAAACCTACAGAGACAGGTTTTTAATATGGGGCTACTCTGGTTGAAGAGGGGGAAGTGGAGACCCCCTTGCCTATCCCTGAGGTACCTCGATGGGTCACAATTACAAGCCAGTAATTTCCAAGAGTCCCCTTAGCAACACTATTTTGTGGTTCTCCTTCTTAGCCTGCACTGAGCCATGTTCTTGGCATCTAGCAAATATGAGATGTTTCTCATAGAAGCAAGGCTTGAGTGGTATGTCACCTTGCTGGCCAGGATACGAAGTGGTCAGGTCAGGCCAGATCCCCAAGGATTAAGAATGGGCTGATAGTGGCCAGGTGCGGTGGCTCATGCCTGTAACCCCAGCACTTTGGGAGGCCGAGGCAGGCGGACTGCCTGAGCTCAGGAGTTCGTGACCACTCTGGGCAACATGGTGAAACCCCGTCTCTACTAAAATACAAAAAAATTAGCTGGGTGTAGTGGCATGTGCCTGTAATCCCAGCTACTGGGGAGGCTGAGGCACAAGAATAGCTTAAGCCCCAGAGGCAGAGGTTGGTGTGAGCCGAGATGGCGCCGCTGCACTTCAGCTTGAACAACAGAGTGAGACTCTGTCTCAAAAAAAAAAATAAATAAAAACAGGGCGTGGTGGTTCACGTCTGTAATCCCAGCACCTTGGGAGGCTGAGGCGGGCGGCTCACGAGGTCAGGAGATCGAGATCATTCTGGCTAACATGGTGAAATCCCGTCTCTATTAAAAATACAAAAAATTAGCCGGGCGTGGTGGTGGGTGCCTGTGGTCCCAGCTACTCGGGAGGCTGAGGCAGAAGAATGGCTCAGGACCCAGGAGGCGGAGCTTGCAGTGAACCAAGATGGTGCCACTGCACTCCAGCCTGGGTGACAGAGTGAGACTCCGTCTCAAAAAAATAAATAAAATAAATAAATAAATAAAAATAAAAATAAAAATAAATGGGTTGATAGCTTTAAATTAATTATTATTATTATTATTTTATTTACTTAATTTTTTGGAGACAGGGTCTCGCTCAGGCTAGAGTGTAGTGGTGAGATCTCAGCTCACTGCAGCCTTGACCTCCTAGGCTCAAGCAGTCCCCAACCTCAGCCTCCTGAGTAGCTGGGACTGCAGTTGCACGCCACCATGCCCAGCTAATTTTGTTTATTTTTAGTAGAGATGAGATCTCACTATGTTGTCCTGGCCAGAACTCAAATATTATTTAAAAAAAAAAAGTGCAGGTCACAGCAGCAGGGAGCAGACGAAGCAGTTGGGAGCCCCAGGGCTATGGGCTCTCGCACAGTCAGGAAGTGTGGGGTAACTCCTGGAAATGCAAAGTGGGGACCATGCAGAGCTGGGCACCCAGAGTGGACGCTGGTCCAGGGCACAGATGCAGGTTACATGGAGTTGGCCGGAGAAGCCATGGGGCTCAGAATCCAGCCTCGGTTGAAACTCTGTGCCAGGCATTGTGCTACAGACTTCACGCCCTATCTCAGTTTTCTTATTTGTAAAATGGGAGTGATAGAGCTCAACTTATGAGGCTCTTGGGTGAGAATTATTGTGACATTGCATAAAGGGCAGACCTGGCATAGGGCAGAGCTCACAATTTAGCTTTGATAATTGCTGTTCTTGTCATTGCGGTAAATGAGGAAACAGGCATGAAAGGTTACGTGCTCAGCCACAGCCACAGAGCTAGTCAGTAGCTGGAAGAGCTATGACTCAAACATGTTTTCTGACTTCCTTACAGCCCCAGCTACTCAGGAGGCTGAGGCAGGAGGATCACTTGAGCCCAGGAGTTAGAGGCTGCAGTGAGCTATGTTCGTGCTTCCGTACTCCAGCCTGGGCAATGGAGTGACACCTTGTCTCTATTGAAAAAAAAAGGAAAAAAAAGTTTTCTGATTTCCAATTTGTTTGCCCCACACTAAGGCCCTTCCTGGGCCTACCAGTTCTAATTTTTTTTTTTTTTTTTTTAAAAAGAACTTCAACAGTTTGGCCGGGCGTGGTGGCTTACACCTGTAATCTCAGCACTTTGGGAGGCCGAGGCAGGCGGATTGCCTGAGGTCAGGAGTTCGAGACCAATCTGGCCAACATGGTGAGACCCTGTCTCTACTAAAAATACAAAAAAATTAGGCGGGCGTGGTGGCATGCGCCTGTAATCCCAGCTACTCGGGAGGCTGAGGCAGGGGAATTGCTTGAACCAGGGAGGTGGAGGTTGCAGGGAGCCAAGATCGCGCCACTGTGCTCCATCTTGGGCGACAGAGGGAGACTCCATCTAAAAAACAAATAAACAAACAAAAAAGAGTTAACATATCATAAAGCTCACTGGTTTTAAGTCTATGGCTCCATGAGCTTTCATACATTTATACGGTGGTGCCACCATTGCCACAATCCTGTTTTGGAATGCTTCTGTCCCTCCAAAAATTCCCTCTAGCCCATTTGCTCTCAGTCTCCACTCTTGCCCCCTGCCCTAGGCAACCCCTAATCTGCTGTCTTACAGTTTTTCCTTTGCTAGGAAATTCCTATAAATGGAATCTTTTATATGATGAGTAAATCATAATAAATCAAATAAAATACGCACTTTTTGGTGTCAGGCTTCTTTCACTCAGCATAATGTTTGACCTTCATCCATGTTGATCCAGGTATTAATAGTTTGTTCCTTTTTATTCCATTGTATGGATGTATGACTGTTTGTTTACCCATTCACCTTGATGGACATTTGGGTTGATTCCAGTTTGGGGCTAGTATGAATTATGCTGCTACGAACTTTTTTTTTTTTTGAGACAGGGTCTTGCTGTCACATAGGCTGGAGTGCAGTGGCACAATCTCAGCTCGCTGCAGCTTTGACTTCCTGTGCTCAAGTGATCCTCCCACCTCAGCCTCCTGAGTAGCTGGGACCACAGGCGTGATCCGCTGCGCCCAGCTAATTAAAAAAAATTTTTTTGTAGCAATGGGGTCTCTCTATATTGCCCAGGGTCTCTCTCTATCAAACTCTTGGGTTCAAGTGATCCTCCCACCTCGGCCTCCCAAAGTGTTGAGATTACAGGTGTGAGTCACCCTGCCTGAACTGCTATGAATATTTCAGTAGGAGACCTTGTGTGAACATGTTTTCATTAATCTTGGGTGGGTACCTAGGAGGGGAATCACTGGGTCATATAATGAGGGTTTAGCTTTTTAAGAAACTGCCAGTCTTTTCCACAATGGCTGTACCATTGACTTTCCCCCCAGCAGCGATGGGGGTCTGCCCCCGAATTTCTTAAATGAGCATTTATTTCCTCATCCCACAAACCCCTCTTAAGCAACTAATTAGGCCCACGTAGAGCTTGCTGGATTAGCTGTCCATCTCCGAGGGGCTTAGTCCCTTTTCTGCAGTTAGGGGAGTGGGGTGGCTCTCTCCCCTCTGCATAGCATCTTCTGGGTGCTATGAGGAACGCAGAGTGTTTGGACACAGTGCTTGTCTTCAAAGAGCTACAGGAGGAAGCTGAGTCATTACCCTGGGCAGGTAGATCCAGAGAGGGACACAGTATCAGTATAAATGCAGAGAGGGACACAGTATCAGTATAAATGTTCCAAGAATCGAGAGAAGGGAGAAGTCATGTAAACCCAGGAGTTCATCGTCAGACAGGAGTAGGGAGAAGCTTAAAATGGGAGCAAATGGATTTGGATTTGAAACCAACTCTGCCATTTGCCCCATGTGAGATTCTAGGCAAGGTCAATCCCTTAATCTCTCTGAGCCTCAGTTACTACATCTGTACAATGGAGGTGATAAGAACTACCACTCCAGGTTGTTGTGAGAACCAGAAATATGCTTGGCCGGATGCGGTGGCTCACACCTGTAATCCCAACACTTGGAGGCAGAGGCAGGCAGGTTGCTTGAGCCCAGGAGTTCGAGACCAGCTTGGGCAACACAGTGAGACCCCCGTCTCCACAAAAAGAAAGAAAGAAAAAGAAATATGCATGTTGGTGTCTGATATGTAAGTGTCTTGGCAAATGGTAGCAGTTATTGTAGTTTTTCAGAGCTGAGCTCTGAAAAAACGGGCTGCTTGGTGGCAGCCTGGTGGCGGGGAGGGCTGGGAGCCATCTTGGTGACAGGCTTTATTTGCAGTAAATTCTCAAACCCACTGAGAAAGAGCATAGTGGGGCGGGGGGTGGGGGAGGATGGGGAGCCAGAAAGAACCCGGAGAATGAAAACCCAGCCCCTTCCACCGATTCCCACCGCCGCCTTGTCCTTGTCCTCTGAGTGATGATGAGAACGCCTCGGTGGCCGCCCAGCTCACTTTCCCAGGACGTGTTTTAACCCAGCGTTAATTAGTGATTGTGGCTGCATCTAGGGCTGGGGGCTTGAGCTGAAGAAAGAAAGTACCCCAGAGAAAGGCAGACTTTAAAAGGCCCCAAAAGGCTGGGGCAGTGAGGCTCTGTGGAGAGGGAGACAAGCCGTGCATTTGTGTTGCAAATTTCCAGTGTGTGCAAGCCAGCCATTCAATGAGGGCGATGCTACTGGCAGCCGGCATGGGGGTGGGGAGGGAAAGGAAGTCCACAAAGGGGGCCTGTCTGAGGACCTCAGACCCTGCTTTGTAAAAGCTGCTTTCATCCCCCTCCCTGGTTGATGGCAGTGTTCCCAGTCCAAGGCCACTGTGCAAGGATCCAGAGGCCTGGACCCCAGACTCCCAGATTCTCTTGACCCTCCCCACTTGCCCTTCTAGGCCTGTTTTTGTGGCATCAGCAGCAGCAGGTGTCTGAGTGCTCCAGGGTACTGTGTCAGAGGAGACCAGGTTTAAGTGGTGTGGGCTTGCTAGGTGGCTTCAGGCAAAGTCACTTAACCTCCCTGAGTGTCAGTTTCCTCTTCTGTAAAATGGAGATGATGTGGTCCTTTCCCCTGCTTCACAGGGTCCTACCCAAACAGAAGGGCCTGTGATTGGATGGCAGCTCAGAGCTTCATTTCTTTCTCAAAAAGTCTGCATCTGGGAAAGTCATTAGAAGAGCTCTTTTAATGAAGAGATGAGGTTGATTGTACTTAGCAAATCAATGAAGCAACTCTGGGTTCCTTGGAAATGTTACTCCCACGAGTATTTTAATTTTTTTTTTCTTTTGAGATGGAGTTTAGCTCTTGTTGCCCAGGCTGGAGTGCAATGGCATGATCTCAGCTCACAGCAACCTCCACCTCCCGAGTTCAAGCGATTCTCCTGCCTCAGCCTCCCCAGTAGCTGGGATTGCAGGCGTGCACCACCATGCCAGACTAATTTTGTGTTTTTAGTAGAGATGGGATTTCACCATGTTGGCCAGGCTGGTCTCGAACTCCCAACCTCAGGTGATCCACCCACCTCAGCCTCCCAAAGTGCTGGGATTACAGGCGTGAGCCACCGCACCCGGCACTAATTTTTTTTTTTTTTAAGACAGTCTCGTTCTGTCACCCAGGCTGGAGTGCAGTGGCGCGATCTCTGCCCACTGTAACCTCCGCCTTCCAGGTTCAAGCAATTATCCTGCCTCAGCCTCCCAAGTAGCTGAGACTATGGGCACAAGCCACCATGCCCAGCTAATTTTTGTATTTTTAGTAGAGACAGGGTTTCACCATGTTGGCCAGGCTGGTCTTGAACTCCTGACCTCAAGTGATTTGCCTGCCTCGGCCTCCCAAAGCGCTGGGATTACAGGCGTGAGCCACTGCACCTGGCCCATGAGTATTTTAAACATTCACCTTGCTTGGAATCTTTGGGCCTGCCACAAGTCAATTAGGCACACTAACCAGGTTGTTTTTTGAGTTGGTAGACTTGGTGCAGGTGCCACGCCTGCTGCATAGGAGGCTGTCCCCAGCTGATCCTCGGGTAACCTTTCCCTGGTGAAGATATGACCATACTTCAAAAGCCCCCTTGGAGGCCATCTCTTCAAGAAGCATCCTCCCTCCCTGGCCTTGCCTGTGGTTGAGTGATTTTATAATTTTATATGCAGAAAATTGTCTCCTTTCCTGAGACCCTTGGGATGCCTGGGACCAAATCTTTGAGCCCTCTAAAGCTTTCTAATCAAAGTGTGGTCCATAGACCAGCAGTATTGACAGCACCTGGGGGCTTGTTAGGAATGCAGAATGTCAGGCTCCACTCTGGACCAATTGAATCAAAGGCTAAAATCTGTGAGGATTCTAAAGGCATTAGGCACCCTGGTGTCTAAATGCCCGGGATTCTGATCAGGTAGGAGGGCCATGGCCTCAGACAGCCGGGAGATGTCGCTGTTCCCCAGTCATTGGAGTTGTCAGGTTTTGCTACCAAATGCCAGAGGCCCCGCCTGTGGGGCTTTGTTCGCTGTGAAATCCCAGGACTACGAAAGGGTCAGGTCAAGTTTGTCATGCCACCTTTTCATCGGCCACTCAACCTGCGCCTCCTCCCATCTTTCCCTGACCGTTGCTGCCCTGGGTTCTCAGCTATGTTTCCAGATAGGGAAGACTGTGTGATCCCCAAGCCCAGCCCTGCCCCAAGCCCAGCCCTGCCCCAGGATCTCAGGAGAAAGCCCACAGGAGAAAGGGCATCTGGCCAGGCGCAATGGCTCATGCCTATAATACCAGCACTTTGGGAGGTTGAGGTGGGTGGATCACTTGAGGCCAGGAGTTCAAGACCGACCTCGGCGACATGGTGAAACCCCATCTCTACGAAAAATACAAAAATTAGCTGAGCTTGGTGGCATGCGCCTGTAATCCCAGCTACGTGGGAGGCTAAAGCAGAAGAATCACTTGAACTTGGGAGGCGGAGTTTGCAGTAAGCCGAGATCATGCCACTGCACTCCAGTTAGGACAACAGAGCAAGACTCTGTCTCAAAAAAAAAAAAAAAAGGAAGTGCATCCTACAGAGTCTCCCTCAGCCTGGCTCATCAGGCAAGAAGAGCTCAGACCAGCAAGGAGGGGGTGTCTACAGGGAGGACCGCCCTCGCTTGGAATCTCTGAGTTGGGGGATCTTAGTGACAACAGGACCTGCAGACACAGTGAGAAGAATTCCCATGATTTGAGTGTCCACAGGCAAAAGTCAAGGCCTGCTTGGGACTTCAGCTTCCAGTTTCTACTTCCCATGTCAGAGCCAGGTTATCTCACGGTCTTACTTCCCCTCTGTGGTTACAGTGCAGTTAAAGGAACCCTAATAGCCTCGACTGCAGCAAACTCAGGTTTGAGTCAGGGCCAAACGGCCCTCACTCCAGACTAGAAGCAGAGTCATTGGGGTTTCCCTCTAGGGTCTGGAGCTCCCACTCTCTGGGCCTTTCCCACCCTGCCTGGTTTAGTCCCTGAACACCCAGGCCACAGAGCAGAAGGAAGAGCAGCCTCCACACCCAGGCCCCCAGCTCCTGACTCCCCAGTGGCTGGGCCCTGTTGAAGCTGGAACCTCTTCTAAGGCCCAGAACCTGGAATCCATGGCTGAGTGAGACCTGGCTCCCTGCCTAGCTCCTGTCCCCCTGGGGTCAGCCCCAGTCACCACCACCCAATGACTCACGGAGTCTAGCTGTCCTGGATTTCCGCAGTCTAGCAGTAACATCTACATGCCAGTCACGTAACATACGTGATCTCATCTCATTCAACAACCTTGAGCCTTAGGAACACATAGTGCTCTCATTTCATGGTGGAAGAAGCTGAGTCTTGGAGATATTGGGTAACTCGTCCAATCTCATACAGACGGTACATGGAGAGGCCGGGGTTAGGAGTGGGGCTTGCCTGCCTCCAGACAAGCTCGCCTGCCCCGGAACAGTGCTATCCCTGACCCTGCCTCAGCAGCCCAGGGCTAATTTCTGCCAGCTTGATTTCCCATGGATTGGTATCAGCAGGGTCCATGTGGGTCCTGCGAGGTGGAGTGATAAAGGTGACAAGTGAGGACACTGCAATGGAAGATGGCACTGCACTTTACATTTGCACTTGTCATGGTGATAGTGACATTTCTGATTAACATCAGAACTTTGGTCTGCTGATTTCACCCGTGAACTTGGAGCCAGAAGTCCCAGGATCCATCTGATCTCTGACCCAATTGCCACGTCCTTCAGGTGAGAGATGGTCCCAGGCATGCACAAACATTCCAGGATATTAATTGATGATGAAAAGTCATCATTAATTTATTGGCATATTTTGTCTTTTATTCCTGCCTCCTTCCATCCTTTGATAATTTATCCATCAGATATCGATGTAATAATACCCATCAGGTGCTAAGTGCTGTGTTTGGTGTCCAGGAGCCAAGGAAGTGTAAAGCACAATTCAAATGAACTGATATTTATCAAGTGCCGCTATGTGCCATTCACCGAGTTGGGGGCTCCAGGCATTCTGTGGACTTGCTTTGGTGCAATTTTCATCCTAGCTAGACAAGTGGGCAAACAGATAATTACACAGTGTGATATACACAGTCTATAATCGAGGTGCATACAAGGAGCTGTGGGAGCAGAGTGGGTGTGGCCTTCACCCTGCTAAGGAGCAGGAAAGGCTTTGCCTAGGATGTAACTTTTTTTTGGGAGGGGGGCACAAGCTCTCACTCTGTCGCACAGACTGGAGTGCAGTGGCACGATCTTGGCTCACTGCAAGCTCCGCCTCCCGGGCTCAAGCGATTCTCCTGCCTCAGCCTCCGGAGTAGTGGATTACAGGTGCGCGTCACTACCGCCCGGCTAATTTTTGTATTTTTAGCAGAGATGGGGTTTCACCATGTTGGCCAGGCTGGTCTTGAATGCCTGACCTCAAATAATCCACCCCCCTCAGCCTCCCAAAGTGTTGGGATTACAGGTGTGAGCCACCTCGTCTGGCTCCTTTTTTTTGGAAACAAGGTCTCACTCTGTCACCCAGGCTGGAGTGCAGTGGCATGATCTGGGCTCACTGCAACCTCTGCCTCCTGGGCTTGGGTGATTCCCCCACCTCAGCCTCCTGAGTAGCTGGGGCTACAGGCACGTGCCACCATGCCAGGCTACTTTTGTATTTTTTGCAGAAACGGGGTTCCTCCATGTTGCCCAGGCTGGTCTAGAACCTGTGGGGTCAAGCAATCCACCTGCCTCAGCCACCCAAAGTGCCGGGATTATAGACGTGAGTCACTGTGCCCGGCCAGGATGTGACTTTTAAGCTGGATCTTGAAGAAAGAGGAAAAATTAATCCAGCCTGAGCAAAGGCTTGGAGGCCTGGTTAGTGAACAACAAATTATTTGGTGTGGCTGGAGTGAGGGTCCTCACATCTTTCTGGGCTTCGGACCTGGACCCCAGATTCAGTTGTCCAGGGTAGGGCCCAGGGTTCTGAATTTTTAACTAGGGCCTCAAGTGATTCTGGTACAGGTGCGAGGTCCCACAGACTGGGAAACTCGGGCCTGTGGCTTCAGCGGCAAGAAATGTGGATGAATCTGGAACAATGCATTAGGGCCAAGCTGTGCAGGGTGTTAAATGCCATGCTAAGGAATTTGGACCTGTCTTGTTCTCAATGGAGAGAGTCCATTGGAGGCTTTCAAGCCCTGGAGTGGTGGTTTTGGAAGGAAAATGTTGCCAGCAGCCTGGTGGGAGGAACAGAGACCCGAGAGGCTAGAGAGAAGAAGCCCAGTGAGGAAGCTTTCACAGCTGTCCAGGCCAGCCATCCTGGAGGCCTGAGCTGGGGGTTTGGGGGGGCGGTGGGCAAGGAGCATGGGAGTGGGGGCGCTGGATTTGAGAGGGCTCTGAAAAATGGGGCGCAGGCCTGCAGTAGATGGATGAGGAAGGTGAAGGAGAGGTTGTTGAGAATGGGCTGGGGGGCCTCAAGGGCTGATCAGGATGCACCAGGGCAGTGGGTTGAGGGGAGGAACAATAGAGCCAATTTGCATGAGTTGAGTTTTTCACTCATGTGACCTCCAGGAGGATGTGGGTAACAGGTATTGGATCTTGTCCGAAGCTTGGAGAAGGTGGTTGAAGTTGAGGGGAGAGCTTTTTTTTTTTTTTTTTTTTTTTTTTTTTTGAGAGGGAGTTTTGCTCTTGTTGCCCAGGCTGAAGTGCAATGGTGCAATCTTGGCTCACCGCAACCTCTGCCTCCTGGGATCAAGCGATTCTCCTGCCTCAGCCTCCCAAGTAGCTGGGATTACAGGCATGCGCCACCATACCTGGCTAATTTTGTATTTTTAGTAGAGACAGGGTTTCTCCATGTTGGTCAGACTGGTCTCAAACTCCCAACCTCAGGTGATCTGCCAGCCTCGGCCTCCCAGAATGCTGGGATTACAGGCATAAGCCACCACGTCTGGCTGAGACTTTGAAGAGCAAAGAGGTATTAGAAGACTGTAGACTGCTTACGAATCTTCAGGGCACGTGGAGGCAGAATTAGAAAAAGAGGCCAGGTGTGCTGGGCCACACCTGTAAGCCCAGCACTTTGGGTGGCCAAGGTGGGATTGCTTGAGGCCAGGAGTTTGAGACCAACCTGGGCAACAAAGCAAGACACCCACTCCCCATGTCAAAAGCAGAAGCGAAGAGAAGGGGAGGGGAGGGGAGAGGAGGGGAGGGGAGGGGAGGGAAAGGAGAAGGAAAGAGGCAAGAAGAACACACTAGAAAAGTAGCTGTTTGGTTGTTTTTTAATTTATTATCTCCACTTTGCAGATGGGGAAACTGGGACTCAGACAATTAAATAACTTGTCCATGGCCACTATGCTTAGCAGGGTAAGGCTGGAGTTTTGAACCTAAGTCTCTTTGGCTCCAGTGCCCATACTCTCTTGGCTGAGTCTCCCAAAGGCAAATCCTGTCCCCAGACACAAAATAAACAGATTCAAAGATTGGGGGTGAATGGGTGGAGGTGAGGAAGATGCAGCAAAAAGAACTTGCAGGAGGCCAGGCGCGGTGGCTCACGCCTGCAATCCCAGCACTTTGGGAGGCTGAGACAGGTGGATCTCCTGAGGTCAGGAGTTTGAGACCAGCCTGGCCAAAGTAGTGAAACCCCATCTCTACTAAAAATACAAAAATTACCCGGGTGTGGTGGCAGGCACCTATAATCCCAGGTACTCGGGAGGCTGAGGCCGGAGAATCACCTGAATCCGGGAGGCAGGTTGCAGTGAGCTGAGATCATGTCATTGCACTCCAGCCTGGGGGACAGAGCGATACTCCATCTAAAAAAACAAAAAAAGAATAACTTGCAGGACAGAGGCAGGGGAGACCAGCATATTAAGTGAGCCTATTTTTCATTCCTTCTCCCACTAGAATATATTGAAGAAAACCACAGACTTCATATTATTTCATCGATAAATATTTCAGTATGTATCTCAGAAAGATAAGGCTCTTTTTTAGACATAGTCACAATCCCATTATCACACTTTAAAAAAAAAATCTAACAATAATTCCTATTAAGGAAACCTATCGAGGACAATCTGACAAGACCTCAGAATGGAAGTGGGCTTGTATATCTTGAGCCAGCACTGTCACAAAGCCATGATAAGGAATTTAAATTTTCCCAAGATAATTACAGCCAAGGCGAACAGGGGGTTGGAAATGCAGGAGATTTGAGAAGCTTGTCTGGCTCTGGAAAGGAAATGTTATAAAGGAAGAAAAAAAAGACTGGAAAGGTTTACAGAGTACAAAAGACAAGACTCTTCTTTCTTTCTGACTTCCCCTTTCCTCATGCGAGGGTCTTTAGTCATAAATGAGAAATAGGAACCCGGGCTAGAGTGAAACCAAATGGATAAAAATAACACAACAAATACAGTATTGCTAAATGCAATGAGATAGAGGCATGGGGTTTATTTCCCACAAGGCTGTGCAAACTGCTCACTTCTTAGATAAAGGCTCTTCAGTTGCTGCTATTCAGAATCCCAGCTTCCTGAGAGGTCATGTCCATTGATTATTAACTGGTTATTGTGGACACTGACCTTCTACTAGGCATCAAGAAATCAGATTTCTAGACCAGGTGCAGTGGCTTACATCTGTAATCCCAGCACTTTGGGGGGCCGACGCAGGTGGATCACTTGAGGTCAGAAGTTTGAGACTCAGACTGGTGAAACCCCGTCTCTACTAAAAATACAAAAATTAGCCGGTGGCTCATGCCTTTAATCCCAGCACTTTGGGAGGCCGAGGCAGGCGGATCACCTGAGGTCAAGAGTTTGAGACCAGCCTGGCCAACATGGCGAAACCCCGTATCTACTACAAGTACAAAAATTAGCAGGGCGTGGTGGCGTGCGCCTGTAATCCCAGCTACTCAGGAGGCTGAGGCAGGAGAATAGCTTGAACCTGGGAGGTGGAGGCTGCAGTAAGCCGAGATCGTGCCACTGTACTCCAGCCTGGGTGACAAGAGCAAGACTCCATTTCAAAAGAAAAAAAAAATAAATTAGCCAGGTGTGGTCTCTACTAAAAATACAAAAATTAGCCAGGCATGTTGGCAAGCACTGTAATCCCAGCTACTTGGGGGACCAAGGCACGAGAATTGCTTGAGCCGTGGAGGTGGAGTTTGCATTGAGCTGAGATCGTGCCACTGCACTCCAGCCTGGGCAACAAAGTGAGACTTTTTCTTAAAAAAAAAAATATATATATTGGTCCAGCTCCTCCATGAAATTGCTCTGTGACCTTGGGCAAATTCCTTGACTTACCTGAGCTGTCTGTAAAGTGAGGGTATTAGACCATAAGACCTCATCATTTCCTTTAAGAGTCGAGTTCTCTGATTCAGTGAATACCTAGTGAAACAGTGCTTACTTCCTGGGGTTTAGAAAGCGTTACTAGGATTTGGCTCAATGTTACACTGCATCTGCAAAATGCTTGGATAGGCCGGGAGCGGTGGCTCGTGCCCTGCAATCCCAGCACTTTGGGAGGCCGAGGCGGGTGGATCACTTGAGATCAGGAGTTCAAGACCAACCTGGCCAACATGGCAAAACCTCGTCTCTACTAAAAATACAAAAATTAGCAGGGTGTGGTGGCGCGTGCCTGTAATCCCAGCTACTAGGGAGGCTGAGGCAGGAGAATCGCTTGAACCCAGGAGGCAGAGGTTGCAGTGAGCCGAGATCACACCACTACACTCCAGCCTGGGCAACAGGTGAGACTCTGTCTTAAAACAAACAAACAAAAAAAAGAATACTTGGCTAACCTCGGTGAAGGATGCCATGTGTTGATGATGCAGGTTCATGCTACAAAATCACCCAGCGTTGCTCTTGGCTGACGCCCCAGAGGAAATCTGAAACGCAGCACTACGTGAGCTCTCTGGAAATGGATGGTAGACGGAGAGCACGTGGAAACTGCACAGAGCCGTCCACAGATGGAGCCAGCTGCCTGAGGCTCAGGAAGCAAATTGAAGAAATAAGTTGAAACAACAGCCCAATGTGTTTTTTTTTGTTGTTTTGTTTCATTTTAATGGCAGGTAAAGGGGTTGACGGATGGGGACCAGGGATGTGGGGCTGAGATGGAGCTAAAGGGGAGGGGGCTGTGAAAGCCGGCAGGTCCAGTTGCCATATGTTGCTGGGATTCTGGGACCTTGACCTGGGGAACTGCATTTGAGCAGAGTCTGAAGAACTTGAGATTGGAGGGGAGCCAGAGGAAGTTGCAGAAGAACTTGAACCCGAAAGGGCAGAGGAAAAACAAAACAGACCCCATCCTGGGCCAGAAGAGAAGCCCTTTCCTGACACCTTGCCCTCTGTCCGGCTCATCATCACGTGAGGAAGGAGGGGCTGTGTGGCTCTTGGCTCCAGCTGCTCTGATTTCTTTTTTCAGTTCCTCCAAGGTGCTCTGTTCTTTCTTGCTGCATGGCCTCTGCTGTGTCCTCTCCCTGGAAGGCAGCTCTTTCCCCCGATCAACTTCCACTCAGACCTTAGCTTAAATGTGTTGCCTCCAGGAAGCCCTCCTTGGCCTTCTGATAAGACAAACCACTCCATTTTAAGTTCTTACGTCATTAGTCACTTTTAAAAAATAGTGCTCCTCACTGTTATCATTCTTAATGTATTTATGTGATTTTATCATTCTTTAATGTATTTAATGAATTTATGTGTATTATGTGATTTACATGTTTCTAAAAAAATGTCTAATTTTGAAACAACATTGAGCTTTTAGAAAAGTTGCAAGAATAATACAAAAACCTCTATAGGCCAGGTGCGGTGGCTCACGCCTGTAATCCCAGCACTTTGGGAAGCCCGGGTGGGTGGATCGCTTGAGCCCAGGAGTTCAAGACCAGCCTGGGCAACATAGCGAGACCTCATCTTTACAAAAAACAAAGCAAGCAAATTAGCTGGCTGTGATGGCACGAGCCTGTAGTCCCAGCTACTTGATGGTTAAGGTGGGAGGACTGCTTGACCTAGGAGTTCAAGGCTGCAGTGAGCTATGACTGCCGCAGCATTCCAGCCTGCACAACACAGCGAGACCCTGGTTCTAAAAAAATAATATTTCAAAAATTAAATAATTTAAATTAAATGAATTTTATTTATTTATTTATGGAGATACAGTCTCACTCCGACACCCAGGCTGGGGTGCAGTGGCACAATCTCGGCTTTGCAGCCTCAACTTCCAGGGTTCAGGTGCTTCTCCCACCTCAGTCTCCTGAGTGGCTGGAACTCCAGGCATGCACCACCATACCCGGTTAATTTTATATATATATATATATTTTTTTTTTTTTGAGATGGAGTCTCGCTCTGTTGCCCAGGCTGGAGTGCAGTGGCGTGATCTCGGCTGACTGCAAGCTCTGCCTCCCGTGTTCACTCCATTCTCCTGCCTCAGCCTCCTGAGTAGCTGGGACTACAAGCATCCGCCACCATGCCCGGCTAATTTTTTGTATTTTTAGTAGAGACGGGGTTTCACCGTTTTAGCCAGGATGGTCTCAATCTCCTGACCTCGTGATCCTCCCGCTTCGGCCTCCCAAAGTGCTGGGATTACAGACATGAGCCACCGCGCCTAGCAATTTTTTGCATATTTTTTGTAGAGAAGGAGTTTCACCATGTGGCCCAAGCTAGTCTCGAACTTCTGGGCTCCAGCAATCCACCTGCCTTGGCTTCCCAAAGTGCTGGGATTACAGGTGTGAGCAATCGTGCCTGGCTTAAATTATCTTTAACTTAATTAAATTAAATTTTATTTAATTTTTAAAATTAAATAAAAATAAAAAGAACTCCTGGCTGGGTGCGGTGGCTCACTCTTCTAAGCCCAGCACTTTGGGGGGCCAAGGTGGGTAGATCACTTGAGCCCAGGAGTTCAAGACCAGCCTGGCCAACATGGTAAAACCCCATCTCTACAAAAAAGTACAAAAAATTAACTAGGCATGGTGGTGCACACCTGTAGTCCCAGAGACTTGAGATGCTGAGGCGGGAGGGTCTCTTGAGCCCAGGAGGTGGAGGTTGCAGTGAGCCGAGATTGCACCACTGCACTCCAGCCTGGTCGACAGAGTGAAACTCTGTCTCAAAAAAAAAAAAAACACAAAAAATTGTAAAAACTCCCAGACTCAACAATTGTTAACATTTTGTCACATTTCCTTTGTGATTCTCTCTCCCTGTCTCTTTATATGTATACGTATAGATTATATGTAATCATACCTATATACATATAATATATGATTGTTTTTTCTGAACCTCTTAAGCATAATTTGCAGATATCTTGCCCCTTTACCCCTAAATAAGATCTTCACTTACACAGCCACAGTTGTATAAATGATCTGATTAATGGAATAACATCTGTTTTGACTTAAATGTAGGTTCCATGAGGGTGCGGCGGTATCTTGCTTTTTCACCCACGTATGTGTCACCTAGCATAGTGCCTGGTGCATAGCTGGGACTCGAAATATTTGTTGAACGTACAAGAATTCCTGAATTCCAAGGGCTTGCCATTAATATGGTGTTCTTGCCCCGCGGCCAGCTTTCTCACTCAGCCTGCTGCACGTGTTGGATGGGGCTGGGTGTTGAGACTTGTCCCGCCCATCTCTCGGTGGGGAATCAGGATCCCATCAAGGTAAATCAGTGCCTGAAGATGTGGCTTTGGCTTCTGTCATTTCTGTTAAATCCTCTCCAGCCAGCTCTGACCCTTGCCGAGCTACATTCCTTTTTTTTTTTTTTTTTTTTTTTTGAGATGGAGTTTCGCTCTTGTCCCCCAGGCTGGAGTACAGTGGCGTGATCTTGGGTCACTGCAACCTCTGCCTCCTGGGTTTAAGTGATTCTCCTGCCTCAGCCTCCTGAGTAGCTGGAATTACAGGCATGCACCACCACCCCCAGCTAATTTTTGCATTTTTAGTAGTGATAGGGTTTCATCGTGTTGGCCAGGCTGGTCAAGAACTCCTGACCTCAAGTGATCTGCCTGCCCCAGCCTCCCGAAGTGCTAGGATTACAGGCGTGAGCCACCGTGCCTGGCCCGGAACTACATCCTTGACTGGCAGCCACCTCTCCTCTGGCTCGGTGGCACCTGTTGGCCATCACACCCAGTTAACTGGCCCCATGAGAGAGTTCTGGCAAAGGCAGCTGAAAGGCTGGCCAATCTTCCCAGGCAGTTGCCTTTGTGAGGCACTGGCCTCAGCCTTGGAAACTGCCCTCTGTCCCCTTGGCCCACCAGGTGCTTTGGCCTACCTTACCGCCCACGTTGTGCTCTCCTGTTAGGATGTCGTAGCTCTTAGTTTACATAGGGGGCCAGTGGAGGGCATGATGTCCTCAGGGCAAGTAAGAGCTGGGGCCCACAGCCCACAGAATCCTGAGTTGGACAGGCTTTTAGAGATCAGATAGGACAGTGGTTTTCCAAATGTGGTCCCCAGTCAGCACCATCTGCACCTCCCGGGCACTTGGTAGACGTACCCCACCCCAGCTCTATTGAATCAGGAACTGATTAGGGTAGGGCACAACCATCTATGTTTTAATCAGCCCTTCAGGAGGTTCAGATGCGTGCTCAGGTTTGCAACCTTTTGCTTTAGGCCAACCCTGGCAGTTTTCAGGGCGGGGGTGGGGGGTTCACGCGGCTCCTGCCTCTCACATAGCACATTCTTTGCTCGCTGTTGCCCATCTGCAGCTACTGGCTTTTTAAAACAATGTTTTCAGAATAAAAAATAAGCTTATCACGGAGTTATTACATTACCATGGCAACCTGGCACCTGACTAGACAGAAGCAGGTAGCACAACTGCCTTGGGGTCTCAGTGGCACTAAAGTAATCGTGGATTTTTGCTCTGTGGGCTGTTCTGCGTATGAACAGCTTCTTTGTTTCTCTTGTCTTTTCCCCCTTTTTTCTCCTGTTTTCGGTTTGGACCCTTATTCCTCTCTCACCTCATTAGGAGCAAAGAATAATTGTTTTAGATTTTCCAAGAGGCTGCCACATCTGACCTCTCCTTTGAAACTAACAATAACCCCAAGAGGTAGCTGATATGAGCAGGGCTATTTTGCTGCGTTTTTTTTGTTCATTTGTTTGTTTGTTTTTAGATGGAATTTTGTTCTTGTTGCCCAGGCTGGACTGCAATGGCGCCGTCTCGGCTCACTGCAACCTCCGCTTCCCGGGTTCAAGCGCTTCTCCTGCCTCAGCCTCTCGAGTAGCTGGGATTACAGGCATGCGCCACCATGCCCAGCTAATTTTGCGTTTTTAGAAGAGTCTCACCATGTTGGTCAGGCTAGTCTCGAACTCCTGACCTCAGGTGATCCACCCTCTTTGGCATCCCAAAGTGCTGGGATTACAGGTGTGAGCCACCTCGCCAGGACCTGACTGCATTTTTATCATCATCGAAGTGTTGTATTAAAATTTTCTTGAATTGATTGTTTTGAGAAGGAACACGCACAGAAGGCAAAATTCAAAAGGTACAAAATGGTGCATGTTCAGAGTGAGTCTCTGAATGACTCTGTGTCCAGGTCTCCTCCCTGGGCCGGGGTGGGGGGCGGGGTCCCGTGATCTGTTTCTTGTGCTTCCTTACCGACTTGCTGAGACAGCCTACACATATAAAAGGTTTTTTTTTAAACCTTTCACCTTTGTTATTTACACATATGGCAGGTTCCATCCCCACTGCTCAGTACCTTGCTTCCTTCACGCAGTCTGTCTTAGGGATCCTTCTCCAGCGTTTAGAGTTGCCTTATGCTTTTTATTTTTTAATTTAATTTTTTAAAAATTTGAGACAGACTCTCACTCTGTTGTCCAGGCTGGAGTGCAGTGGTGTGATCTTGGCTCACAGCAAACTCTGCCTCCTAGGTTCAAGTGATTCTCATGCCTCAGCCTCCTGAGTAGCTGGGATCACAGGTGAGCACTAATTTTGTATTTTTAGTAGAGATGGGGTTTCACCATGTTGGCCAGGCTGGTCTCGAACTCCCAACATCAAGTGATCTGCTCACCTTGGGCAGATCCCAAAGTGTTGGGATTATAGGCGTGAGCCACCACACCCAGCCGCCTTATGGTTTTTAAGAGTCTGTTCCATAGTGTAGATGTATCACCATTTAAGCAGTCCCCTGTTGATAAATATTTGGGTTGCTCCTAGTCTTCTGCTATTTTCATCCTCATTTAACAGCTAGAAAAGTTGTGATTCAGAGAGGGACATGACCTGTGAAAGTTCCCAAAGCAAACGTTGGCATCTTCAGGCATTGCTTAGCTACAGAATATAAGAAAAAAGGAAGAGATGACTGACCCCTGAATTAGAGAAAACACAGAGCCATCCAGCGACCTGATTTCCTCTTCTGCCACACTAGTGTCTTAACTAGTTCAGTTAAATTCTTCTAACGTTGCCTGATATGGAATTAAATAATCATTTATGGAAGTATTTTAAATCTGTCTTCCTTGCTAGACAGTAACCTTTGTTAGGGCAGGGACTATGTTTTCCTCACTCCTTCATCCCTAGCAAGGACTATACTCCTAGAAAGTACTAAGTATATAGCAGGTGCTCAATAAATACCTGTTAAATGAATGAATGAATGGATCAGGATTGTGCGTGGTTAAGACAGTGGGCTTAGAGATCTTGCTTTGAATCCTGGGTTTAACAGTTATTACTATGTAATCCTAGACCCATCATTCAGCTTCTCAATACCTCCATTTCCTTAGGTGTGACATGGAAACGCTCCCTTGGGATTGCTGGATCAGGTGAGCAAACGCAGGTCAGGTATCCATCACAGGGTCTGTGTGCAGTGAGGCCTCAGCCATTTTTCCTAAGCCAGAGCTTCTTCCAACATCATATGCTGCCTGGAAATTCTGATGAAGGAACCGAAGAATCTTCAAGGCGGAGGTAATTTGAGCTGGGCCCTGAAGGAGGAGTAAGATTCCAGCTTATGTGGCCAGGGCCAGATTTCTTTCCTGAGTTCATCCAACTACAAAATGGAGATGATGACACCCAGTTTCTGTCTCCCTCTGGGAGCGCTGGTCTGGCTTAAAGTCTCTCAAGAGGAAAAACATCATACAATTAAAAGGCACCATCGTTATTCAACTGGAAAAGTGCCTTCCCGGGACAAGTGATTCTGCTTGTGCTGTGTATGATTGGATATTTAGTGTGAATTTAACCCAGGGTGTCAACTGTGCTGTCAGTTAGAGCTAAGTGTAATGGGGCACTTAGTAAATGTGGAGGTAATTAAAGCCATCCAGATGCTGGATGTGGGTGAGCTTTGTGCTGCCTCTGGGACTGAAATGCTTTAGAGAGATGAAGTTCTGGAGTCTCTTTTTGGGGTGCACTGGGAGTGTAAGTCCCGGCGTTGGCCTTTGCTGCTGCTGTACCCTTCTGCTGGAGACTGAAAGCCACCTATTCTGGGAAGCCTTCCCTGATCACCAAGACAGAATCTGATGTTCTGGGTTTTCCTGGCACCGCACACACTTCTCACAATATCCTATTATCTTAGTTTGTTTCTATGCCCATCTCCCCCAACTGGAGTCCAAGATATTGTCCCTAGGATTTTTCTGACATACAGTTAGTGCTCAATAAGTGTCTGCTGAATGAAGCTTTTCAGGTTTCACAACCATGGGAAATCTTGGGTCTCAAGAACAGATCAAGGTGTTTGATTTTCCTGGGAAGGGTAGACCCTGTGTAGTTCTGGCAAGTGATCCCTCTTCTGATGGAAATTCTGTTTGATGCCCTCCCTAGTGAGGCCAGGGTGGCAACGTGAGCCTATCCTCCTTTGCAGCAGACCTGAGCCCTGTAGATTTACAGATATCTGAGTGTGGAATCCAGCCCTGAGTCCACACCTTGTAGAAAGCAGGAGGAGAGCAGGCCTTGAACAACTGAAGTTGCTTATCTGCTATGAGCCTCCTGGAGGCCCAAATAAAGAATCCAGAATGTGGCGAGTCTCCACTGCTGCCTGGGCCCTGTTGCCTCTAAGATGAACTTATCGCTGACCTTTCTGGCACATGGAGAATGTCCCCACTGCCCGGAGAAGAGAGGCCTCTCCTTGTGGTCCTGCATTCTGGACTCAGTGGGATCCACCGCACTCAGCATTCTTGGCTTCATGCTGGAGCTGAGCGTAAGGTGAGAAGGAGTTGCTGGGAACACTGTGATACCTGGCTCAGGCAGGAACCACCCAAGTCAGGCATGATCAGATCTTGGACTGACAGCCACCTGCTCTGAACAAGGCCCTGGACTCTGGACTTACCACTGTCTCTGACCAACCCTTCCAGCTGGCCTTTCTACCTCCAGATTCGGAGTCTGGAGTCAGGCTTCTGGCTGGTCATGGTTAGGTCCAGTGTCCATGCTCCAGCAGGAATTGAGGGGAGCGTGTCCCTCCCATTCGTCTGCCATTATCTCCCTGCTTCTTGGGATTCCCACAAATGGGGTCTCAGATGCTGGGCAGCCCAAGTGACAAATACTAGCTGGGTTCCCATTCTATGAACTTGATATTCTCTCTCGGAGGGCTCCATCTCCTGGGCCCATCTCTGCCCCATGTGGTGTCTGCTGAGGTGCCTGGGTCTAGAGAATCCACTTCCAAGATAGTTTCTTTGTTCAAAAAATGTTTTTTTTTATTTTTTTATTTTTATTTGAGATGGAGTCTTGCTCTGTCACCCAGGCTGGAGTGCAGTGGCGCAATATTGGTTTACTGCAAACTCCGACTCCCTAGTTCAAACAGTTCTCCTGTTTCAGCCTCCTGAGTAGCTGGGATTACAGGCACATGCCACCATACCCAGCTAATTTTTGTATTTTAGTAGAGACGGGGTTTCACCATGTTGGCCAGGCTGGTCTTGAACTCCTGACCTTGTGATCTGCCTGCCTTGGCTTTCCAAAGTGCTGGGATTACAGGCGTGAGCCACTGTGCCTGGCCCAAAATTTTAAAACGAAAAATTAAAACATACAAAAAAGCCAAAAGAATTGTTCAAAAAATGCTATACCCATCATCTATTAGGTTGGAACAAAAGTAATTGCGGTTTTTGCCATTCCTTAACCTAACAGATTCTATGCTTAACTTTCATTCTGCCACATTTACTTTAACACACATGCATCCATCTCTCCACCGCTCTGAGGTAGCTTCTTCACTCTTGGGTCTGATGCCTGATGCTCCCTGCACTCTTTCTCCCTATGTGGCCTGAGCTTCTCACAGCTCGGTGGTCTCGGGATAGTTGTTCTTTCTGCATGGTGGCTGATTTCCAGGCCAGTTCAACACCATGCTTGAAACTGACACAGCATCTCTTCCACAATTGTCTATTGCTCAAAGCAGTCACTGGGTAGAAGAGCATGTGGGATGGGGAATACCAGCCACTTAGGATAAACAGTCAGCTGCAAAGGGTGGTCAGTGGAGCCTTGAAAAGGTGATATTGGGGCTCGGTGCGGTGGCTTATGCCTGTAATTCCAGAACTTTGCGAGGCCAAGGCAGGTGGATCGCTTGAGCTCAGGAGTTAGAGACCAGCCTAGCTAACGTGACAAAACCCCATCTCTACCAAAAATATGAAAATTAGCTGGGTGTGGTGGCACATGCCTGTGGTGCCAGCTACTCAGGAGGCTGAGGTGGAAGGATTGCTTGAGCTGGGGAGGTGAAGGTTGCAGTGAGCTGAGATCATGCCACTGCACTCCAGCCTGGGAGACAGAATGAGACCTTGTCTCAAAAAAAACCAAAAACCAAAAAACAAAAACAAAAAAAAAAAAAAAAGAGAGAAAGAAAGAAAGAAGGAAGGGAGGGAGGGAGGGAGGCAGGATGGGTGGTATTGGGGCTGAGCCCTATGGAAAGAGAATGAACCTGTCTTGTGGAGAGCCAGAAGACAGCATTCTAGACAGAGAGACCGACAAAGGCAATGGTTTGAAGGTGGAAAAGCAAATGTCGTACCTCTACTTTCCCTTTTCCACATCCAAATCCAGCCCATCATTCGGGACCCACATTGAGCTGCCTCCCTCACGAGGCCTTCCTAGATACTTCGGCGCGTGCTGATCCTGCCCCTCTTCCTAGAGCTTTCATGTGTGTACACTCATCTGACATGCACAGGTCAGCTGGGTAGTGCAAAGGTTATGCATGCAGACTCTGCGAGGCCTTAGGGAAGCTGCTTAACTTTTCCAGCCTTAGGTTTCTTCACCTGTAATGCCTACTTTATAGGGTGCTGGGGGAGAATATTGATACGTGTAAAGTGCTTGGCACCTTTACACATATGAATATGCAATAAACAGCAGCTACAATTAATACAAAACTGGCTCACTCAGTCAAGTGTGACTCCAAGAAAATATTTTTCAGAGAAGAGGCTACGGCTTTTTTGGCTTTTTCTTCTTCATTGTGCAATCACTGTGCCTTGCATAGATATTAGGCATAGAAATAAGCCTGCCACAAAGCTCTCCTCCGTGCTGTGGTGCTCATGGAGCCATGCAGGGCACAGAGACAGCAAAACTCAGCTGGAGGCCTCTAAGAGCTTCTAGAGAGTGAGCAAGTAGCTGTGCCTGTCATTGTGCCTGCAGCAGTCACTTGGGCGATCTTTTACATTTGGATACAGAGAGTAACAGGTTTCAAAGCACCTGCACACCTGGATTAGTATGCTGGGGCTGCTCTAACAAAGGACCACAAACTGAATGGTTTAAACAACAGATATTTACTTTTTCCCAGTTCTAGGGACTAGGAATCTGAAATCAAAGCGTCAGTGGCACCTTCTGAGGGCTGTGAGGAGCCTGTCCCATGCCTCTTGACTAGCTTCTGGTGGCCTGCTGGCAATCTGTGGTGTTCCTTGGCTGTAGAGGCATCGTCCCGATATCTGCCTTCATCTTCACATGACGTTCTCTCTATGTGTGCATCTGTGTCCATGTTCCCCCTCATTTAAAATAAACTATTTCCTTTTTTAGAGACAGGGTCTTGCTCTACCACCCAGGCTGGAGTGCAGAGGTGCGATCATAACTCACTTCAGCCTCCAACTCCTGAGCTCAAGCGATCCTCTCATCTCAGCCTCCTAAAGTGCTGGGACTACAGGCAAGAGCCATCGCGCCCTGTCAAAATTTCCCCTTTTTATAAGTACAGCAGTCATACTGGATTAGGGACTACCCTAACACTCTCATTTTAACTTGATTACCTTTGTAAAGCTCCTATCTCCAAATAAGATCCCATTGTGAGGTACTGGGGGTTACGGCTCAAACACAGCTTTTTGGAGGGACACAATTCAACCCAGAAAACACTCTCCTCACTCACACCCTGCAGTGTGTCTCTCCAGGGCAAGTAGTAAGTCCTGTCCTAAACATCTGCACCCTGCAGGCCTCAGTGTCACCCCCTCAGCTATTCTTAGGCTCCAAGCCGTTTCTCACTACCCAGCCTTTCCACCACCCATCGTGCTTTTTCCTCCTTCTCTTTGCCTGGCAAAGTCCTCCTCATTCTTCATTTCTTTTTTTGAGATGGAGTATTGCTTTGTTGCCCAGGCTGGAATGCAGTGGTGCGACCTCGGCTCACTGCAACCTCTGCCTCCTAGGTTCAAGCAATTGTCCTGCCTCAGCCTCTCAAGTAGCTGAGACTACAGGTGCACACCACCATGCCTGGCTAATTTTTTGGGTATTTTTTGTAGAGACGGGGTTTCGCCATGTTGCCCAGGCTGATCTCAAACTCCTGGGCTCAAGCAATCTGTCCACCTTAGCTTCCCAAAGTGCTGGGATTATAGACGTGAGCCACCACTCTTCATTTCTTACCAGAAATGTGATCTCATGGACGTCTTCCCTCATCACCTCTCTTTTGATTGTATCTCCCATGTTATTGCTTCTCTCATGGCTCCCCCTTCTTCCTTCCCAACACATCTCATGGTTTTTAAGTGTACATTTATCTGTGTGATTGATTAGTGGGGGTGACAGACATTGACCCCTAGTCTATAAGCACAGTCAGGGTAGGATCCCACCTACTCACCATTGTCTTCCCAGTTTCATAGTGCATGATCCAGAGTAGAAACTCCATAAATATTTTTTAAATGAATAAATTATGCATTTTGGGTCCCCCATGCCACCTCACATAGTATGGGATTAGTGAATGTTGAGTGTATTATTTGTCTTCTAAGAGACTGAATTCCTTTAGGGCAAGATAGGTCTCTCTCTCTCTCTTTTTTTTTTTTGGAGTCTCTGGTATCTAACCTCTGTTCCTTGATCCTCTATGTATGTTATCTAGGCTGCATAACCAATTATCCTAAAACTTAGGAGCTTAAAACAATAACATTTAGTATTTCACAATTTCTGTGAGGCAGGCATTCAAGTGGCATTGCAAGGTATTTCTGGCTCAAGGTTGCTCTTGAGTTTACACTGAAGATTTTGGCCAGGCCACAGTCATTTGAAAGCTTGACTAGGACTGCTGGAGCCACTTGGCTCATACACATGGCTGGCAAGTTGGAGCTGGTTGTTGGCAGGCAGCTCAGTTACTCCCCATGCGAGCCTCTCCATAGGACTGCTTGAGTGTCTTCACAACATGGATTCCCCATGAGCAATCAAGACAGAGGAAAGAGGAAGTTGCAATGTCTTTTATGACTTTATCTTGGAACTCGTGCTCCAAGATTTCCGCAATATCCTATGGGTTATACAGGTCAGTCTTATTCTTGGTGGGAGGTGACTACAGAGGGGTATGGATATCAGGAGCCAAGAATCGTCAGGGTTTATGGTGGAGGCTGGTTATCACACTCTCATCTAGGTTTCTTTTTCTCCTACTACTTGCCCCCCACCCCTTCTTAATCATGGAACACTGTTCTTTGCCTTCAAAAAACTTATCCTGTTATATGATTACACATTCATTTAATTAGTCTGTCTCCCTCCAACGGACTGTAAGCACCACAAGGGCAGAGACTGTATGTGTCTGCTTTAGCACTGTGTCCTCAGTTACAAGGACAAAGCATAGAGTACGCGCTCAGTGAATGCTTTTTGAATGAATTATAATGATTTGCTTCTGTCTGAATTACAAGAGGTGTTTCTGTTTGTCTCCTCTCTGCATTGTAGGCTCCTAGCTCAGGACCTGGCATAAAATTAAGGAAATGAACGTGAGAAACACTTTTGAAATAGTGACAACACATCCAGATGAACATTTTGCAGGACAGCTACACACCCGTTTTAGCTCACCAGCTACCAGTTGTGACTGTGCTCTGCTCTGGGAGATGGCTTAGCTTTGCATAGGACAAAATTCTAATCTAGTTTCGCGCAGTTCTTACGAATTTGTTACAATGAGACGGGCCAAGCTATACAGCCCATTGCGATGAATAAGTAACTTTTTTTTTTTTTTTTTTTTTTTTTTGAGGAAGAGTCTCATTCTGTCGCCCAGGCTGGAGTGCAGTGGCGCGATCTCGGCTCACTGCAACTTCTGCCTCCCGGGATTCAAGAGATTCTCTTGCCTCAGCCTCCCAAGCAGCTGGGATTACAGGCGCCCGCCACCACGCCCGGCTAATTTTTGTATTTTTGGTAGAGACGGGGTTTCACCATGTTGACCAGGCTGGTCTCGAACTCCTGACCTCAAGTGATCCGTCCGCCTCGGCCTCCCAAAGTGCTGGGATTACAGGCGTGAGCCACCGTGCCCAGCCCCGAGAAGTAATTTCTTTTGTTTTCTTTTTAATTAAACAAAAATGTTGCTGAAACGAGCTGAGTGATATAGGAGCTTAAAGAATTGACAAGCTCTAGATTTCATTTCCCCAAACCTCTTTGTCCAGCTCGAACCCACAGAACAGGGACAAAAGTCGACAAAACCCAGCGGTGCCTCACCCAGAAACCTGGCAACGCGGGCGGAACAGAGCCGGTTGGTTGCTCAGTGCGCGTCACTTCCGGGACTCAGGGTCGCAGGGAACTACTTCCGGGGGAGCGGCGCGGCGGCGCGGGAGGTGAGTGCCGCAGCTTTGCGGTGGGGTGGGAACCGAGAGAGAGCCGTCCTCGGTGCGGTGGCCTGGCTTTCCCGGCCGGCCTGTCTCCAGCGGCGCCGCTTGGTGGGCCCGGCTGTCGCTCCGCTCAGGGCCTGAATACGTTCCCTCGGCGGTTGTTCGAAAGTTACTTCCGGAGGGGAATTTGAGCCCCCCGGGAGGCGGAGGGCCTCGCCTGGGGCAGCCCTGCGCTTTCGTGCGGAGGCTGGGCCAGAACCCAGGGCTCCTCATGGCCTGGTCCGGGCCTTTCCTCCCACGGGTGGAGCAGTAGGAGAACCCTGAGCTCCAGAGTGAATCTGGCCAGGGTTCGAATCCGTATGGCTCTCTTACCGTGGGCAAGTCACGGTTCCTCTCTGGCCCTCAGTTTCGTCTTCTAAAATGGACATACACGCTTGTACTGCGGGGTAAACCGAGGTGGTGAATGTAAAGCCCTTAGTAGGTGCACAGTCCATGTTTGTTGTACGAATTCTAAGAGAAGCGAGAAATGAATATGAGAAACATTTTTAAAATGGTGACAACACATTTAGATTAATAATTATATTTTGCAGGGCATCTGCACACCAGTTTCAGCCCACCGGCTACCAGTGTGACTTTGCCCAGAGAGGTGGCTTAGCTTTGCATTCTAATCTAGTTTTGCGTGGTTCTTAGGAATTTGTTTTAATGGGACGGGCCAGGCTGTACAACCCATTGCCATAAAGCGGTAACTTCTTTTTCTTTCCTTTTTTTTTTTTTAAAGCCATTCTATTTATTTATTTAGAGACGGAGTCTCTCTCTCGTCCACGCTGAAGGGCAGTGGCGGGATCTTGGCTCACTGCAACCTCCGCTTCTTGGGTTCAAGCGATTCTCCTGCCTCAGCTTTCCGAATAGCTGGGATTACAGACGTGTGCCACCACGCCCGGCTAATTTTTGTATCTTTAGTAAAGACAGGGTTTCACCATGTTGGCCAGGCTGGTCTCAAACTCCCGACCTCAGGTGATCCACCCGCCTCGGCCTCCCAGAGTGTTGGGATTATAGGCGGGAGCCACCACACCCGGCTTTTTTTTCTTTTTAATTAAAAAAAAGTTGAAATAGAGATGGAGTCTCACTATGTTTTCCTGCCTGGTCTTGAACTCCTGGAGGCAAGATATCCTTCCTCCTGGACCTCCCAAAGTGTTTGGGATTACTGGCAAGAGCCACTGTGCCTGGCCTAAAACAGTAACTTCTGACACTGGTTTCTATTCCCCAGTCTGTTTTCAGCTGAATTTTCACAATAGAATTTAAAGTTACTTCATTAGAAGCCAAGAATGGCCTACCAGCACAGTACACAACATTGGGAGATGAAGGCCTGTGGCAGTCGTGAAATCTGAGTTTTTCAGTCTTAAGAGAAGATTTAGTATTTGCTAAGTCTTGAGAGCTATACTTGTCTCAGTGGTTTTTTATTTATTTGTTTTGAAATGTTGACCCATTCTTTTTTTCCCCAATAACCTTTTTGTTTTAGAATAATTTTAGATTTACAAAGTTATCGCAAAGATACTTCAGTGAGTGCCCATATAGCCCACGTTTCCCCTATTACTAATATCTGAAATGTCACAATTACTGAACCAATATTGATACATTATTATTAACTCTAATCTGTACTTTATTCACATTTCCTTAGTTTTTCCCTAATGTCCTTTTTCTGTCCTGGTATTATCCAGGGCACCCTATTACATTTAGTCATCATATCTCTTTAGGCTCATCATCTCTGTGATCGTTTCTCAGACTTCCCTTGTTTTAGATGAACTTGAGGGTTTTGAAGATAGTACTGACTGGTCAGATATTTTGCAGAAGGACCTTTAATTAGGATTTGCCTGTTTTTGACATGAGTAAGATCAGGGTAATGGGTTTTTGGGGAGGAGGACCACTGATAGGGTTCGGCTGTGTCCCCACCCAAATCTCATCTTGAATTGTAGCTCCCATAATCCCCCCATGTTGTGGGAGGGTCCTGGTGGGAGACAATTGAATCATGGGGGTGGGTCTTTCCCATGCTATTCTCCTGATAGTGAATAAGTCTCAGGAGATCTGATGGTTTTATAAAGGGCAGTTCCCCTGCACACACTCTCTTGCCTGCTGTCACATAAGACATGCCCTTGCCTCCCCTTTGCCTTTTGCCGTGATTGTGAGGCCTACCCACCCATGTGGAACCGTGAGTCCGTTAAACCTCTTTTTCTTTATTAATTACCCAGTCTCGGGTATTTCTTCAAAGTGGTATGAAAATGGACTAATCCAACCACAGAAGTAAAGTGCTATTCTCATCACATCATATCAAGGGTACATACTATCGATATGAGTTATCATTGTTGACATCTGTTAGCTTGAGCCACCTGGCTTGAGGTAGTAGTCAGGCTTTTCCAGTGTAGAGTTACTTTTCCTCCTGCACTTTCCGCACTGTACTTTTGGAGAAAGTCATTATGTACAGCACACATTTAAGGAGTGTGGAATTATGCCCCATGCTTAAAGGCAGAGTATATAATGCAAATTATTTGGAGTTCTCTGTGGGAAATTTGTCTGTTCCCCTATTTTTTGCTTACAGAGTCATATATTTGTATCGGTGTGAACTCATGGATTTGTTTTGTTTTGAGACAGGGTCTCCCGCTGTCGCCCAGGCTGGAGTGCAGTGGTGCAGTCTTGGCTCACTGCAACCTCCACCTCCCGGGTTTAAGTGATTCTCCTGCCTCAGCCTCCTGAGTAGCTGGGATTACAGGCACCTACCACCATGGCTGGCTAATTTTTGTATTTTTAGTAGAGAGAGTTTCACCATGTTGGCCAGGCTGGTCTTGAACTCTTGACCTCAGGTGATCCACCTGCCTTGGCCTCCTGATTACAGGAATCCCCTCTCCTGGGATTACAGGCGTGAGCCACCATGCCGGGCCTGAACTCATGGATGTTTATTTTATACTTTGGACCAGAATCCAGTACTACTTTATTTTGTTGCTGAAATTGTTCCTCCATTGGCCATTGGGAGCTCTTCCACTTGGCTCCTGTATCCCTTTGACATATCCCCCTCTATATGTTTTGCTTTGTTTTGTTTTGTTGAGCACTTTCTTTCTATTCCAGACTCATCTGGTATGTTTCTGCCCCAGTCCTAGAATTAGCCATTTCCCAAGGAGCCCTGGCTCCTTTTATTGGAGAATGGCCCAGAAAACAAGATCTGGGCTCTAGGTATGCTCAGTGCTTCTCAGTGTCCTTGCTTCTAGGCCTTCGCAGTGGACAGAGTAAGAGACATACGTATATATGCACAGATCTAGAAGTATTTCCATATATAACCACCTGTATCTACGTTCAGCTAAACATAACTGATGTCCAACTCTTATCCATGACTGCATGGATTGTTCTAGCTTGGCAGTCCCCAACCTTTTTGGCACCAGGGACCGGTTTCATGGAAGACAATTTTTCCACAGACCTGGGGGTGGGGATGGTTTTGGGATGATTCAAGTGCATTACATTTATTGTGCACTTTATTTCTGTTACTATTACATTGTAATATATAATGGAATGATCATACAACTCACCATAATGTAGAATCAGTGGGAGCCCTGAGCTTGTTTTCCTACAACTAGACAGTCCCGTCTGGGGGTGATGGGAGACAGTGACAGATCATCAGGCATTAGATTCTCATAAGGAGCACACAGCCTAGATCCCTCACATGCACAGTTCACAATAGGGTTCGTGTTTCTATGAGAATCTAATGCAGCCGCTGATCTGATAGGAGGTGGAACTCAGACGGTAATGTGAGTGATGGGGAGCGGCTGTAAATATAAAAGAAACTTCGCTTGCTCACCTGCTGCTCACCTCCTGCTGTGCGGCCTGGTTCCTAACAGGCCATGGACTGGTACTGGTCTGTGGCCTGGGGGTTGGGGACCTGTGTTCTAGCTTCCTTCTCTTGCTTGTCTGTAACCTCCCACTCCACCTGTGACAAACCCGACTCCCACCATTCACCATACATTTACTTAATTGTTCCATTTAGCATACATGTATGGTGGTTTTAGAATTGCTCCCCCGATCCCCTGTGGGAAACAACTTATCAGCTAGAGTACAGTGTGTACGTGCAGTTCCTTTTGCCTTCAGTCTTACAGGCTCCACTCGTTTTCAAAGTTACTTAGGTCAGCACCCTATTCCCCCACTACCCTTTCAGTGAAGTTGTTTAATACATTTGGATTCAGAATGTCACATTCTGCATTCCATCCTGGAACACCCTGACTTCATGCGTGTGTATGTTGGTGTGTTTTAAAAACTGGGTCTCACTATGTTGCCCAAGCTGGTCGCAAACTGCCGGGCTCAAGCAATCCTCCTGCCTTGGCCTCTCACAGTTCTGGGATTATGGGTGTGAGCCACTGTGATGGCCTTCCTATGTCTTTTTAAAAATATTTGCATACATTAAACTTTACTCTTTGTGCTGTCAAGATTTTTGGGTTTTGACAAATGCTTAATATTTTGTATTCCTAATTATAGTGTCATACAGGATAGTTTCCCCTTCTTCAGGGATTATTTTTAACTTCTTTCAGATTTCACCTCAGCATTCCTGTTGGCCTTCACCAAAATATATCTGTAAGCTGAGAATTTACCACCTCCACAGCTACCACCCTGGTGCAAATGTGTCTTTTGACTGTTAAAGTAGCCTCTTCACTGGTCTCCTTGCTTTCAGTCTTGTCCCCTACAGTCTGTTGTCAACAAAGCAGCCAGAGGGATCATTTTGAAATGAGTGAGACCATGTGATTTCTTTGCTAAGAACCTTCCAGTAGTTCCCTTTTCACTCAGAGACTGGCCAGAGTCCTCATAATGGCCTGCAGCTTGCTTACTTGACTGTTCTTGATCATGATGCTTATTCCTGCCTCAGGGACTTGGCCCTTGCCGTCCCTCCATCCTGGGATACTCTGGCAGATGTTTAAATGACTTCTTCCTTTGCTTTCTTCTTTCCTCTGTTGAAATGTCACCTTTGCAGAGAGGCCCTTCCCCGACCACCTCATATTAAATAGTACTATCCTCTTCTTCCTTCCTGTATGTATTGTAATACTCACCCCTGACATTGCATGTGTATGTGTGTATGTGAGTACTTCTAACTGAATGGAAACTCCGTGGCAGGGATTAGACCAGTGCCTGGCACATAGTAGATTCACAATAAATATTTGTCCAATGAATTAATGTCTTACGTCACCAGTGTCTGGCATTCAGGGGTGAACTTCGCAGTGTCCAGTAACCTCATGAAATTATTTGCCACGTTCAGTAATAATTAATTATGCACCTTTTGTTAAATTCTGATGGGGTATGAAAGTCCCCTGGTGTATAAAAACCTCTACCTGTAAGCAAGTCTGGAGCAGGACAGGGCTAGAGACCAGGATAGCAGCTCTGCCCTGACTCATCAGGAGAGTCTAGGGAAACCTCGTGGCCTCTCAGCTCCTCCTTGTCGTTAAATGATGACTCTGTTGGTTGAGGCATCTGCTCTTGCTTTCGAGGTGGGAAACAGAGGCATAGGCTTAGTCATTTACCAAATATTTATGAGTCAGGACCTGGAATAAACTCAAGATGTACCCAAGATCCTTGCTGTTCAAGAGATTACAATGGATCAAATAGAAAACAGTAGATTCCAGTGTAATATTTCTCAAACAATAAGAAATAACATTCTAAAATTTGATCCAGCACATGCATGCTCAGATGTAGATGGATGTTGAAAAAGCTTCAGGATATAATACCGGCCCTTAATGTGATACTCTTTGATATTTTCTATTGTTATTTACCTACTTAAATAAAGTGCTGGCTAATAAAAAATGCTGGTTGCAGCCCCCTAAATGGTTTTCCTGGCTCACTAATGGGCCACAGCCTGCAGTTTGAAAACGATTGACATACTGGGTAAGCGCCCTGACTCTGGGGAAGCCAGCCCCTTTGAATCTTGCCTTTGCCACTTATCAGCCAGGTTATCCCTGGGTAGGTCATATAACCTCTCCAAGCCTTGGTTTCCTCATCCTCATTAGTAATACCACCTCCCAGTGTGGTGGTGAAGTATGCGAGTTGCTGCCTGTAAAGTGCTGTTCGCAACACCTGGCCGTTCATTTGCCGACTGCTGCTGCTGCTGGAACAATGGCCAGGGAACAAAACCTGTCACAGCCAGTCGAAGGGGTGTCTCCTAGTTGAGATCTGCAGGATGAATAGGACTTGTTTGACTTTGGTCATCAGGAAAGGAAAGCCCAGAAATACTGGCAGGAGGGCTGGGAAGTAAAGCACAGAGGTGCAGAGAGAACTAGATGAGAGCCGTACGGCGCACAGTGTGTGTAGAGCAGTTTATGTTTCCAGAACCTTTTCACAACCACCCTCCTGTTACACCTGTGCTGTCCAGTAGGGAACCTTTGGCCACATGTGGCTTTTTATTGTTAATTAGTTAAATAAAATGAAAAATTCAGTTTCTCTGTAACATTTAAGTTTTCAACAGCCACATGTGGCTGGTGGCTACCATTTGGAGAACACAAATACAGAACATTTCCATCACTGCAGAAAGCTTTATTGGACAGTATGACATTATACCCTAACAAAAGTCTTGTGAAGGAAGTAGGTAGGGCATAGATTTTTCTTAGATACTTTATTGTTTCATAACATTCCAAAAAATTAAAACTCATGACTTATTCACCTTAACAGCAACTATTTATGTTTCTGTAGCATCTTTTGATCTTTAGCCCATGAAATCAGCTTATAGATGGTTCCAATCATAGTGTTTATACAATTGCTTATTTTTTTCAATTACTGTTACTTTGCAAAGACTTTCCACTGACCTGATACACAATGTTTATATTTGCCGGGTTAGTGAAGAGGGATTATGCCATGATGTACCATCACTGGGTTAACTGCTTCCTGATTGTTGGACGCCTGGGTTGCTTCCTGTTTTTCAGTATTATGAATAGTGCTGCCATGAACTTTTTTGTACCTGAAGGCTTTTTCTTCTTTTGAATTGTTTCCTTACTATAAATTCTAGGAAGTAAGTTATTCAGTCAAAGGATATAATCACTTTTATGGCTCTTGTTATATTTTGTCTAATTGCCATTTTTTAAAAAAAGGCCTAAATGTATTATAGGTATCATTGTTGCTTGGCTCATGAGAACATCCCGTCTCCAGAGGTCAAGAGATTATTAGCCCAAAGTGTAGCTACTTGCAGATAGAGCAGGGGCTTTTGTCCTCTGCTTCCCAACTCTTGCCCTATCTTTCTATTGTACCACTCCAAATATTTCTTATCACAATGTTGCTGTTAGTAGTAACACTAGTAAATCTGAGTATTTATAAGCTCATAAAGCTTGTTACAGCCTTAAGCAAAAAGCTTGGGGCCAAGGGCGTTTTAAAAAATGCACACTTTATGAGGTGCAACTGCGGAGAAATGAGGACGCGTTCTTAAGCTTTGGTATTCACATGGTGGTGGTGCTGGTAGAGGCTGTTACATTTCTTCCAGTGAAGCTGTTCTTGCAGCCGCCTTGGAATTCACTTCAGGGCCAGTTTATGAGCCACCCCAAGTAATCTGCTTGGAGTCTGAGCATCATACCTTGTATTTGACCAAAAATGGTATTCCTGAGCTCAGTGCCACCTGATTCACTGCACTTGGAACCAGATGATGTTGGGCTCTTTCCAGAAGTCAAATCCTTCCTGGGAGGATGAAGATCTGCCAGCTCTGAGGATTCTGGCTGGGAAGAAAAAGAGCCTCAAGCTTTGAAGGCCATTCCCATGGTAGACAGAGCTGATGTGAAAAGTGGCCATCCTGTTGCCCCAGGCACATGACCTTCTGAAGTGACCAGGCTGAAAGGGAAGCAATACTCGTGTGTAAGTCCGGCTCTGTTTACTTACGAAGGTTGTTTTTATTATTCTTCGGTTACTTCATGTTGGAAACATGGTGCAAAGCAGTGAAGCAGCAGAGCCAAGGTGGCGGCAGGCCTTTTTTTTTTTTTGAGATGGAGTTTCACTCTTGTTGCCCAGGCTGGAGTGCAGTGGCGTGATCTCGGCCCACTGCAACCTCCGTCTCCCGAGTTCAAGCGATTCTCTTGCCTCAGCCTCCCAAGTAGCTGGGATTACAGGCACCTGCCACCATGTCCGGCTAATTTTTTTGTATTTTTATTAGAGACGGGGTTTCTCCATGTTGGTCAGGCTGGTCTCAAACTCCTGACCTCAGGTGATCTGCCCACCTCAGCCTCCCAAAGTGCTGGGATTACAGGCGTGAGCCACTGCGCCCTGTGAGGCAGGTCTTTAGGATTGTCTCTACCCCAGGGCTTCCCCACAGAAATATAATACAGACTATGTATAATTTTACATTTTCCAGTAGCCACATTTAAAAAGCAAAAAGGGATGATGCCTGTAATCTCAACACTTTGGGAGGCTGAGGCAGGAGGATCACTTGAGCATAAGAGTTTGAGGCTACAGTGAGTTATGTTTGTGCCATTGTACTCCAGCCTGGGTGACAGAGTGAGACCCTGTCTCTAAATAAATAAATAAATAAATGGGTAAAAAGAAACAGATTTTTAAAAAATTGTGACAAAATATATGTAACAAATTTACCATTTTAACCATTGTTAAGTTTACAATTCAGTGGTATTTGCAGTGTTGTATAACCGTCATCACTGTCTATTTCTAGAACTTTTTCATCTTTGCAAACTGAAACTCTGTACCCAGTAAACAATATCTCCCCATTTCCCTTCCCTCCAGCCCTTGGTAACCTCAATTCTACTTTCTGTCTCTGAATTTGCCTATTCCAGGTACCTCATATAAGGGGACTCATACAATATTTGTCCTTTTGTGTCTAGCTTATTTCATATATATTTATTCAAAGCTCATAATGTTTTCAAGGTTCATTCATGTTGTAGCATGTATCAGAATTTCATTTCCTTTATGGCTGAGTAATACTCCATTGTATGTATATACTACGTTTTGCTTATCCATTCATCTGTTTATGGACTCTTAGTTGTTTCCATCTTTTGGCTATTGTGAATAATGCTGCTATGAACATTAGTATCTTGAGTCCTTGCTTTCAATTCAATTTTTTTTTTTTTTTAAACAGGATCTCTCACCCCGTCACTCAGGGTGGCGCAATCACGACTCATTGGCTCACTGCAGCCTAGACCTCCCAGCTGGAGCAATTCTCCTGCCTCAGCCTTCTGAGTAGCTGGGACTACAGGTGTGTACCACCATGTCCGGCTAATTTTTAAATTTTTTATAGCAACAGGGTCCCACTCTGTTGCCCAGGCTGGTTTCAAACTCCTGGGTTCAAGTGATGCTTCTGCCTTGGCCTGTCAAAGTGTTGGGCTTACACTTTGGGCGTAACCCACCATGCCCAGCCAATTATTTTTTACGTGTATTTTTTGGTGGCAGGGTGGGGTGGGGGCAGGGTCGGGTGGGGGCAGGGTCTCGCTCTGTCACCCAGGCTGGAGTGCAGTGGCGTGATCGTGGCTCACTGCCTTAAGCTCCTGGGCTCAAGTGATCCTCCCACCTCAGCCTCTCGAGTAGCTGGGAATACAGGAGTGAGCCACCACTCCTGCCTAATTTATTATTTTTTTTGTAGAGATGGGGTCTCGCTGTGTTGTCCAGGCTGGTCTCAAACTCCTGAGCTCAAGTGATCTGCCCACCGTGGCCTCCCAAAGTGCTGAGATTATAGGCGTGAGCCACTGCAATCGTTTCAGCATGTAATCAATATGAAAACATTATGAATGAGATAGATTACATTCTTATTTTCATACTAGGTCTTTGAAAATGGGTGTGTAATTAGCATCTCAATTCAAACTAGCTGCGTTTCAAGTCTTAATAGTCATGTGTGGCTCATGGCCACCATATTGGATAGCTCAGACTTAGCAAAATATTGCATTGTGGCACAGATCTCTGGAAACACAAAGGGTTTTAGATTCAAGTGGGCCTGGTTCCAAAGTAAATTTGCCCCTTTATCATTGGGATGGGCAGAAGAAAGCCACTGATGGGTGCTGTGGTAAAGGGGGAGCAGTTCAGTCATGCCAGGGGAAGAGGAGGGTGACAGGAGAGGCATGTTGGGGAGATGACACTTGAGCTCAGCCTTAGAGGCAGAGTGGGGGCTTTGTCAAGCAGTCACAGTGGGAAAGGACATTCTTTGCAGAGTATGCAGCTTGGGCAGAGGCCCAGGATTTTGAAAGAGCCCAGTGCTCTTGGAGAACCACAGCAGTTCTTTCAGCTTGACTAGGATATTAGGAGTGGGGGCCCTGCTGAGAGGAGAGGCTGGAGAGCTGGGCTGAGGCTGGACCTTGCACCACTGGCCACCACTGCCCCTGTCATTCACGCCATCAGCAGCTCTTGTCTGGCTTATTGGCAGGGGCCTCCTCCTGGCTCTCCCTGTGTCCACTTTGCCTCTCCCCTTGTTGTCCCTCCTCCATTTAAAAATGGAAGTCAGATCATGTCACTTTTCTGCTCAAAACCCTTCAGTGGCTTTACATTTTACTCAATCAAATTGGAGGTATCAGGGTCCGCCCCCACTCCTCTCTGATCATACCTCCTTCCACCCTCCCTCCTGATCACTTCTCTGCCTGTACTGGCCTCATTTCCCCACCCTGGGGCCTCCACACTTGCTTTTTTCCCTGCCTGGAACGTGTTTCCCTCAGATACACAAATGGCTCCCTCTCTCACTTCTTATCTCTTCCACTCCATTCCCGTCTCTGTTCTTCAGAGAGAGCCTTCTCATCACAAAATAAAATGATGCCCTTAAGTTTTTTCCAAAATGCTTATCACTACCTGGCATATCACATCTCGACGTGTTCATTGTCTGCTTCCATCCTGAGCATGTAGAGGCTCCAAGAAAGCAGGGGTTTGTCTGTTTTGCTCATTCTTCAGTGCTTGGTATTCAAGAAATATTTGTTGAATGGATGACTACATGAATAAATAAACAACAAAACCTGAAACGTAGCAGCCTTTAGTAAATGTATGTTGATTTGAGATTTTTGTTGAAGTGCTTCCCTTTGCATTTATTTATTTTTCTCAACTTTATGTTTGGAAAACATCAGATACACAGAAAAGTTGAAAGAATGGTTCATTGACTGACCATATGTTCCCAACTTAGATTCAAGAGTTGTTAACATTTCACAATTCCTGTATATATTCTTGGGTGTGTGTGTGTGTGTTCAAGTTAAAAGTCAGTTACAGGCTGGGTGAGGTGGCTCACACCTGCAATCCCAGCACTTTGGGAGGCTGAGGCGGGCAGATCACCTGAGGTCAGGAGTTCAAGACCAGCGTGGCCAACGTGGTGAAACCCTGTCTCTACTAAAAATACAAAAATCATCCAGGTGTGTTGGCCCACACCTGTAATCCCAGCTACTCGGGAGGCCAAGGCAAGAGAATCACTTGAACCCAGGAGGCCGAAGTTGCAGTGATCATGCCATTGCACTCCAGCCTGGGCGACAGAGTGAGACTCCATCTCATAAATAAATAAATAAATAAATAAATAAATGTCAGTTACAGAAATATGACACTGACCCTTTGCATTTACAAGTTGGTTCTAAAGAGTGGTGAGTCAGAAGAGACGTCAGGCAGCAAGCGACTTGGGCCATGGCCTCTGACCTAGACTTCTCACCTCCGGAGGTGCCCGAGCCCACTTTCCTGGAGAACCTGCTACGGTACGGACTCTTCCTGGGAGCCATCTTCCAGCTCATCTGTGTGCTGGCCATCATCGTACCCATTCCCAAGTCCCACGAGGCGGTGAGTTTTTCCCTGGGAGCCTCAGCTCCTCTGAGTGCCAGGCTGGGTTCTGAGTACTAACAGTAGGTGCCACCACAACTGAGATCAGCAGGGTCTACATTGGGCCTTTTTGATTTAGTGTGCCTCTGAATTTCCACCTGGTGGGTTGAACCACATAGCTAATACTTTATTTGTTCATGTACCCATTAAGGAGATTTTTATTTAGTGCCTACTACATTTCAGACTCTGCTGAAGATGTAGTGTCTGCACCTGAGGAGCATCTAGTCCTTGGGAGGAAGGCAGATAACAAAAACATACCTCCATGTGCTCCCATGAGAAGTACAGAGTCCAGTGAGGCTATATAACAAGGGGGAGAGAGACCTGATCTTACCCTGGGCTGTGGGCCCTGCCGAGGAGGCAGTGTTTGAGCTGAGACTGAAGGAATGAGCAGGCTTCTGCCAGGTGAAAGTGGGCAAGGGGCGAGGACAACATTCCAGGGAGAGGGCACTGCACGTGCAAGGGACTCAATAAAGGAAGGGGCTAATTCAAGGAACTGAATGAAGGTGACTGTGGCCAGAGCACAGAGGGGGCATGATGAGTGGTGCAGCCAGAGGTGTGGGCAGGGGCCAGAGGGTTTTAAGTGTGAGAATGACATGGTCAAATTGGCTTTTTTGTTGTTGTTTTGACTCTTCTTCTGTAAGTATCTTTATAACTATACACCCTCCTTCTACCCACTTTCTTGCCCACTCCCATTTGCTCGTGACATTGATTTATTGGAGAAAGCAGGTCGTTTGTCATGTGGGATACCTACATCCCAGGAATTGGCTATTGCTTCTCTGTGGTGTCATTTAACGTGTTTCTCTGTTCCCTGTGTTTCCTGTCAACAGGAGTTCCATGTAGAGGCCTGATTCCATTCCAGTCAGGTTATTGGGTACGAATACCTCAGAGCTGGTGCTATGTACTCCCTACTGTGTGGCATCAACAAGCAGGTGGTGTCTGGCTGCTGCACATTTAGAGATTCTTGGATTGATCGGTGGGTTTAGGTGGTATCAGCTGATCCCTCCATTATAAAAATCCGGTCAGTCTTTCACCTAAGCGGTTTTAGCATCCATTGATGGTCGTTGCTTAGATCCATTATTTCCTTCTGCATCTGTTAGCTGGAATTCTTTAACAAAGACCTTTTCCTTATCACTTGTATGATTACTCTGAATTGCTCTTCATAATGAAAAGCAGGAAAAATGCTTGGTTCTTTCCCTTTATTTATCAATTTTCAAAGTTGTGAGTTCAGACTCTAGCAACTTCCAATGATGACCAATGAAGCTTTGGTTTTCATAGCATTCTGAACATATTTTTAATATATTTAATATGTTTTAGTTTTTTTTTTTTGAGGGCACTTATCTGCCATTAATTTGTTTTTTATGTTCAGTGGGAGCCCCTTTAAGTTGATGTCTTTGTTCTTTGTCATACTTCATTAGTCTTTGATAGCTTCCTTGCTTCATGGTTCAATAAGATGTCACAGGCTCTTTTTTGTGTGTGTGCGAGACAGGGTCTTGTCTGTTGCCCAGGCTGGAGTGCAGTGGCACAATCACAGCTCACTGCAATCTCTGTCTCCCAAGTTCAAGCAATTCTCCTGCTTCAGCCTCCCAAGTAGCTGGGACTACAGGTGTGCCACCATGGCTGGCTAATTTTTGTATTTTTAGTAGAGACACGGTTTTGCCATGTTGCCCAGGCTGGTCACAAACTCTTGGGCTCAAGCCATCCACTTGCCTTGAGCTCCCAAAGTGCTGGAATTATAGGCATGAGCCACTGCGCCTGGCCCCAGGCTCATTTTGTACATTTCCTGCCCCAGTCTTGGAATCAGTCATTTCTCTAAAATGCTCTGGTTCTTTTTAGCTAGAAAATAGTATCTAGAGGCTACAGTTGGGACATTAGAAGTTTTCAGTGCTACTGAGCTGTGATTGCATCTAGGCCTTTCAATAAACAGAAATAGAAAATAAACATTTTTTAAGAAATGAAAAAGTTGTGAGTTCATACTGGTATTTCCAATTCAAATGTAAGGTGATAGTGTTTCTATTTATTTGATTTTATACTAGTGTCTTGTAACTCTTTATCTTATGCTGGAAATCTTGTTCTCAATAACATTAACAAAATGATGTATCTGCTAGATCCTACTGAATCTGAGGTCCCCAGGACCACCCCAGGTTCAGTGATGCACTAGGACTCTCAGCTGTGGCAGTGAAAGGATACCAGGTATGGCGGCACAGGGAAAAGGTACATGGGGCAGAGACTGGAGGAAACAGGCGCAGGCGTCTGAGTGCTCTCCCATTGGATACCCACAGGAAGGATTTGTGGCAATGTGTGTGAAGTGTTATCTAGCAGGGAAGTGAGTTAGAGACTCAGTGCCCACATCTCTTACTGAGGACTGGTTACAGAAGCACCCTTGGCCTAGCATGTACCAAAATTCCAGACTTCCAGAAAGCAAGCAGGTGTTCAGCATGAACCTTATTGTTTACACAGTATAGGCGTGGTGAGCCACTCTTATCATTTCTGGGAATTGTGAGAACCACCTGGAATCCAAGTTCCCAGATGCCAGTCAAGGGCCAACCTTGCAAGCATGCTTCTCTAAGATTAGCAATTTATATTAACTTTATTCTGCTCATCTACAATATACCAGTTACACTTTTAAAATAACTATATTTTTTACTACTAAGACTCAGAATGAAATTTAAGACTTCTTTGTGATTCTTTTTTGGCCTTAAAATATGTCTTTGTGGAGATACAAGGTCAAAATGTTGTGTTTAGTAACTATTTTTCTCTGTGTAGGTCTCCCATCATGAGATATAGTTTGGTTAATTTGCTTCAATCTGTTTTTAATTTTTAGAGATTTTTAAAATTTTGATTTAATTTGTTGTTTTAATTATATAAAACATTTATATACAATATTTCTCAAAGTCAAAACTATATAACAAGGTACATTTACAGAAGTTTCCTTTAATCTCATTCTCCTCCACCCTATTCCCTTCCTTCCCACATAGTTAACAGTTGTTATTAGTTTATCTTTCCTTTGTTTCTTTTTGAAAACAGTAACAAATGCATATATATGTGTATGGTGTGTACATATATATTTATATTCCCCCCTTCATTAAATAAAAGATAGCATACTATTAAACACAGTTTTGCAACTTTCTTTTTTCACTTAACATACGCAATATGTTCTGGAGATCCATATATCTTGGATATCACTGTTCCTGGAGATGCTGCTTCTGTAGCTGGGAGGATGATGGGGAATTACTGATACAATGTGGAACCTATTGATGCAGTGGAGAACTATGGTGAAGGAACAGGCTTAGGGTGGGTGCAGGGAAGGAACATGCCAAGTTCAGTTTTAAACAGATACTTTAACATGTCTGGGTGGTTCTGTCAAAAAAGCCGGTGGATTTACAAGGTCTCTAGCAGGAGGAGTGCATGGGCTGAGTGTTGACCAGCATGTGGGAGTTGATACGATGTCATTTGAAGCCACGGCAGGGGACAGGGTCTCCTAAGGAGAGAATGTGGAGGGAGATGAGAAGAGGACCTAGGCCAGAGCTGGAGGGGCTCCAGCATAGAGGGCACAGGCAGGGGAGGAGCAGCCAGCAAGGGTGGGAAAACCTTGGTGAACAGGGATGGGTTCGTGGCCTCTAGGTTGTCTTGTCCATCTCTTATTCTGGTATCTTGAGAAGGAGATCACTATTGGCGTTCTTCCACCCACAATTGTATCGCATTTTAAAAACATCACCTCTGTGCTCCTGGGCTCTGTCCCTGCAGACGTGGCATGCTATTCGGTATTATAAATAACAAATGTGGTTGTTGGTGGCTGATGAGGCCTGCTAAGAGTCCCGAGGGAGGGAGGTGATGAGCCTTCTTGTTTTATAGGCAGAGGTGTGTGGCTGTTTGGAGAGCAGGGAGGCTGCTCACCTCCTGTTGTGTTTGAAGCCCTTAGAAGTAAGCCACAGAAGCCTGGGTTAGTTCAGCAAACTTCAGAAAAGGAGCCCCTTTATTGTTCTCTTTAAGATTTTCAGTGGGATAGTGCGTTAAAGTCTTTTGAGGCAGGGAGTTGATGAAGGGTTCAAAAATATGCCATCATACCCCCCTACCCACTGCCATTTAGAGGTTACTTTTGGACAACAACCTCATGTTTTTAAATTTAAATATAGTACATGACATCTCTCATTTTTATTAATCTTGCATTTAGGGAAACAAGGCTCACACAAGTAAATTGTCTTCATAACTGAAGCTTACTGTTTTAACTTTTTTTTTTTTTTTTTAGCTTTTCAATGGATCAGTAGCAAAAAAATACAGTACTGTTGATCTAACTTTTTACTGGCGCATCAGGGGAGCAAATGGCCCCAGGTTATACAGGGGGTTCTGTCGCTAGCTCTCTGTGTGTCTCCATAAGGCAGCCTTTCTCACTTCCGAAACTCCTAACTAGATAGAAAGGAAACACAGCATTCTGTGCATAAACAGGATTACAAAGAGAGGGTGGATGCTGAGACTGTGCTGCTTAGAGGTTGTCCCTAATAGCTGAGATTTGGAAGGAGTTTGGAGGGGAAAGAAGGGGGTTTTAACATGGGGACGGGGTACTCTTAGGGAGAAAGGGAGCCCATGGGAGTGGGGGCAGCTTGTAAGACACTAGGCAGCCAGAGGGCAGTTGGGAGATACCTGGAAGTGGAGGGTGGCAGGAGGTAGGAGAGGGGGCAGAAGTGAGGGTGGGAGGACCCAGAGAACAGTCTTGCCCTCTTTGCCGTTTTGCTCAGGGCAAAATCTTCCCTCTTGCTTAGCCTATAGAAACAGGGTTTATTAGTGGCTTTTTGGGTCAGAAGATAATATTTTTGGCTCCAGATGATGGGAAAGCCTTTGAAAAGCAAAAGAATGTTTCCTGTTCTAGTAAGCCGATTTTTTGCAACTTGCTTATGACTTCAGTATTTCAATACTTAGCAGATTATTTGAAAGCTCTTTTGGGGTTAATCAGGGAGGAAAAGAGGGAACACATACAAATGCTTCCCACCCCACCCCCTTCCTTTTCATAGTAGGAGCAAGAGTCAATTTGTAAAATCAAAAACCAAGTCCCTAGAATCGTAAGCCAAATGAAAAGGTTTTCTCATTGGCAACTCATTAAACTCAGACCTAAGAAAACAAACATTTGTTTGAGCCTGATGGAGGCGTGGGCCACACTTAATCCAAGCATTTTCTTGTAGGCTGGATTCTAAAATAGAAGATAGTAGGTCCTAGTACCATTTCCATCTAGTCCAGGTTAGCTGGTAAGTTTCATCTCTCATGCCAAGTCTGATCAATTGCTTGGTGGCCATGGTGAAAAGGATTCTGGGGGCTGCTGCTTTGCTCTGGAGGAAAGAAATTGATCAATGATGTCTGTTTGCTGTGAGCTGGGATTAGAGAATGACAGTGCCGGTCCTTGGACTGGCCAATGATTCTCCACAAGGCTGCACATAGAACCATCTGGGGAACTTTCAAAGGCCTAGACCACACCCAGAGATTCTGATTCAGTTGTTCTCTGAAGCCTTGGATCAGTATTTTCTTTTTATTTATGTTTTTGAGACAGGGTCTTGCTCTATTGCCTAGGCTGGAGTGCAGTGGCACAATCGTAGCTCACTGCAGTCTCGACCTGGACTCAAGTGATCCTCCCGTCCTCTGCCTCCTCAGTAGCTGGGACTACAGGTGTGCTCCACCACACCTGGCTAATTTTTAAATAATTTTTTTGTAGAGACACGGTTTCACTATGTTGCCCAGGCTGGTCTTGAACTCCTGGGCTCAGGTGATTCTCTCACCTTGGCCTCCCAAAGTGATGGGATTACAGGCATGAGCCAGTGTGCCCGGCTTGGATCAGTATTTTTTTAAAGTGTCCAGGTGATTGTAATATGCAGCCACTACTCAAGTCTTTAGATAATTTCCCTCAAACACAAACCAATTTTAGGAGGACAGGATATGTTCAGTTCTTAGATGTGTTAAGTTTGAAATAATAGCAAAATGTTCCGTGTGGGAAAGGAAAGGCGAGCAAGAAGTTGGGAATAGAGACCTGACAATTATTTTATTAACAGAGCATTATGATGCCTGTAAACCCAGCACGTGGGAGGCTGAGGTGGGCGGATCACTTGAGGTCAGGAGTTCAAGACCAGCCTGGCCAACATGGTGAAACCCTGTCTCTACTAAAAATGCAAAAACTAGCCAGGCGTGGTAGTGTGTACTTATAATCCCAGTTGCTAGAGAGGCTGAGGCAGGAGAATCCCTTGAACCCGGGAGATGGAGGTTGCAGTGAGCTGAGATTGTGCCACTGCACTCCAGCCTGGGCGACAGAGCGAGACTCCATCTCAAAAAAAAAAAAAAGGAAACCAAACAAATACAGCATTATTACTTGAAACCCAAGAATGAGTTGCTGAGTTTTGCAAGGGAAATGAAGATCCAGGAAAGACGTGAACTTGGAGCATACCCAACCTGTTGAAGTAGTTTCCGTGCAATGTAGATAGACTGAGAAGGTGCGGGTGCTGTCCTAGAACCCAAGAGCAGGAGCGCCGCAGGGCCTCCGGAAGTGGTGGGAACTGGGACTTACTGCTCCTCACTGGCATGCCCTCTGCCTCCCTTCCTGTCTCCCTCCTGTCTTTTGCTTTTCTAACTAGGACCCTGCTTCTCTGCTTGCTGGCCCTGTGGTGAGATGCAGCACAGCCACTAAACACAACCATGCCTTCCTGCTGGTCTCAGTTCCAGCATCCCCAGGGAAGGAACTGTGGCTGACCCAGCTTGGGACAGCTGTGGCCAGTGGAGGGGAGGGGAGGGTTCTGTGGAGTGACCTCTGAGTGAGGATGGGAAGGTCCATTCCCACAGGGGGACTGCTAGGCAGACAAAGCTGGGGTCTCCCTTTCTCTCCCTCTCTCAAGTGACAGGCAGAGCAGTGGGCAGGAGACCAGGAGAGTGTGGCCTCCCTGAAGTCCACCGAGTGGTTCATGGAGAGCACATGTGACACCAGTTCCCTGGAGAGGATTGGGGAAAGCCAGCCTAGTCTGACACCACCACTGTGTTCCAGCTGCCGTCCTTCAGAGTTGGGTTTCAGTAGAAGAAAGTTCTCAATAGGGAGTTCCTGGCTTTCTAGGGAAGTCCTGGGATAGGTTTGAGGGGTCTGTGATCCCCCTCAAATTGTGTACAAGAATGTGAGGTTTTATATGCCTAGGCACATTTTCTGGGGGAGATGGTCCATAGCCTCTCTACATGGAGTGCAGTGGGAAGTGGGGGACAGGTTTCTTCTCAAGGTGGGGAGCCTGTCTTCCTCCTCCCCATAACCCTCCTCCAAGCCTCTTCCGGATCGATTTCTACACAGAGTGTTGATTCAGCCAGATAAGGTGCACGAAGGTAACTAAGCAAGTGGGTGTAGACTTTGAGTTCAGCAACTTGTGTGGCAGATAGTCAGTCATACACGGTAGTGAATCAGAAACTCTCCTAGTTTCAGTGTTGACTATTCTCATCTGTTCATATGCTTATAGTGCATCTCGTCAGCTCACAGCCAGCTGCCTGCTTCTAGAAGGCAGGTCCTTTCACTTCTACTCTGCCATGTTTGTTGATTGCCACCGTCTCATATTAGTGGGGACTCTTCCTGTTGCAAGTTCAGAAACAGCTCCAGCAGCTTCCCCGAATGGAAACAGTATTGGCTCTTGGAACTGGGAATTTCAAAGGACAGCTGGATTTAGGGGTTCAAGGGGTCTCCAGGGCTTCATGTGTCTCTCTCTCTCCTGGCTTTCCTGGGAGTGCTGGCTTCCTTCCTAGGCCCTTGTTCTGTGTTGGGAAAGATGGCTGCAGCAGCCACAGTCAGTGCCCTTATCAGTCGGGATTGACAGGTGAGAGAAGCCATTTCTCTGCCTCTCCTCACCTTCTGAGTCTCATGGAAGGCCTCTCCTTGGCCACATACACCTTGTCTCACAGGTGGGAAGCAGGAATGAGTGCTGTCTCTGGCCAGGCCACATTTAGCTGCCTACTCTTGTGACCCCAGTGACTGAGAGTCCCCCAGACCCCCATGGGATAGGGAAAGGGCAGGGTCCCCATGGAAAAGAGGTGCTGGGAAGACAGACAGCCGGTGGCCAGCATTGCGATCTAGTGGAGGACTCGCCACGGGCGATGGTGAGAGTGGTGGCTTTCAATATGATGCCCGTGGAGACTTCACAACCAACCAGAAAGCCCTGCAGTGTTTAGACCCCTGATGATGTTTTGGCTCATCAGTATGGTGAGCCACCTGCACCTACTGCACCACAGGTGGCTCATTCCTGTGGTGCAGTAGGACAGTGGCCTAGAAGGTCAGGACTCTTCTGGAAAATTTTGCACAAGGGTCTTGATTTTAAACGAGGCCGCTAGTTGCCAGTGAGGCCTGCCGTAAATAAATAATGAGCCCCAGGCAAGCATCCACCCATTCTCAACACCTCAGGACACAGACTCACAGAAGCAACTGTGCATTTCTGCTCTGTGTGGTTTTAAAGCTTGGGAGGAGGTTGCAGTTGAATTGAGAGGCAGGCTGTTTTTTACTTAATGACCCGTTCTGGAGAGATTGCCGTGTGATGAGGGTATAAACATGCTTCCACCAGCCTGTGGTCTGGAGATGTGTACCGACCGGTTCTTGGGAGAGACGGCTGGACACACAAGGAGCCACAGAGCAGCCAGTGGGGAGGGCCAGCATAGTCGTGCTGAATTGTGTCTGGAATGAGCTCCCAAGGCTGTTCTTTCTAATCACAGTTCTCCCCGCCTGCCAAGCGCATCCTGGACTCCGTGTCTCCGTTTGCCTTGTTGAGTCCACATGGATGGCCTTCCTTGCTCTCTGTTTCAGCCAGTCCTATCTTTCCTCAAGGCCACTGCTAGTTTCATCTCTGCGAGGCCTTCTCAGCTCCCACCCTGTCTCAGGCCCTCATGGCCCGCTGGGATGGGCAGCACCTTCAGCGTTAAGCAGACTGGTCTGAGTGCTGACCTGCTTTTAGTCTGCCTCCGTCATCAGAAGAGGATATTCCTGCCTAACTCCATTGTTCTTAGAGGGTCATGCAAGATAAGGTGCACGAAGATGCCTGAGTATAGCACCTGGGCCATTTTCAAGGAAAGAGTGGCCTGCGTAGAATGACATTTTGTCCTGATTTACAGGACTAAATCCACATTGAACTGTAGAGTGGAAATCATAAAATTCAATGCACTTTTCATGCTGGAAGGGATATGATGTATTGTGGCACACATTTGATTATTTGGATCTGATGAATAGCAGCAATTTTCTGGCCTGGTAAGCGCTGCAGAGCTGCTTCATTATTGATGGGGCCTGTGTCCACAGAGGACGCCACTGTGAACCCAGGAGCCACCTGGCCTCGGGAGTTTTCTTTTATATGTGACAGTGTGATTGCTGAGGAAACTTGAGGCTCGCTTGAGAGGAGGCGCAGTGCTCCCAGATTTAAAGGCAGGGCTGTCGGCTTTGTAGTCTGCCGTCTGTGTGGCTGGTACGGGCAGCGTACATTTGAGGAGAAATGAAAAGGCAGCCCTTAATTGAGAGTCATTCTTGTCAGTGAAGAACTTGGAGCTACAGGCCCTGTGTGGCTGGGACCCCAGGGCCCAGGTCATGTGGGTCACGGCCGCCTTTGCTTCCCTGCAGCTTGCATGGGGCCGTCACCTGGCCTCAGGGAGCCTGAGTGGCCTTGCCAGTGGAGTGTGGCTCGTGGTGGCTGGCTCACCAGGGCGATGGAGAGGCTCGGTGAGCATCCACATGGCACACAGCCACTAAGTGTGCGTTCTCATCTTCATTCCCCGTGGCACAGTGCCCACATGTACTGGGTGCAGGTAGAGATACAGAGGAGGAAAGGGAGCAGAGTACTGGGAGACACTGGCTGGCCAGTATCTCAGGGTGACAAGAGTAGGCTGCACGACGGGGCCTGCCTGGAGACAGGGGCCAAGACCGAGCAAGAGGCCTGGAGCCCCTGCTGGGTGTCTTGGAATTTATCTCACACAAAGGGGAACCAGCAAAGTTTTTGAAGGAGGAAACAGACACGATTGGGATTGTTGTTGTCATTGTTTTTTTTATTTGTTTGTTTGTTTTTGTTTTGAGCGAAACTTTTTTTGAGTTTTGCTCTTGTTGCCCAGGCTGGAGTGCAATGGCATGATCTCGGCTCACGGCAGCCCCCACCTCCTGGGTTCAAGTGATTCTCCTGCCTCAGCCTCCTGAGTAGCTGGGATTACAGGCATGCACCACCACGCCTGGCTAATTTTGTATTTTTAATAGAGATGGCATTTCTCCATGTTGGTCAGGCTGGTCTTGAACTCCCGACCTCAGGTGATCCACCTGCCTTGGCTTCCCAAAGTGCTGGGATTACGGGCGTGAGCCACCGCGCCCGGCCTGTTGTCATTGTTTTAGGAAAATCGACTCTGAAAGGAACGTAAAGTAAACTCTGACGAGCATGGGGAGGTAGAGGCACGGGCAGGAGAGTCTGTGGGAGGCAGATGCAACCAGTGGGGCCGGCAGGGGACCTGGGTCTGATCTGGGCAGTGGAGTGTGTCCAGAGGGGACTGGCTGGGTCTAGAGCCCGTTGGAAAGCGGAATGGACAGACCTTGGGGACAGGTTGGATGCTGAGAACTCATAAATGACTTGGAGGTATCTAGCTTGGGTAACTGGGTGCGTGACGGCTCTAAAAGCTGAGGTAGGGAAGAGAGGAGGAGGTCTGGGGTGAGGAGGAGACAGATCAAGCATTCAGATGACTCGATAACTGTAATATGTACACACACCCACAGAAGACTCCCTTCAGCTGTAAAAAATCAAGCGTGATCTGGAGCACAAACCCACTTTTCTGATTGCTGTAGGGACTTTAGTCACAAACAAGGGGTTGTAGGTGACCCATTGACAGATAGGTTCTCAGAGGAGCTGTACTTACCATTCCAGAGGCACCTTGTGGTTCTGGGGGCTGCTAAGTAGAGAGTAGATTTCATAGTTAACTCAGATTCAACTTATTCCTACCCCTGAGGGCCCCAGGAAACCTGGGAGAGGCTGGACCGTGTACCCATGAAGAGGTTAGTTTCAAATCTTGGGTCTGCTACTCACCAGCTAAGGCCTTAGGCAAGTCATATGACCTGAGTGTCTGTTCCTTTGTTTATAAATTGGGCCTCATTATGGCACTTTGTGAGGCCGTCATGTCCAGACACATAACACAGGGTCTGGCATATTATAAACAATAAATAATTAGCAGCTGTTGTGGCTCTTGTTTTTTAGAGAGGGAATCTCTCTCTGTTGCCCAGGCTGGAGTGTAGTAGCTATTTACAGACACAGTCATAGCGCACTACAGCCTCAAATTCTTGGGCTTTAGTGATCCTCCTGTCTCAACCTCTCGAGTAGCTGGGAGGACAAGCATGTGCCACCACGCCCAGCTGTTGTTATTATTGGCAGCTATGCTTAAGGCATAATTTAGGCCAGGGTATGTATATTCGGTTTTAAGTCTGTTCATATCCTCTGTGATCATGGAAAAGTGAGGCCTGGTTTTAAGTGCTGTATTTTCATGGGAATAAACAAGAATGAAGTTCTCATGGTTACTGGGAGACCTTGGCTGTTCTTTCATTTCATTCATTCATTCACTCATTCATTGATTCAGCAACAGTTGAAGCTATCCCAAAGTGCTCATGGGCTAATAGGGGAGACTAACATGAAAACATGTAACTGGCTGGGCGCGGTGGCTCACGCCTGTAATCCCAGCACTTTGGGAGGCCGAATCGGGCAGATCACGAGGTCAGGAGATCGAGACCATCTTGGCTAACATGGTGAAACCCCGTCTCTACTAAAAACATAAAAATTAGCCAGTAGCGGGTGCCTGTAGCCCCAGCTACTCGGGAGGCTGAGGCAGGAGAATGGCATGAACCCAGGAGGCGGAACTTGCAATGAGCCGAGATCGAGCCACTGCACTCCAGCCTGGGCGACAGAGCGAGACTCCGTCTCAAAAAAAAACAAAGAAAACATGTAACTATGGGAAAATAATAGTGGCATTATGGGCTGGGCGCAGTGGCTCACGCCTGTAATCCCAGCACTGTGGGAGGCTGAGGCGGGTGGATCACTGGAGGTTAGGAGTTTGAGACCAGCTTGGCCAACATGATAAAACCCCATCTCTACTAAAAATATAAAAAATTAGCTGTGCGTGGTGGCGGGTGCCTGTAATTCTAGCTACTCAGGAGGCTGAGGCAGGAGAATCACTTGAACCTGGAAGGCGGAGGTTGCAATGAGCTAATATCGAGCCACTGCACTCCAGCCTGGGCAAAAGAGTGAGACCTTGTCTTAAAAAGAATGGTGGCATTATAAGGTTCCTGGGTGCCTAGGGGCCCGAGGAGGGAGGAGGGGCTGCCCCCAGCTGGAAGGAGGAGCAGGGAAGGAAGGCTAGACAGTGAGTAGGAGTGTATTCATGGACAGGGCCAAACCATGGGAGCAGTTTGCCGGGTGGCCAAGGAAACAGGTATTCCTGTTGATGAAGGTGACCAGCGGAAGCTCTGGGGCCTGACTCAGTGTGAGGGATGAAGAGGAGCCCATGTGAGGCTGGAGAGGTGGCCTTTCTTAGATGCCATTCCAGAGACAGCCACTGGAAGCTTTAAGGTGGAAGGTGCAGTGGTCAGACCTGCACTTTAGAATAGTTCCTTTCGTGGGTGCATGAGGAATGGACAGAGACAGCAGGCACTTTGCTTAGCTGTGGGCGGAACTGAAGGGGGAATTGGATGCTGGAGAGAGTAGCAGAATCAAGAGGTAGAGGGGGTCATGTCAGCAGGACATGGTGACCCACTGGACAGTGGGGAGCAGAGAGAGGGTGAGGTTACCGGGTCTCTGGTTGCTCCACCAGTGGGAGGAGGGCCGGGCCTTCTGGGTCTGGGACAGTTAAGTTGGAGGTGCCTTGGAGATGCCAGTCCTGATTGTCTGGCAGACAGCTGGATCAAGGGAGAGGTCTGGGAGGTGCCAGAATGGTTGAGGCTCTAGAGACAGGGCCTGTGGAGTGAGGGAGGCACTGGGGCGGCAACTGGGTCTCACTGTCCCTGTGGTCTCTGAACTGAGCCCCACTGAAACTGGAGGAGCCCCCAGCCTTGAGCTCAGAAGGCAGACTCCTTCCTAGAGATCCAGGCAGGCCTTGCAAATTTTGTTTTGTTTTGTTTTGGCCAAGTTACATAAACAGAGTAGGGGGACCTTCAGATCATTTTGATTTTTGGTGGGAGGAGGCTCAGCAGGCCGAAGGAATCCAGCACTGCAGTGAGAGGCCTGGCTGGGGAGGGGAAGCCCTCCAGTTATCTTGGGACAATCACTCCTTGGGGGCCTGGGACCTGGCTGGCTCTTCATATCTGGTTATCTCGCCTGGCTGATGGGAGACGATGTTGGCCGATAGGAGGGAGCTGACAGGCCTCTGGATCAGATCCGAGGCAGGGACTGCCCTTCCCTGCATGGGCCCTCCTCTTCTGTAGGGTGGGCTGAGGCTTGGGCCACGGGCCAATGGGGCAAGCAGGGAAGGTCAGGGAGTAAAGTGAGCTGGAAGCCGGGGTTGGGAAATGAAACACAGAGGGGTATTTTTCTCATCTGGAAGTGTCCCCCCTCCCAGGAGTCTTAGTCTGCTTCTTATTTTCCCATTTCTCAATAAAGAACATGGGCACTGAGAAACATTTCCCAATCATAGTGCTGGGGGCGGCAGGGTGTGGGGGCCACGGTCGGCACCTGAAAAGGGGCAGCGCCTCCTCAGCCCCTCACTGCCATGAGGGAATGCAGGGCCATTGTCACCGGATGGTTAGTTTCAAGAGAATCTAGGAATCCAGATTTCATGGGAAATCTCCCAATTGGCTTAAATTTTTAAATAAACACTGCCGGCCAGATGAAGTCTGTGGCCTGGACGAGGCCTGTGGGCTGTGGTTGGCGTTCTCTGGGCTAGCCCGGCCTCTCTGACGTCCGTCCTTTCTGGCCACGGCACACTGCAAGTTATCACCCAGAGGAGGAGAGGACACTAGATAGGAGCACACTGAGCCTATTCCAGATACTTCTCTGACATGAGCCTGAGTGGCTGGGCCAAGCTGTGTCCCTTCCCTGGAGTCTCCCTTCCTTATCAGCACAATGAACGCCAGGGCTAGATCTGTGGGTTTCAACCTTTCGTTCCTTAGCAGCAGAACTTTGTTTCATTTCAATCTTACAAGGGACAAATCACAGTGTATGAAATAGATTGAAAATCAGAGCTGCTCCTGTCGCCCAGGGAGTCTGGAATTCTGCCCCGAGGCTGCCTCTGCCCTCCCCCACAGAGGCACCTCTGACAGGCTCCGCAGAACACAGTGTGGGACTGCCCACCTGCCGGCTGGCCCTCTGCACCCCTCCCAGTCCTGGCATTCTGTGGGTTGAATGGGAGGACAAGAATGGCAGCCAGAGGAGGGCAAGCCACAGTGGGTCTGCCCCATAGCCAGCTCCTCGCCCACATTTTGTCCAGTCCCTGGCACGAGGTGATCGGCCAGTCACTGGGTGCAGCTGGCACTTCCTGGGTGCTTTCCACGTAGTTTTGCCTCCTCACATCAGCCCTGTAAGGCGGGTGTGGCTATTTCCATTTCACAGGTGAGTAAACCAAGACACAGAAAGGGGAAGTGAGTTTCACACAAGGTCAGTTGGCTGGAAAGGGAAGGATCCCAGGTTCTACCTGGGCGTCTGAGACCCCACAAGCTGCTCCCTCCCCGTGGGGCTTCCTTTATTCTTCACTGAGAGCCACGATGCTCCGGGGCAGTCCCACATCCGTGTGGGTGGTAGGTCCCGGGAATGACAGTTTCCATCTCTTGTGTTTCTGTGGCATGCTTCTTTGCTTTCAGATGTGATCTCCTTTTGCTGGCGTCAGGCTTGATCCATCTAAGCAGGACTCTCCTTTTTATCACCTCACAGGAGGCTGAACCGTCTGAGCCCAGAAGTGCTGAGGTGACGAGGAAGCCCAAGGCTGCTGTTCCTTCTGTGAACAAGAGGCCCAAGAAAGAGACTAAGAAGAAGCGGTAGAAGAGGAGGCCTGAGGAGCTGGGCGGGCAGGGAGAGGGTCTTGGGGACAGCCCTCCTGGGAATCTACATTGTGTTCCCCCGCATTCCAGGCTCAGGGTCTGAGGAGGCTGTGACGCCCTATGACCGCAGAGATCTAGACAGTCGTAACAGTCCCCAGGCTCCAGCTGGGCAATCCACCACTTCCTCTTCCTTCTGCTTCTGTGACGGTTTAGAGTCAAGGGGGCTGAAACACACTGTGAGCATAGACTGTATTAGGTTTGTTCAGAAGCCGGGTCAGCTCACAGAGTCACATTTTCTTGCTTAGTCATGTGTCCCTCCTTGAGTTGCCCCCTCCTTGTGGGTTTACACTACATTTGGGAGTCATTGTCTAATGCTGACAAGCACACCCTCTCCCATTATTTGTGCACTACAGATCTCCTCCTGATCAGTCACCTTTGTTGCTGCTGTGTAGACAGAGCCAGGCCTCACCTGTTTGTTTAGGCCAAGATGCCATGGACATGCAGCGTTAGTGATCCCACTAGCTGTGACAGCCAGGCCCAGAAAATGCCTGGCGTGAGAGCCAGCAGACAGCCAGGCCAGGGTAGGCAGTGCCTGCTTCTGCTCCATCAGGTGCAGGGGATTTGGCTGAAGGCGTGCATATTTCCTGGGCACAAACTTCCTGAGCCTCTGAAATGGGAGGCTCGTCAATTTCAGACCAACCTCTTTTCAACCCATCATAGCACGTTCAAGGTGTGCCTTTTACTTCTACCTGTACATCCCCCATCCCTTCAATTCTTTCATTCCCTGACCAGTGAGAGGGTTCCTGGGGGAAGTATGGTGAATAAACTGACATGCATGCTTCAGAACCTGCCTGTGTTGTCTTTTGCTGAGGGAGAGGGGAAGCCTAGGGCCCTGCCCCGGGGATGAGGGAAAGGCTTGACCCCCAGAGAAGTGGGACAGTGGGGGTGAGGATGGCCAGAATAGGATGGCTTCGGTAAGAGCAGTTCTGCAGGCTGAGCCATTCTGGAAGAAGTTTTCAGGAAGGATCCGGCTAAGTGCTTCGTGTGGCCCTTAGTCACTGGAAACACTTGTGAATGGCCGTGGGTGTGTTAGAGTTTCCACTGGGTCCAGGCCCCACTCATTCCCCAGGTTCCTTCTGAGGAAGATGCTGCTTGTCTTCAAAGTGGCTTGAGAAAAACCAAGTGCAATACAGTAAAAGGCCTTACGTGGCATTGGCCAGGTCTAGTCACTTGCCCTGAATCAGCTGCTGAGGAAAAGCCCTGACCTCTTGGTAACTCGGATTTGCCCAGCTCATTTACAGCCTGCCAGACAGCTTTCCCAAATGCCAGGACTGATGAGGATCTTAAGAGATGAGCGACTATCATCTCTGTTTTGGAGATGGGAAACTGAAGTCCAGACTACTTTGAGAATGTCCAAGCTGGGATTTAGACCCAGCCCACGGCACATTCCTTGGTATTTAACAGGTATTTAGCGAGTGTTGGTAGGCACAGTGCTATGAGGGTCCTGCTCTGCTGCAGAGGGGCTTGGCAAGATCTCCCAGCACTTCAGGTTTCAGGAGAGGAAGTCCAGGGGCTGGGGATTGTGCATAATGAAGGGCTAGATACTGGCTTGAGAAGGAGCTTCTGCGGATTGTTTCTGTTTCATAACACTTACCGAGAGCTTCAATGCCAGGCACCATGCTAGGAACTGAGGATGCAGAAATAAGGAACCTTCCCGGAAACCCAGAGTGCACCTGGCTGAGTGGGAGACGCAGACATGTAAGCAGGTTTGATGTGGGGAGTTTCTCCAACAGAGGAGCAGCAGGTGTTCCCAGGGGCACCCAGCTCAATCTCGAGGGGTCGGTGCAGCCACCTGGCAGAGTGGAAGTGATGGAGCTGAATCTTAAAGGCTCAGCAGGACTTGAGACCACAGGGAAATGAGGCTGGGAGAGCAGGGGCCAGGCCTATAGTGCAGACCTGTTTCAGCTTGTGGAGGAGAGACAGCTTCTGGCTCCCGGGAGCAGTGCTACCTCAATAGATCCAACTTCCTTAAATTCTTTCCCTTAAAGGCTGGGCCAGAGAATGGCCCTCAGAAAGCAAGGGCTGTCATCCTCTGCTCCACCAAACCCTTCTTCCACATGTACTGTGGGCAGAGTTTGCAGCATTTGGTTCTCTTGGTTTTCGGGACCCATCCTCTCCCGATTTCCCTCCTGCATTACTGGTTCCTCCTCTTGAGAGGGGCCCAGGCTTCAGTCCTTAGTCCTCTATCCTCTGTTACACAGAAGCTCCAGTCCCTAGACTTCCTCTCTGCACGTACTCCTTTGAAGATCTCATCTAGGCTCGTGGCTTTAAATACCACCCGTATTAGGATTTTCCAGAGAAACATAGAAGGAGACTTTAAAAGTTTGTATTTTTTGAGATGGAGTCTTGCTCTGTCACCCAGGTTGGAGTGCAGTGGCGCGATCTCAGCTCCCTGCAGCCTCCGCCTCCCGGGTTCAAGCGATTCTCCTGCCTCAGCCTCCCAAGTAGCTGGGATTACAGGCATGTGCCACCACGCACAGCTAGTTTTTGTATTTTTAGTAGAGATGGGGTTTCGCCATGTTGGCCAGGCTGGTCTCGAACTCCTGGCCACAAGTGATCCACCTGCCTTGGCCTCCCAAAGTGCTGGGATTACAGGCATGAACCACCGTACCCAGCGAGACTTCTTACAAGATATTGTCTCCAGTGATTATGGAGGCCGAGAAGTCCCACGATCTGCTGCCTGCAAGCTGGAAACCCAAGAAAGCCAGTAAGGGGCCGATGGTGTAGATTCTGTCTGAGTCTGAAGGCCTGAGAACCTGGAGTGCTGAGAGAAGACAAATGTCCCAGCTCATGCAGTCAGACAGCGGGAGGGCGAGTCCAACCTTCCTCTTTTTGTTCTGTTCAGGCCCTTAAATGGATGAGGCCCACCCGCTTTACTCAGTCCACAGATTCAAATGCTAATCTCTTCCGGAACACAGACACACCCAGAAATACTATTTAATCAGATACCTGCTCGTCCTGTGGCCTAGTCAAGTTGACATATAAAATTAACCATCACACCACTCACATGCTGATGTCTCCCAGACGGATCTCTCCAGCCCTACTCCTGAGCTCCAGACTCACATATCTGACTTCCTACTCATTATCTCCATTTGAATACACAACAGGCATCTCAAAGCACATTCCTGATCTCACCAGCAGCCCCAAGCCTGCTCTTTTCGTGGTCTTCCCTATCTTAAAGAGCATCTTAAGAAAAACAAAGTATCTATTTAAAATATACAACTTGCTGATTTGATATACGTATATGTTGTGAAATAATCACCACAATCAAGCTAATTAAAATATCCATCACCTCACATAGTTATATGTGTGTGTGTCGGGCGGTGGGGCGTGGGGGTGAGAACACTTAGGATCTTAGAAAATTTCAAGTATATACGGTTGACCCTTGAGCAACATGGGTTTGAACTGTGTGGTCCACTTATACGCAGCTTTTTTTCAGTAAATACAATTCCTTCATATCCACATCCACATCTACAACCAAGGGCATATCAAAAATAGTGTTTGTGGGATGCGAAATCCACATATATGGAGGACTAACTTCTCCTAGAGGTGGGTTTCACAGGGCCCACCTCGAGACTTGAATATGTGTGGATTTTGATGTCTGTGGGGGTCCTGAAACAAATCCCAGGCAGATACCCAGGGATGACTATAGTACAGTATCATTGTCTATAGTCACCGTGCTATACATTAGATCTCCAGCACGCTTTCATCTTGCATAACTGAAACTTTGTGCCCCTTAACCAACAGCTCCCCGTCACCCACTACTCCCAGTCCTTAGCAACCTCCATTCTACTCTCTGATTTTGCAGGTTTGACTATTTTAGATTCTACATATAAATGAGATCATGCAATATTTCTCGCTCTGTGTCTGGCTTATTTCACAGGTCCATTCATGTTGTTGCAAATGGCAGAATTTCTTTTTTTTTTTTTTCTTTTCTGTTTTTTTTTTTTTGAGATGGAGTCTCGCTCTGTCACCCAGGCTGGAGTGCAGTGGTACGATCTCGGCTCACTGCAACCTCCACCTCCTGGGTTCAAGTGATTCTCCTGCCTCAGCCTCCTGAGTATCTGGGACTACAGGCACTCGTCATCATGCCCGGCTAATTTTTGTATTTTTAGTAGAGACAGGGTTTCACCATGTTGGCCAGACTGGTCTCAAACTCCTGACATCGTGACCTGCCCGCCCCGGCCTCTGGGGTTATAGGCGTGAGCCACTGTGCCTAGCCTGGATTTCCGTTTTGTGGTTTTTTTTTTGTTTTTTTTGAGGCAGAGTCTTGCTCTGTCGCCCAGGCTGGAGTGCAGTGGCCCGATCTCGGCTCACTGCAAGCTCCGCTTCCCAGGTTCATGCCATTCTTTTACCTCAGCCTCCCGATTAGCTGCGACTACAGGCTCCCACCACCACGCCTGGCTAATTTTTTGTATTTTTAGTAGAGATGGGGTTTCACTGTGTTAGCCAAGATGGTCTCGATCTCCTGACCTCGTGATCCGCCCACCTCGGCCTCCCAAAGTGCTGGGATTACAGGCATGAGCCACCACGCCCGGCCTCCTTTTTTTTTTTTTGTTAAGGCTTAATAATATTCCATTGTATGTACACCACATTTCCTTTATCCATTCATCAGTTGATGAACATATAGGTTGTTTCTGTATCTTATCTATTATGAATAATGCTGCAATAAACATAGGAATGTAGCATTTCTTTGAGATACTGATTTAATTTCCTTTGGATAAATACCCAGAAGTGGGATTGTTGGATCATTTGGTAGTTCTTTTTTTATTATTATTTTTTGAGGAGCCTCCACACCATTTTCTATAATGGCTGTACCAATTTACATTCCCACCAGTAGAGTACCAGGTTCCAATTTCTAAACATCTTTGCCAACAGTTACCTTTTGTTTTTAAAATAATAGCCCCTCTAATAGGTGTGAGGTGATATCTCCCGGTTTTGATTTGCATATTTAGTGATGTTGATAACCCTTCCATAGACCTGCTGACCATTAGTATGTTTTCTTTGGAAAACTGTCTATTTAGGTCCTTTGACCATTTAAAAAATTGGGTTCGTTGGGTTGTTTTTTTGCTATGGAGTTGTATGAGTTTCTTATATATTTTGGATATTAATACCCTATCATATATATGATTTGCAAACATTTTCTTCCATTCTGTAGATGGCCTTTTCATTTTGTTGATTGTTTCCTTTGCTGTGCAGAAACTTTTTAGTTTGATGCAGTCCTATTTTTTTTATTTTTGTGTTTGTTGCCTGTGCTTTAGTTGCCATATCCAAAAAATTGTTGCCAAGGCCAATGTCAAAATGCTTTTTCCCGGCTGGGTGTGGTGGCTCACACTTATAATCCCAGCATTTTGAGAGGCCTAGCTGGGAAGACATTTGAGGCCCAGAGTTTGAGACGAGCCTGGGCAACATAGTGAGAACATAGTGAGACACCATCTCTGCAAAAAAAAAAAAAAAAAAAAAAAAAAAATTAAATTACATATATATGATTTTAAAAAGCTTTTTCCCTGTTTTCTTCTAGGAGTTTTAAAATTTCAGATTTTATATTTAAGTGTTTAATCTATTTTGAGATGATTTTTGTATATAGTATAAGGGTTCAATTTCATTATTTTGTAAGTGGCTATCTAGTTTTCCAAGCACCATTTATTTTTTATTTTTTTTTGAGACAGAATCTCTCTATTGCCCAGGCTGGAGTGCAATGGCACAATTATGGCTCATTGTAGCCAAAGACTCAAGTGATCTTCCTGCCTCAGCCTCCCAAGTAGCTGGGACTGCAGGTGCACACCACCACACCCAGCTATTTTTTTATTTTTTGTAGAGACAGAGTCCCAGTATGTTGCCTAGGCTGGTCTTGAACTCCTGGGCTTAAGTGATCCTCCTGCCTCACCTTCCCAAAGGTCTAAGATTACAGGCTTGAGCCACTTTGCCCAGCCCAACACCATTTATTGAAGAGGTTATCTTTCCCCTTTTGTGTATTCTTAGTGCCCTTGTCAAAGATTAGTTGACCATATATGCTTGGGTCTATTTCCAGGCTCTTTGTTCTTTTCAATTGAACTATTGTTTTTATGTCAGTACCATATTGTTTTGATTACTAGAGCTTTGTAATATAATTTGAAATCAGGAAGTGTGATGCCTCCAGCTTTGTTCTTTCTCAAGATTGCTCTGGTTATGTGAGGTCTCTTGTGGGTCATATGAATTTTGGGATTTTCTTTTTTATTTCTGTGAAAAATACCATTGGAATTTTGATAGGGATTACATTTCATCTGTAGGTTGCTTTGGGTAATATGGACATTTTAGAAATATTAATTCTTCCAATCCATGAACACATTGGAATATCTTTCACTTCTCTGTGTCTTAAACAACATCTTAATTCTTCCAGTTGCTTGGGCCAAAAACCTTGAAGTTATTCTTAACTTCCCTCTCTCTGTCATACTCCACTTCTGACCCTGAAGTATCTCCTTGACACTCAACCTTAAAAATCCAGAATGATACTATCTCACCACTTCACTATCCTCATCTCACCTGGATATTGCAGCAGCCTCCTCACTGGTAGTCTGTTCTCAAAACAGCAGTCAGAGGGATCCTCTTAAAACTTGTGAGATCACCTCCATCACCTGTCCCCATCTCACTCAGGTAAAGGCCAAAGTCCTCACTGGGACCCACAGAGCCTGCAAGAACCACTTCACCTCCTTCGCCTCTCTGACTCCATTTCCCTCCACTCCTTCCTTGCCCACTTCACTATCTAAAGGACTAAATCACTAATGGCAAAATTGTGCTCATCAATGAGGAAGAGACTCTAGAGAAGAGTTTTGTTTTTATTTTTTAACTTATTGGAGTAAAATTCACATGACATAAAACTGACCATTTTAAAGTATACAATTCAGTAGCATTTTAGTGCTTTCACAGTGTTGTATAGCCACCACCTCTATCTTGTTCCAAATTTATATATTTTTTAGAGGCAGGGTCTTGCTTTTTTACCCAGGCTGGAGTGCAGTTACACCATCATAGCTCACTGCAGCCTCGACGTCCTGGGCCCAAGCAATCCTCCTGCCTCCGCTTTCTGAGTAGCTGGGGCTACAGGTGCATACCACCACCCTCAACTAATTTTTAAATTTTTTGTAGAGACAGGATCTCACTATGTTGCCCAAGCTGATCTCGAACTACTGGCCTAAAGTCATCCTCCCACCTTGGCCTCCCAAAGCCTTGGGATTATAGGCGTGAGCCACCATGCCCCGCCAGTACAGCCACTTTAGAAAACTGGGGTTTCTGGGAGCTAAATGATGAGAACTTATGAACGGAAAGAAGGAAACAACAGACATTGGGGTCTACTTGAAGGGGGAGGGTGGGAGGGGGAGAGGAGCAAAAAAGATCACTATTGGGTACTGGGCTTAATAACTGGGTGATGGAATGATATGTACAACAAACTCCCGTGATATGTGTTTACATATGTAACATACCTTCACATGCACCCCTAAACCTAAAATAAAAGTAAAAAAATTAAAGAAAACTGGAGTCTCTTTTAAAAATTTAACATACATCTAACCTATGAGCCAGCATTCCACTCCTAGATATTACCCAAGAGAGACGAAAATATTTGTCCACAAAAATCTTGTACTAAATTCAAGCTAGATTGTTCATAGCTGCTTTATTCATAGCAGTCAAAAACTAAAAATAGCCCTGATGCTCATCAACAATAGAATGAGTAAAATGCAGCATATTTATACAATGAAATACTACACACCATCAAGAAATGATCTACTGTCAGGCATGGTGGCTCAAGCTTGTAATCCCAGCTACTCAGGAAGCTGAAGTGGGAAGATCCCTTGAGTCCTGGAGTTCAAGGCTGCAGTGAGCTATGACTGCACCACTGCACTCCAATCTGGGTGACAGAATGAGATCCCGTCTCTTAAAAAAAAAAAAAGAAAGAAAGAAATGATTACAGATACACACAATATGAATATGAATGATTTTTGACTTTAATTTTTCAACTTTATGATCCTGTGAAAGAGATACATGTTCAGTAGAAACCGTATTTTGAGTACCCGTACAACCATTCTGTTTTTCACTTCAGGACAGTATTCAATAAATTACCTAAGATATTCAACACATCATTATACAATAGACTTTGTGTTAGGTGATTTTGCCCAACTGTAAGCTAATGTAAGTGTTCTGAGCGCACTCAAGGCAGGCTAGGCTAAGCTAGGATGTTTGGTAGGTTAGGCGTATTAAATGCATTTTTTTTACTTTTTTTTTTTTTTTTTTTTTTAAAGATAACTTCTCACTCTATCATCCAGGCTGGAGTGCTGTGGTATGATCATAGCTCATTGTAGCCTCTAACTCCTGGGCCCAAGACATCCTTTCACCTCAGCTTCCCGAGTAGCTGGGACTAGAGGCATATACCACCATGTGTGGCTAATTTTTCAAAAATTTTTTTTTTTGTACAGGTGGGGTCTTACTATTTTGCCCAGGTTGGTCTTGAATTCCTGGCATTCAAAGTACTGGGATTATAGGTGTGAGCCATTGTGTCTGGCTTAAATGCATTAAAAATTTTTTTTGTCGGTATAGTAGGTGTATATGTTTATGGGGTACACGAGATATTTTAATACAAGCATACAATGTGTCATAATCACATTGAGGTAAGCATTTATCATTTCTTTGTGTTACAAACAATCCAGTTATATTCTTTTAGTTATTTTAAAATGTATAACAAATTATTGTTGACTGTAGTCACCTTGTTACGCTATCAAATACTAGATCTTATTCATTCTACCAAACTCCAGCCATTCTACCTAACCGTTGCCCCTTCCCCTGCCGAATGCATTTTTGACTTAATGATATTTTCTATTTAGGATGGATTTATCAGGATGTGACACCATTGCAAGTTGAGGAGCATCTGTGTACTGTCTGGTTCTATTCCAGTGAAATTCTAAAACAGACACAACTAACCCGTGGTGATAGAAAGCAGATCTGCGGCTGCTTCTGGGAAGTGGGTTGACTAGGAAAGGGCATGAGAAAACTATCTGGGATGATGAATTTTTTCTTTGCTTTTCTTTTTTGAGGTGGGGTCTTGCTCTGTCACCCAGGCTGGAGTGCAGTGGCGGGATCTCAGCTGACGGCAGCCTCCCCCTCCCAGGCTCAAGTGATCCTCACACCTCAGCCTCCTGAGTAGCTGGGACCACAGGCATGTGCTACCACATCCAACTAGTGTTTTGTATTTTTTGTAGAGACAGAGTCTTGCCATGTTATCCAAGCTGGTCATTAACTCTTGGGCTCAAGCGATCCACCCCTTGACCTCCCAAAGTGCTGGGATCACAGGAGTGAGCCACCACCTGCACCACCTGCTGGAAATGTTTTATATCTTGATATGCAGTTATCCAAGTTGACTGAATGCTTCAGATCTGAGCATTTTGTTATGTGTAAGTTGTTTTTTCCTAAAATATTTTTCTAGGCTGAGGCGGGAGGATCACTTAAGCCCAGGAGACTAGCCTGGGCAACATAGTCAGGCCCTGTCTCTATTAAAAAAATAAAAATAAAAAACTTTAAAAAACTTTTCCTGTGGGTCAGGACGTAAGCTATGTGTTTGGGACACAGTATGTCATTTAACTTGTAAGCAAATTCATTAAGGTAGATATTATTGTCTCTGCCTTACAGATGAGAAAACTGAAGCTCAGAAGGGTTAAACAATTTGCCTCATTAAGAAAGGTGGGATTAAAACCCAGCACTATGGCCGGGCTCAGTGGCTCACGCCTGTAATCCCAGCACTTTGGGAGGCCGAGGTGGGCGGATCACGAGGTCAGGAGATCGAGACCATTCTGGCTAACACGGTGAAACCCCGTCTCTACGAAAAATACAAAAAATTAGCCGGGCGAGGTGGCGGGCGCCTGTGGTCCCAGCTACTTGGGAGGCTGAGGCAGGAGAATGGCGAGAGCCCTGGGGGGGACCCTGCAGTGAGCCGAGATCACGCCACTGCACTCCAGCCTGGGCAACAGCGAGACTCCGTCTCAAAAAACAAAAACAAAAACAAAACAAAAAAACCCGGCACTATGACCCGAAAGCCCATACCTTAAGGGTTACGTCTTCTCTCTCAACCCATTCTTTTCCCTAAGATTTTACAAAAGAGGAAACTGAGTCCCAGAGAGGGTTGGAGACATACTCAATGCCACTTAGCTCTTTGGAATCAGCATGGAACTAGAATCCAGGTTTCCAGAGCTTTCTTACTGCATCCCACTTGGGCAAAGAAGTCAAGCTCACTCCCACCTCCACCCAGCTGGAGGTTGGGAACTCAAAGTATAATTTCTAAAGACTTGAGTATAACATTCACGTTATGGGAGGCCCAAATTCAGGGCATAGATATCCTGTGACTTCAAAATGAGAGACTGTGCTTTCCATCTGTCTTTGTATTATTGGAGTCATTCCAGGCTGGTTTTCTGTGAATCACAGAGGCTTGCCATTCACCCTGCTGCAATTATCCCATTTTACACCCAGGACCCCCAACCAGACTCACCTATTCCCTCCCTCCGTGGCTTTTTGGGTGGCAAGATTTCCAATCCAACACATTCCACAAGCTTCCCTCTGCTTAATTTAAGAGGAGCTAGCATGAGTTTCTCATCTGCTCCTTGACTCTCAGAGTTCTGACATGGATTCATGTCAAGAACTACAAAAACAGCCAATCTAATTTGGTTTTAACCCACATCCAATCAATCAACAATAAGAGTGGCTGTTGTCAGGTTCAGCCCATCACATTGTTCAAAATCAGTGTCGTCTCTTGTGTTGTTAGAAGGTACCATCTTGTGTTTTGAGAGAATTAGGCTTAAATGGTGATGATAGATTCCTCCCAAAAAAGCTTGGTTCTCCGGGAGGAAAAAAAGTCGTATGTGTCCCAGCTTCTTTGGCCTTCTTCTGCTAAAGAGAAGTTTCATTAAAAAATGCTGGCCCGGTGTGGTAGCTAATGCCTGAAATCCCAGCACTTTGGGAGGCCAAGGTAGAAGGATTGTTTGAGCCCAGGAGTTGAGGATCGGCCTGGGCAACATGGCAAGACCCCCATCTCTAAAAAAAAAAAAAAAACACCCAAAATTAGCCAGGTACGGTGGTGCACACCTGTAGTCCCAGCTACTCGGGAGGCTGAGGTGGGAGGATCGCTTGAGCCCAGGGAGGTGGAGGCTGTAGTGAGCTGTGATGGTGTCACTGCCCTCCAGCCTGGGCAATAGAGAGAGACCCTGTCTCTGAAAAAAAAAAAAAAAAAAAAGTCTTTTTCTCCTCCTTAAAAGTCACAGAGTATGTTTCATGGGCTGCCTCTTCTCTGGAACTGGCAAGTGGTGCTGTGAATGAATCACCCTGTTTCTTGGGAATGTTTTGCTCCAAGAGCTCAAGGGGGTACAACAAGATGATAAACAGCCTCTTGAAAGGGCCTCTCCTCCCCCCGCTGCGGGGCTTGGAGCCTGTGAGTTCACGGAACTGGACAGTGGCCGAGCTTTCAGAGACTGCCGAGTCCAACTCAGTTTTGCAGACGAGGAAACCTGGGCTTTCACATTTATGGAAACGGAGCCAGGAGCAGGGCCGAGGCCATGTGAATACGACCCATCCCCACTGCTGGCGGGCCTGTGGGCCGAGGCCATCTTAGTACGACCCATCCCCACTGCTGGCAGGCCTGTGGTTCATCCCGCATCACTCTAAGCTTCAGCCTCCTTCTCTGGAAGATGAGGGCAGGATGCCTGATGTTCCCTGTGGTTTCCTATCATTCAGGGATCCTGAGTCTTTGCTCCTATGTAGTCACTTGGTAGAAACGCCGAACCTGAAATGTGGCACTTTGCTTCTCAAGCCAGAGAAGGATCCAGGCTTATGGCCCTTAGCAAAAGCCCAAGCGGTTCAGTTCAGCTCAGGTGGGTTCAACAAATACACTGACGCCCCGGCCCTGTTTAGCCCCTATGCTGGGCATCGGGGATGCCAGGTGAATCAGATCTGGCCCCAGCCTCCAATCAGTGGGGCTAGGCAGACACACAGACAGACTATGACCATAGGCTGTGGCAAGCCTGGGGATATTAGGCCTGAGGGGCTTTGGGAACACAGGCCAGGGCCTAACCAAGCCTAGGGGAGAGCCAAGGAGGGCCTCTGGGGCAGGTGGCCATGTTGGAGGGTTCGCATCTGGCGGCACTGATGAGAGGAGGTGACGGACAAATGGGATGAGACCTTGGGCAAGGCCCTTCCCCAGTCTGGGTCTGGGTCTTCCCAGAATGCACTTGCAGGGGATGGCGGAGGTCTCCCTACCTCTGGACTTCTTGGGTGGGGAAAGTGTTAATGTTCGTTGTGAGCTTGGAGGGCGCCCGTCCATGGCCAGGAGAGACTGTCCTATCCTGGCACCCAAGGCTGTGGCCTTTTTCACCTCCTACAGGTCCAGAGTCCTCTGGGAGCATAAGGGCGCTGCCTGGCAGCCCTCTCAGCTCTGACTGAGTCCCAATGTGTGTGGGAACACCTCGAGCTGGGAGAGGGGAGAGTAAGGCACCCTGCCCTCTCCTGACCCCTGCCTTGTCCTCAGTCCATTGGAGAATTGCTGCAGGCAAGAAACAGCCCTCAATAATACCAAGGACTGAGGTGCACAGCTGCTGATCAGTACCAAAAAGGAAACTCTTTGTTTTTTTTTTTGAAACAGTCCCCCTCTGTTGCCCAGGCTGGAGTGCTGTGGCATGATCCTGGCTCACTGCAACCTCCACCTCCCAGGTTCAAGCAATTCTTGTGCCTCAGCCTTCAAGTAGCCTGGGCTACAAACACATGCCACCATGCCCGGCTAATTTTTTTTATTTTTTACTTTTAGTAGAGATGGGGTTTCACCATGTTGCCCCGGCTGGTCTCGAACTCCTGACCTCAGGTGATCTGCCTGTCTCAGCCTCCCAAAGTGCTGGGATTACAGGCGTAAGCCACCGCGCCCAGACTCAAAAAGGAAATTCTTATTCTGAAGTGTCCGTCTCTGACAAATCCCTGGAGTCTCTGGCTCTAGATGGGCAGGAGAGTATCCTGGGACCCCAGTCCCTGTAAGCGGCGTCTGTCTCCCCCCTGCCCTCCCCAGCCAGGCTTAGCTGCCTCCACCTCTCCTCCCACTCTTTCCAGGACCTCTAGTGGTCTAGCTCCCGCCTCTACTCCCCTGAAACCTTACTCCCTGAGGTCAGCTGGAGCTGCTTTGTGATTGGTGGCTCAATGACCTGGACACTATTGGCCCTGACTTATCTCACGTGATCTCCCAGCAACATCTAATCCCAGAACAACATCCTTCCAGGAAGCCTATAACCCTCTTTGGAGGCCTCTTCCTGCAGCGTATTAGACATGAGGACTCCCCCTGGCTCTTCCTGGCTTTCTCATCCTTTACAAAACATCATATTCTGAGCCTCAGCTTCACCATCAGTGAAATGGGAATAATGATACAGGTTGAGCACCTCAAATTCAAAAATTTGCCATCCAAAATGCTTTAAAATATGAAACTTTTAGAGCATTGACATGACATTCAATGGACATGCTCACTGGAGCATTTCAGATTTCATTTTTTATTTTTTGGATTAGGGATATATATAATGCAAATATTTCAAAATCCAAAAAAATTCAAAATGGAAGCACCTCTGGTCCCAAGCATTTCGGATAAGGGAGACTCAACCTGTAGCACTTTTTCCAATGGGTTGCAATGAGTTAATGCATATAAGGCACTTGGCAACTGATGCAGTGTGTTCAAAAGTGTTGGTTAAATTATTCATTTTTTTCAACATCTCCATGGATATCTAACAGGTTTGCCCAAAATAATTTGGCCAAAACCAAACTCGTGACTTTTTGGCCTCAGTGGGCTCCTACCCAACCTTCCCCATCTCAGTAAATGCACCTCCACTCACCCACCCAAAGCCTGAGAATCCGTCTTGAGCTGCCCTCTCTGTGCCCACACCCCTCATCCATCAGCAGGGACTGTGGGTGCTTCCTCCTAATGCACTCAAGTCATCCACTCTCACCACCTCCCCTGCCAGGCTTGCAACATTTTCCCTCCCTCCTGGAGGACATCCCAGCCTCCTTGCTGGCCTCCCTGCCTCCACCCACGTCCCTTAATCCCGCTCTATGCAGCTGCTGGCAGGGCCTTGCAAAAACATACATTGGTGGCTCATGCCTGTAATCCCAGCATTTGGGAGGCCAAGGCGGGCGGATGCCTTGAGCTCAGGAGTTCGAGACCAGCCTGGACAACACAGGGAGACCCTGTCTCTACAAAAAATTAAAAAAAAAATACATTAACATCTTGTCACCAACACCTGTCTCCTCCTTTAACATCCACAGTGGTCTCCCAGAGCCTGGAAGTAAAGCTCAAGCCCCTTCCCCATACCCCAGGAGGCTCTAGTCCCTGTGAAGAGCTCTGGTTCCATCTCCCACTAATCTTCCTCCACCCATTCTCCATCCAGATCCAATATAACCAGTTCCCACCTTGAGGGCCTTTCCCTGAATGTTCTTTTCCTCAAATCATTTTCTTTTAATTTTTTATTTTATTTGAGATGGGATCTCGCTTTATCACCCAGGTTGGAGTGCAGTGGCACGATCATAGCTCACTGCAGCCTCAACCTCCTGGGCTCAAGCGGTCCTCCTGCCTCAGCCTCCCAAAGAGCTGGAATGACACCATGCCTAGCTCTCCCGAATCTTTGTATGGTCATTCTTTTTCATCCTTCGAGGTTTAGCTGCCCAACTCTAGTCCCAGCTGCTTGGGAGGCTGAGGCGGGAAGATCACTTGAGCCCAGGAGTTTGAGGTTGCAGTGAGCCAGGACTGTACCACTGCACTCCAGCCTGGGCAACAGAGCAAGACCCTCTAAAAAGCAATAAGAACAATAAAAACCAAGCTTTAGCTACTTTCCTCTGGGAAGCCTTTCTGACCTGCTGTCCTCAGAACTCCTCACATCCTTCTCACCCTGTCCCTCACTGACTCCTGTCCTAGCAGGTAGCACATTCTGCATTTCTGCATCACTTGGTTCAATTTTTTTACCGACCACCTCTCACACCAACCTGTGAAATCCACAAAGGCAGGGGCCGTGTGCATTTTATTAACCAACGAGCCCCCATCAGTCACTCAACAAATGCTTTACCCACTCCCAAGGCCTCAATCAGATCTCCAGACCTGGGCTCTGTGGCCTTGGGGAAGTTACTCACCCTCTCTGGGCCTGTCTGGCAGGTAGAGGGGCCTGGCTGGTGATGGATGCCTCCTCTTATCCCTGGCCCACGTTGTGGCAGGGAGGGGAGGCTGCCCAGGCTGGCCCTTCACGTGCTGGGTACTTCTGAGGGCAAGCTTCCACAGACAGAGCTCCCCGAGTGTTTGCTGAGTTGAACAGAAGGACCTGGAAACCTCGATGCCAACACCTCCAGGAATGAGAAGGCTGCAGGGGAGCCAGCTCAAAGCTCAGGGAGCTAATTGCACCATTAGATGATTAAAGATGTTTAATGACAGGGATGCAGCTGTGGTGGGAAGTTAAGCATGGACCACAAGCGGCCCGAGGCTTGGTTCAAATTTGGGGTGTGGGAAGGAGCCTCCCCCAGATCCAACCATCTGGATAGGAGAGGTCACAGCCACAGCCTGTGGCCCCAGGCGGCTGAGGCCTGAGCCAGCACTGGGGCTGGGCTCCTTCCGGGCTGCCTGGGGATCCCTGCCTCCGGAGTCCTCCCTGAGCTGGCGGGGCCCTGAGAGAAGGTGAGGCCAGACTCAGGGTGTGACGGGGGGCAGGGTGGCTGGCTCAGTTCCTGCTCTGGAAGCCAGAGCTAATGTGCTAGCCTCAGACAGGGGCTGAGATGGGCCTGGCATGGCGCCAGCCGATCTGGGGAATCCAGGCCTGAGATTCCTGTCCCAACAAGTGTTGGGGCCTGTTGAGCGTCAAGCGCTGGTCTGAGCAATGCCGGAACATGATGATGACCCAGCCCACCCTCTCCCTGCTGGAGAAACATCCACTGGGAGGAGTGCAGATGGGATCTACGAAGCTTTGACCTGGGCTTGGGGGTCAGGGGAGGGACCAAAGAATGGAACAGGAGTTAGCAGGGGATTAGAGACAGGAAGGACATCCCAGCAGAGGGCAAGCAGGAGCAGGGCCCACTGGGGAGACAGCGGCAGGGAAGAGGGGTGGTGGAGGTTCAGCCGTTCAGCCTTGCAGGCAGATGAGGTAGGACTGGAGAGGCTGGCGGGGCCCTGGTGGCCTCTTAAGTGTGAGCTTTGGCCTAAGGCCCCTGGAGAGCCACTGAAGGATCAGAGCTGTGATTTGGAAAGAAGAACACAAGGACTGTTTTTTAACATTATTTTATTTTTTTGAGTTGGAGTCTTGCTCTGTCACCCAGGCTGGAGTGCAGTGGCACGATCTCGGCTCACTGCAGCCTCCGCCTCCTGGGTTCAAGCGATTCTCCTGCCTCAGCCTCCTGAGTAGCTGGGATTACAGGTGCACACCACCACGCCTGGCTCATTTTCTTGTATTTTTGGTAGAGACGGGGTTTCGCCATGTTGGCCATGCTGGTCTCGAACTCCTGACCTCAAGTGATTGACCCACCTCAGCCTCCCACAGTGCTGGGATTACAGGCTTGACCACTGAGCTTGGCCACAAGGACTGTTATAGGATGAATTAGGGAGGGGCACAGCTGGGATCTGGATGAGCCAGGCCCCACCTGAGTACCAGGGAGGGGATGAAAGGAGGGGATAGTTGGAGTGGAGGAGGGAGGCCAGGGATGCCAGGTTTCTGGTGGAAGTTCTTTTTTGTTTTTTTTTTAGATAGGGTCTCCCTCTGTTGTCCAGGCTGGAGTGCAGTAGTCATGGCTCACTGCAGCCTCAACCTCGCTTGCTCAAACAACCCTCCCACCTCGGCCTCCCAGGGTGCTGGGATTACAGGTGTGAGCCACCTCACCCGTTCTCTGGCTGAAGTTCTTGAAAGGGTGGGATCCCAGAGGAGGGCCAGTTTCAGGGAACAGAAGATATGTTCTGCCTGGGATGAGTGGAGTCTCTGGGATACTGTGTCGGGGTAGGAGGACGTTCTATGGAAAGGTCTGGATGATGACTGGACAGATGGGTCCAGAGTTCTGGAGGGAGGCCAGGGCTGGGGAGGGAGATCTGGCATGCAGCTGGGTAGGTAGTCCCTTCTCGATCCTACAGCGGTGACCTCCAGAGCGCTCCATGTATTGGCTTTTCTCCTTCCCTGCCTTTCCCTTCCTGCTTCTTTGCTCCAGCTTCCTGGGGTCACTTCTCAAAAGAGTAGTCTCGGGCTCTGCTTCAGGAGAACCTGAACTAAGATAGAGTGAAGCTGAAGCCACCAGACAGTGGGCTGGCTCCTCTTGGGCTAACACTGGCTGTGTCCTCAGCCCAGGCCCAGTGCAAAGGAGCCTCCCTTCCTCATTACCCGCTTCTGCCCTACCCCGGGAACGTGTGTGGACGTAGAAAGGGTGAGTCAAGGCCAAGGGGAAGGGGAAGGGGAAGGGGACATCCCAGAACGTCACGAAGAAGAACTGGGCACTTCCTCCTGGGGGTAGCACTCTTTCTCATCAATGGTGCCACGACAGGTGCAAAATGCACAACGGATGTCACAGAGCATCCCCAGCAGGTGCCCCCAGAGGGACCAGCCCAGAGCGGGTGCGGAAAGGCCAAGTGCATGACCAGCCGCCTTGAGGACTTTGGCCCCCAGGAACCTTGGGCTGTGGACTAGGCCTTGTACTTGGGCTTCCCGACTAGTTGGGAAGCAAAGATCCGTGTGCTTAGAGGGCGCTAGATGGCACTTTAAAAATAACTCATAGGCCGGGTGCAGTGGCTCACGCCTGTAATCCTAGCACTTTGGGAGGCCAAAGCAGGAGGATCACTTGAGCCCAGGAGTTCAAGACCAGCCTGGGCAACATAGGGAGGCCCTCGTCTTTACAAAAAAAGTTTTTTTTTTTTTTTTTTTTTTTTTTTTATAATTAGCCGGGCATGGTGGTGGTCGCCTGTGGTCCCAGCTACTTGGGAGGCTGAAGTGGCAGGATCACTTGAGCCCAGTTCAAGATCAGTGTGGGCAAGATGGTGAGACCCTATCTCTTAAAAAAAAAAAGAAAAAGAAAAGAAAAGAAAGTAGGAAGGAAGGAAAGAAAGGAAAGAAAGGAGGAAGAAAGGAAGAAAAGAAAGAAAGAGAAGGAAAGAAAGAAAGAAAGAGAAAGGAAAGAAAGAAAGAAAGAGAGAGAGAAAGAAAGAAAGGAAGGCAAGCCAGGTGTCATGGCGCTCATCTCTAGTCCCAGCTACTCTGGAGGCTGAGGTGGGAGGATTCCTCGAGCCCAGGAGTTTGAGGCTGCAGTGAGTTGTGATGATGCCACTGCACTCCAGCCTGGGTGACAGAATGAGACCTCCTGTGTCTAAAAAACACATAAATACATAAAACTAACTTAAGCTATTTTCTATTGCCTGAGCAACATTAGCTCACTGTAGAAAACTTAAAAAATGCCCAGGCGCAGTGGCTCACACCTGTAATCCCAGCACTTTGGGAGGCCGAGGCGGGTGGATCACCTGAGGTCAGGAGTTCGAGACCAACCTGACCAACATGGCAAAACCCCATCTCTATTAAAAATACAAAAATTAGCCAGGTGTGGTGGCGCATGTCTGTAATCCCAGCTAGCTGGGAGGCTGAGGCAGGAGAATGGCTTGAACCTGGGAGGCAGAGGTTGCAGTGAGCCGAGATAGCGCCACTGCATTCCAGCCTGGGTGACAAAAGCAAAACTGTCTCAAAAAAAAAAAAAAAAAAAGAGAGAGAGAAGAAAACGTAAAAAATAAAGACAAGCATAAAAGAAAAAATTATTAAGCTCATCGGTGATCCCCCACCCCCAGGGCAACTGCTAGTATCATGGAAGTGTTTATTCCATTTTTCCTGTGCCCACTTTTTTAAAAGACAGAAATAGTTACATCATTAATGCTATAATATTTTAATTTACTAATATGACATGAACTCTTTCCATGTCAAAACATATGAATCTTTAGCTGGGCGTGGTGGTGTGCGCCTGTAGTCCCCGCTATTCAGAGGCTGAGGTGGGAGGATCTCTTGAGCCCCGGAGGTTGAGGCTGCAGCGAGTCGTGATTGTGCCATTGCACTCCAGCCTAGGCAACAGAACAAGACCTTTTCTCAAAAGAACTAAAAAAGAAAATAAAAGTTATGTGGATCTACATTATTAATTTTAAGGCCGTCATAATTATCTACTTTATTAATGGACTTGTCCGGCTGCACCAGAAATGATAATAATATGCATTCACTGGGTATCTAGCATGTGTGTCATTACACAGCCATATGAGGTGTGTACAAGTATCCCCGTTTTACCAATGAGAGAAGTGAGAGTCGGGGGTTAATGACCTCCAAGGCCACACAGCTACCGAGGCAGGATTCAAACCCAGGTCTGCTCTTAACCGTGATGTTCAGCCACCCGGCAGGTCCCTCCCACTGACCCCTATATTTGTTTCTGCAAAAAAATTCTGATGAGTCAGAGCCCCGTGTGTGCATTTTACCAGTTCCACTTGGAGGGAAACTTTATTTGCAGGGCATTACATTGGGGCAGGAAGGGTTGGGGGAGCAGACATCACCATCCCTCCAGCCTGCCCCCTGGACATCGCACTGCTTCCCTTAGCAGCTATGGAAACCACTCCGACCAGAGAGGGGAAGGGACTTGCCCAAGGCCACACTGTTCAGAGGCTGCACAGGACTGCAGTCCTGGCTTCCGATTTCCCACTGGGGTGTGGATGAAGCATGCGGGACACACGAGACATAGGGATTAGAGGCTCCAGGTCCAAAGGGCAGGGACGGTGCCAGTCTTGGTCACTCACTGCTCACTTGTCTGTCCCCAGCTCCAGCACAGGAGCTGACATGCAGGCCTGAATGGATAAAGACGATAAGGAAGGCAAGACTGGGAGGGATCTCTGTGGAAGACTTCCAGGAGGGGCCGGGGTTGGGCCAAAGGGGAGTGGGGCTTGGACCAGCAGAGAGGAGATGGTGGTACTGCGTGGGCAGGTGTGTGGAGGAGGGAGGAAACCTGGCCTGCTGAGGAGAGAAATGGGTCTGGGAGCAGGCCAGCCAGCCAGAGGGGATGAGTCTGGGCGTGGCCAGAGCAGACCAAGGAGGCTCCAGGCTCCGCCTCTGGGGCAGCCCCACTCCCCCACCAGCCCCCCGTCCCCCAGCCCCACCACAGAGCCCTGCCTGGGTAATTCCTGAACAGGAACAGAAGGAGGAAGCTGTACAAGTGACACTCAGCTGGTGAGTGGGAGGCAGGGTTTGGTTTCCTTTCCAGATGAGCCCTGGGTTTGTTCAGCCCTGGTGCGTGCCCCCACCCCTGCCCCTCCCCTGCTGTCTGTGGCCTTGGCTCAGGCACTGGTGAATCTCAGAGGCCAGGCAGGCCAGAAAGGAGCCATCCAGGCCAGGAAATGGGGAGGTCCTGTTGCGTGGGAATCCCCTGGGAGGGTGGCTTGACGTGTCCCCTTCTCTCTCGGACCAGACTGTGAGAACTGAAAGCTGGGACCGCAGCTTTCACATCCTTCCGGTGTGGCAAAGTCCTTTCCATCCTTCAGGACCCAATCTATTTTATTTTTTTACTTTGGAGATGGGATCTTGCTTTGCTGCCCAGGCTGCAGTGTAGTGGCACAATCATGGCTCACTGCAGCCTCAAACTCCTGGGCTCAAGTGATCCTCCTGCCTCAACCTCCTGAGTAGCTGGAGTACAGGCACACCTACCATGCCTGGCTAATTTTTAATCATTTTTGTAGATACGGGGCCTCGCTGTGTTGCCCAGGCTGGTCTCAAACTCCTGGGCTCAAGTGATCCTCCTGCCTCACCCTCCCAAAATGTTGGGATTACAGGCGTGAGCCATTGCACCCAGCAGAGACTCAATCTAAATGTCCCTCGTTTGGTAAACTCTCCGAGAATCCCCTATCAAGGCAAACTGACAAATGCTCCCCACCCCCGAACTCCTGTAGCACTCAGAACACACTTAAAAATAAAAAGAATCACTGTTTATTGGGTGTCCACAATGCACAGGGTCTCACATTTCACCTCCTTGTTGTACCTCTCAGCATCACTGACAGTTGGCACCATCCTTAGTTCCATTTTACTGAGCAGCTCAGTGGGGCACAGGGAGGTTGCAGGGTTGCAGGCAGTGGGGCTGGGTCTCCTGGATACCAAAGTGTGTCGCTCTCTGGCCCTCCTGCTCATAGTGTTTCAGGGTCTGTTTCCTCTTCTGGCTTGGAGCCTTCAAAGGGCAGAGTCTGTGTCCCTGGAGACCTGGCCTTGGGGAGGTGTTGACCCATGGACAAATCTTTGAACCTCCCCACCAGCCTTCACCATGATGAGGACCTAGGCTGGTGCCTTGTATACAGTAGGCTGTTACTGAATTCTTGTGACATTGAGAAAGCTTGATCTTAGTCCAGGCTCTGTCATAAACTTGCAGTTTGAGTTTGGGCAAGTCACTTCTATTCTCTGGTCCTAAGTTTCCCTGGGTTTAGAAGGAAATGTTTACAGACAAGTGTCTTAACTTCCTCCCTGTCCGAAAATTCAGTCCTTTGCTCTAGAACATGGCACATACCCCACACTCAATTTCCCTTATTATTATTGTTATATTAAGTTTTTTTTTTCTCAAGTGGGCTTGCTAGGGAATCCCTGATTATTAATATCCATGATAGTATAGTATGTTACAATTAACGAACCAATATTGATACATTATTATTAACTAAAGTCCATATTTGCTATGGAGTTCCTTAGTTTTTCCCTAATGCCTAATGTCCCCTTTTTTTTTTTTTTTTTTTTTTGAGACAGTGTCTCGATCTGTCACCTAGGCTGGAGTGCAGTGGCATGATCTCGGCTCACTGCAACCTCCACCTCCTGGGTTCCAGCTATTTTCCTGCCTTAGCCTCCTGGGTAGCTGGGATTACAGGCATGCACCGCCAAGCCTGGCTAATTTTTGTATTTTTAGCAGAGATGGGGTTTCACCGTATTGGCCAGGCTGTTCTCGAACTCCTGATTTCAGGTGTTCCACCTGCTTTGGCCTCCCAAAGTGCTGGGATTCCAGGCATGAGCCACTGCGCCTGGCACCTATGTCCTTTTTCTGTCCCAGGATCATGTCTCCTCTTGGCTTTGATAGTTTCTCGGACTTTTCTTTTTTTGATGACCCTGACAGTTTTGAGGAATACTAGTTAGGTGTTCTGTTTTTTGTTTTTCGTGTTTTTTTTTTTTGTTGTTGTTGTTTGTTTGTTTTTTGAGATGGAGTCTTGCTCTGTTGCCAGGCCAGAGTACAGTGGCGTAATCTCAGCTCATTGCAACCTCCACCTCCCGGGTTCAAGCAATTCTCCTGCCTCAGCCTCTCGAGTAGCTGGGACTACAGGCATGTGCCACCACGCCCAGCTAATTTTTGTATTTTTAGTAGAGACGGCGTTTCACCATATTGGCTAGGATGGTCTCGATCGCTTGACCTTGTGATCCGCCCGCCTTGGTCTCCCAAAGTGCTGGGATTACAGGCATGAGCCACCTTGCCTGGCCTTTTATTTTTTATTTTTTGGATAGTGTCTAAGTCTGTCACCCAGGCTTGAGTACCGTGACACAATCATAGCTCACTGCAGCCTCCACCTCCCAGGCTCAAGCGATTCTCCCACCTCAGCCTCCTGAGTAGCTGGGACTACAGGCATGTGCCCCCATGCCCAGCTAATTTTATTAAAAAATTTGTTTTTTGGTAGAGATAGGGTCACACCATGTCACCCAGGTTGGTCTTGAACTCCTGGCCTCAAGTGATCCTCCTGCCTTGGCCTCCCAAAGTGCTGGGATTATAGATGTGAGCCACAGTGCCTGGCCTAGTCTGGTGTTCTGTAGAATGCCCCACTATTAGAATCTGTCTGAGGCTTTTCTCATGGCTAGACTGGGGTTCCGGGTTCTGAGGAGAAAGACCACAGAGGTAAAATGCCATTCTAATCACATCATATCAAGGGCAAATGTTATCAGCAGGCCCGATCACTGCTGATGTTGTCCTGATCACCTGGCTGAGATAGCGTTTGTAAGGTTCCTGCACTGCAAAGGCACCGCCCCCACCCCTCTTTCCACCCTGAACTCTTTAGAAGGGAGCCACCAAGCACAGCCCACATCTAGGGACTGGGGAGTAATGTTCCTCTCCTTGAGGGTGGAGTATAGTGTGAATATTTTTTCTTCTATCTACTTTTCAAAGTACTCCCACAAAACATTGCTACATTGCATCTTCCCAATGCTTAGGAAATGTGGAGGATGGAGGCATTCCATTGAGGTGGAGGCCAGTGCTCAGAGGGGCAGCAGTGGTTCCCTGCCCGGCCCCTGTGGATCTGGCCTTTTGCTCTTGGATGTGAAATATGCGAGCTTTGAGGTTCACAGACCCGGGTAGCACAGAACCGCAGCACCTGAGTTCCAGATTCAGGAAGGCTTAATTTTTTTTTTTTTTTTTTTTTTTGAGAGGGAGTCTTGCTCTGTTGCCCAGGCTGGAGTGCAGTGGTGCAATCTCAGCTCACTGCAACCTCTGCCTCCCGGGTTCAGGAAATTCTCCTGCCTCAGGCTCCCGAGTAGCTGGGATTACAGGCACCTGCCACCACACCCAGCTAGTTTTTGTATTTTTAGTAGAGATGGGGTTTCACTATGTTGGCCAGGCTGGTCTCGATCTCCTGATCTCAGATGATCCACCTGCCTCGGCCTCCCAAAGTGCTGGGATTACAGGCGTGAGCCACCGCACCCAGCCAGGAAGGCTTGAATTTTGTTTGGGTTTGAATTCAAGGTCCCGCCCTTCCTCACCACGTCATGTCACCTCACTGAGCCTCAGTTTCCTCATCTGTATGGTGGGATAACAATAGCTAGCTCCTACCTTGTTGCGTTGTGAAGAATGAACTAGATGCTACATCCAGAGTCCCTGGAAGCGATTCCCTGCTCAGGAAACTCCTTGCACCAGGACTGTGAGCCATGGTGATTATTTTTACAATGATTCTTTCAGCCCTCCTGTCGTGACCGTCTCCTCTCTGTGCGGCAGGTTTCTCACCCCCTGTGGACTGTGGGGTCACAGCTCTAGCTGCAGATTTCCGGCTGCCCTCTGCCCTCCCATCAGGCCAGGCAGATCAAGGGCCCAGCCTCCTTTCATCTTTTCTCACAAACATTCTGGGATGTGGCGGAAGGAGGCCTGGGCTGGGGTGGGATGGTGGCTCTGCCTGCCAGCAACTCTCTGTGTGACCTTGGGAGAATGCTTGTCCTTCTCTGGGCCTCTTCTGCAGCCTGAGGGGAGTGAGGTGTTGAGCGTACTTGGCCGTCATGCGAGCCCAGTGGGGCCAGGCGTCTCCCCCATTTTCACATGGGCAGGTCTTTTCTGCCTTTGACGTCTGTGTTTTGTCTCCAGATTCTGGGCTGGGTAGAGACACACTTGAGCCTGAGGTTCCCCATCTGTGAACCGGCCACACAGCCCAGAAGGTCCGGCTGTGAGGGTTTGAATGTGTGGGGCTGTGCTCAGTGGTTAATGCCGTTTGAAGGTCACCACTCAGGCGCCACCTGCTCAGGTGCTGCTGTCACCATCTCTTCCCTGACGGGGGCACATTTGTTATGATTAATGAATCAATACAATATTGATACATTATTATTATTTAAAAAAATTTCAGAGGCAGCGTCTCACTCTGTTAGCCAGGCTGGAGTGCAGTGGTACCATCACGGCTCACTGCAGCCTTGACCTCCTGGGCTCAAGCGATCCTCCTGCCTCAGCCTCCCAAGTAGCTGGGATACAGGTGCACACCACGCCTAGCTAATTTTTTGTTGTTGTTTTTTGTGGAGACAGGGGTCTCACTGTATACCCAGGCTAATCTTGAACTCCTAGACTCAAGTGATCCTCCCACTTCAGCCTCGATGCTGGGATTACAAGGCATGAGCCATTGCACCTGGTCTGATACATTATTATAATTGAAGTCCATGCTTTAGTCAGACTTCCTAAGTCTTTCCCTAATGTCTTTTTTCTGCCCCAGGATCATGTCTCCTCTTTGCTCTGATAGTTTTTCAGATTTTTCTTTTCTGCCTTTGACACCCATGTTTTGGACGCCCCTCCCGGTGCTGGCCGCTGGGGGAGAACAAGCTCATCTGCTCCTGGCTCCTGACTCCCATGGGGTTGGGGATGCTTCTCTAGTGTCTTGGGTTTCCCACCTTCGGCCAGTTTGGCCTCACTTCCTGGAACACGGATATATGCCCATGCACACACTCCTGTGTGAGCCAGGCCTTCTGCATCAGCTGGGTCCCCGCTGCTCCTCAGCACAGAGGCCTCCTGACTGCCCCCTCCCTGTCCCCTAATGTGACCGCCACTCCATGTCTCCCCAGGCCCTGCTCTGCTCACCACCCTCCGTGGCTCCCACCACCTCCAGGACAGAAGCCACGCCTGGCACTCAGGGATCCTCAGGTTCCCCTACCACCCTTCCCACCTCACTTCCCCGACTCCAGCCCAACCGCCATGCTGTGCTTCGCAAACACCACCTGCTTCTGCATGGAGTTGCAGACGCAGCGGCGTTCCCCATCTCTGTCTTTGCTCACACTGTCCCTCTACCTGCACACCTGTCCTGTCCTGTTTGTTATTATAATTATCTTGTTTTTTGAGACAGGGTCTTGCTCTGTCACCCAGGCTAGAGTGCAGTGGTACGATCATGGCTCACTGCAGCCTCGATCTCCTGGGTTCAAGTTATCTTCCCAGCTCAGCCTTCCCAGTACCTGGGACCACAGGTGCACACCACCACATCTGGCTAATTTTTAGTTTTTTTTTTTTTTTTTTGTAGAGACAGGGCCTCACTATATTGCCCAGACTGGTCTCAAACTCCTGGACTCAAGTGATCCTCCTGCTTCAGCCTCCCAAAGTGTTGGGATTATAGGCGTGACCCACCATGCCCTGCCTCCCTGTCCCATTTTCACCTGGCAACCATCTCCCCAGGCTTCTAAACTCTCCATAGACAACTCTCTCCTCAACACACATGCTGGGTTGGGGGCCCCACTCTGGGCCCTGCAGCCCCTGTACTTGCCCATCCCTGACTCCTCTAAGTTAGAGACCAAAGACCAGCCTTGGTTTTTTCACTGCTGTATCCCAGCATGTAGCACAGACCCTAGCACATAGTAGATGCTCAATAAATGACCACTGCAGGAGGAAGGAAGAGTGAAGCCAAGCCAAGGACTAGGGGGTGGGGAACCTTCTGGGCAGAGGGATCAGCAAGTGCAAAGGCCTCAGGACAGGGACTGCTTGTGGAGGGACAGCAGGAGGCAGGTAGAGGAGGGGAGGAGACCAGGGCCTGCACAGCACGACATCTCTGTGTAAACTGTGAAGTGCAGTGCCAGGGGAGGTGCCAAGCCCATTCCACAGACTCAGGCTAGAGCCCATCCCCCACCCACCCTGTCCTGTAGCCCTGAGCCTGGTGGCTTCAACTAGACCACTCACAGCACACCATGTGGAGAATGGCAGAACTGTTCTGGAGTTTCCCACTGAGGCCTGTGATGGGTCCAGTTTCCTGGCTGCTGCAGCAAGGGTGAGCTGGGCTGGGGCTGGGCATAGCAGATCAGCCATCATTGAGCCAGGGTCACCAGGGCACTAGGTGTGCTGTGGGCAGCACCTCTGATCCCATGTCATGGGACAACTCTGGCTCGTGGGTTCACTGCCAGTCGTGGAGGGCCAGGCCTCACCCTACCCCCTCCACCCTGCCCTCAGTTGTGGCTTTGGCCCACCCAGGTTGAGGGAAGGAGGGAAGAGGAGGTTTCTGGAGACAGAGGACTATACAACCAGCACTCACCATCTCAGCAATGTTGACGTCAATAGCATCTATCATCTGCTGGGTGCTTTTGGGTTGGGAAGTGGTTCCTGTTGGTGTTCTAAGACTGGCCTGGGGCCATATATACAGTTGGTAGTCAATAAATGCTTGCTGTCCATTAACGATGATTTGCAGGAATTAAGCAATGAGTTGCTGCTTTACCAACAAAGAATGTTTTAAGCAAAATAATTTGCACAAAGAGTCACTTATCTACCAGGCCAGACCAGCAACTCCCAACTGCACAATCCTGGAACTTGCCAGGGTTGTTACCCTCGTTTTACTGATGAGTAAACTGAGGCCCAGAGAAGGCAGGTTCACATAGTCACTGAAGGGAAGAGCTGGAACTTGAACTCTTGTCTGTAGGTCCCAAGTCAGTGTGTGCTGCCTGGCCAACTGGGCAGTGCCTGCTCCGTGCTGGGCATGGGCCAGGCCTTGGTCACTGCCCTCAGGGTGGGGACAGACACACTCAGAACGGACTTAGCACGTGCCTCCATCAGGGCGTGTCAGGAAGCATGTTGTGGAGAAGGTGGCGTTTACTCTGGACTTTGAAGAACAAGGCGAGGTAGCCAGGGACAGGGGCTGAGCCTTCCTGGCAGGGGTTACAGCCTAGCAAAAGCCCAGAGGGGTAGTTAAAAATAAAGAGTGCTTCAAACGCTCAATAATGGAACCATTGTGCTGGCCACATCCTCCTGAGAACCTCAGCCGCTGAGCCAGGCCCTTGAAGTCGGCAGTGGCTTCAGGTGGGAAGCTGCATCTGTGCTTGCAGAACCTTTACTTGTCTAAGTTGCCTCCTCTCTGATAAGAGCATGTAGGGTATGAATGAGAAAGAGATTTCACATGTGCTGAGCGGGCATCACCTCATTTCATCCTTACATGCGTCTTCTGGGGGCTGTGATATCTTTAGCCCACTCTGCAGGTTGGCATACTGAGGCTTCTTACATTATCTGCAAAGTGGCAGAGTTGAGACTTGAACCTGGGTCTGGTCCAAAATCTGTGCTTTTAAGCTCTCTGTCATCCCAGTTCTCGAAAAGCCCAGAATTTTCTGTTGAACTCCTGGGGATGAGTTTAGTGATGTGCTCGTACATATTGAATAACCAGCTCTCTGGAAGAAAAAAGAGGCTTGATTGGTAGCGTATTCCGATGTCCAAGGGGTAAATACTCCCACTGTGGCTGACATGGAGCTATCAGTGTGACATTCTTGAATATGGAGTTGGGAAGAGATGAGCACAGTTGGTTCTTGCAAGTAGGTAAGGGCCAGCTCCAGCGTGTCACTGGGTAAATGTCCCTGCCTCCCCCCCGAGCCCAGTATGGCCAGTAAAGGCCTTTAGACATGTCTAAGGAATGGAAGAGGGCTGAGAAACCTGCTCCTCCAGCTGGGGGCCCGCCCTGAGCCCTGGGAAGCTGCGGTTAATCTTTAAGCCAGCCTTGCAAACAAGTGCGGCCATTTCACCAGCCCAGGCTGGCTTCTGCTGTTGACTGGCTGTGGCACCTCAAGCAGCCCCTTTCCCCTCTAGCCTCAGTTTATCACCGCAAGAGCTACCATTCATCTAGCACAACCTGACCATCCTCACACTGGTCAGTTCCAACCTTCCCAGGAATCTTCTGTGGCCATGTTCACTCCGGTTTTACAGGTGAGGGGGCTGGGCTGGGAAGCTGATCGACTTGTCCACCCCACAGCAGAGGGGCAGCTAGCCTAGATGCGAACCTAGATCAGTGTAGAGTAAGGCTTTGCTCATTCCTGGTCTCCTGGAAGGTATGTTGTACCCAGAGGCCTTTGCCTTCCACATTCTAGGGTGCTCCTCCCAGCTCCTCTCAGCAGGGACCTTTGCCCAGGGAATAGAAGCCTGACCTGTCTGGGCCTTAATTTCCCATCTGTGAAATGGGAGAACTTTCAAAGAAGGAATATGGAGGCAGGTGTGATATTTAAAGCTGGACCCAGGCCCACCTTTCCCTGTGCTAGGATTCCAGGACAGGTAAGGAGCCAAGGGTGGGGTGCCCAGCCCCAAAAGGATAGCCCTGGAGCCTGCGCCAGGGGGTAAGAGGGGAGTCTTTGTGGCCTAAAGCAGCATTTCCTCAATGTCCCGTTTTTCTGCTACATTTCCTGCCCTGGTTCAGAGGTACTTAGCCTCTTTACTTACTTGGAAGTGTGACTGCCACTCAGATGCCCTGGTCAGCCCCTCCTAAGCAGTAATAATTAGAACTAGGGGACTTCCGATGGGCTGCCAGGGATGTTTTGCCCTTATGCACTTAAAATGAACCCGTAACTATTAAAATAAATGTCGCTCCTCCCCACCCTGTCCCTCCTGCCCCAGCCCCTACTTTGAGAAACTCAGGTCAAGGCTAAAGTCCAAGGCCTGGTTCTTGTCAGTGCCTCAGTTTCCCCATCTGTAAAGTGGGGCGATCTTCCGCCGCTCAGGCCAGGTGGTGGTTAGGATTAAACCCTGAAGTCGACCTGAGCAGCTTAGCATGGCGCCTGGCCCAGAGCGGGCGCTCCACGCCCGCTGATATTATTACCAATCGTGATTTCGGGAGAGGCGGATCTGGGGCGTAGAAGGTGGGTGGGTTGGGGAGGGCATTTTGGCCTGGGGGCGGATGGGGCCCGCGGGGTGCGGCGCCCTGGCGGAGTGGGAGGCGGGGCTTCTGTGCCCGGTGTCCCCACCCCGCCCGGACCCCCAGCTCGGGCCGCCCCTGGGTCTCTCCCGGGTCACCGGCGGGGAATCCGTCCCCGCGCGCTTCCTCCTTCCTCCTCCTCCCGGCTGCCTGCCGGGCCCCTCCTCCCAGCTCGCGCGCTCCCTCCCTCCTCTTCCCCTCCCCGGGCCGCCGCCGCCTCCTCCTCCTCCTCCTCCCTTTCTCTCTCGATCTGTCTCTCCCGGCCCGGAATCCATTCCGGCCTGGGAGCCGGAGCGGCCAGGCCGCCGTCTGCCCGTCCCGCTGGACGTCCCGCGGTCCGCCCTCCCGTGCGTCCGTCTGCCGGTGAGCCCGCCCGCCCGCCGGCCCAGGTGAGCGCCCCCCGCCCCTCCGCGGACCCCCCGCCCCGGCCAGCGCGGGGGAGCCCCCGCCCCGGACCACCCTGGCGTCGGATCGCGGGCCGGCGGGGACTCCTGTCCACCCCCCCAATTCCCACCCCCCCTCCGGGCCAAGCCGCGATACCCAAGCGCCGGGCGGGCGCACGGGGCCATGCCCGGCGCGGCCTTTTGTTGTGATGCAGCGGGGGGAGGGGGCTGGGCGGGGGGGGCGCAGGGTTCCTGGCTGCGTGGGGACCCCCTCCAGCTCATGCTCCCCATAGGATCCCCCAGAGAAGCCAGCGAGCTGGGCCCTAGCCCCCGGGCCAGGTCTAGGCCAAATCTGAAATCTGAGCCAGTCGGCGCCGCCTCTGCCTGGGCTGCCCGGCCCTGCGCCCCCCGGCCCCGGGTGGGAGGTGGGGGGATCGGCAGGGCGGGCTGAGGGGCCCCGGGGTCAGGGCGCCAGGCCGAACTGCCAGGACCTCCCTGCCCTCGTGGGGCCTCGGGTAGGGCCTGGTGCTGCCGGCCTGGAAGGGACTGGGCCAGACTGCGTTTGGTCTCCCCTGCCCACAGCCCCCAGCCTCGCCCCTGAGCAGGCCCAGCTACCAGCCGGCTCAGAAGTTGGCAAAAGTTTTGGGGGTTGGCCACCGGGCCAGGTCCACCTGTCTGCCTGGGCTGGGATTGGGGTGGGTTTGAGTCCCCACCAGGGCTGCCACTTGCCCTGCTGTGTGTCCTCAGACAACTGCCTGCCTCTCTGAGCTGGGTTCCTCATTGGTGGCAGGTGGGCCTGGCTGGAATTGCTAGGCTGGTGGAAGGATGGGGTGAACAGAAGGGGCTCACCTGTGTGGTATCCTTTCAGCCCCTGCGTCCTTCAGGTGGACTTAGGAGTGGACAGAGCCTGTGTGTGCCCCTGGGCAAGACCTCCTGAACTTCATGGACTCTGTACAATTTGGGGCAGTGGTTGCTGGGTCACCTGGGGTAAGTCCAGGCCCAGCCACAGCCACAGTGCAGCTGGGATCAGACTTGGTTTCAAGGGTGGGCCAGGCTGGTCCTGTTGCAGACCCTCTTCTCAGCCCCCTGGCTGGGGGATCAAGGCACCGAGTCTTCTTGTCTCACCCAGTGACCTGGGCCAAGAGACTGCCCCTCTAAGTCCCTATACGTGAAATGAGAATCCTCAGGCGAAGATTCTAAGCGCTTCTGCAGGTAGAGGCTTGGCGTGTAGTAGATGCTCAATAAATGAATTGTTCACTGGACACATTGGCTGAGAAAGATGGGTGAGATGTGAGGTTGCTGGCTAGTTCATTCTAGAAGAGGATGGGTTGGTGCCTTGAGAAAGAAATAGCCCTGGCACCGTCCTGCCAGCCAGCAGCTGGGTGACCGTAAGCAATTCACTTTTCCCTTCTGGCCTCAGTTTTGCCACATATAAAACTGGGCCAGTGGTAATGACAGCTGCCAACATCTACTGAACACCTTTTAGGAGGTACAGACTCTTGTTTATCTTCATTTTGCTGATGGGGAAACTGAGGCTAAGAGAGGGGAAGTGACTTGACCAAGGCCCTATAGTTGGAAGCTGGAATGAAAGCCCAGACCTCAGAGACCACAGTCTGGCTGTCCCTGCATCCCTCCAGTGATGGGGCAGTGGAGGTTCGCAAGACAGGACTGCACACACAGCAGTGTCGGAAAAGACTGCTCTGCTGAGGGATTGAATGAAAGCCACGAGGCCTTTTTGGTGATGTGGTGATGTGGTCTTTCCACCCAAGGAAATGATTTACAGTGTGTCACCTCTCTCAGCTGACTGCCTGCCTAGGCCCTCCCGCGTGCCCCTGGGCCTTTGCTCCTAAACTGTGTCCCTCCCAGAGTGCCCTCTCCTCCAGGTGCTGCTTATCTGCCCTTGCCCCGCCAGGCTTAGCTTAGGCCCCTCTCTTCTAGGAGGAAGGCCCGTGGCTCTCTCTCCCTGTCCCCTAGCTCTTGTTGGAGCATGACTTATCCACAGCTCAGCCTGGTTCCTGCTTTTGCTTCTCTGATTGTGACCAGGGGGGTGGGGTGGAGGGATGTCTGGCTCCCCCAAGCCCCAGGAACCAGAGAGGAGATGGCTCAGTGACCTGTTGAGGGACCTTCTGCCCATCTCCGTGGTCCTCAGCTGACCCCATTTTCTCAAACCTCCCCATGTATAAGCATTTGTGACCCCTGTATTGAGCACCTGCTGCGTACCAGGAACTTGGAACTCGGGCTGAGCAGTATTGTGCTGGGGTTAGCAGGGAGTGGGAGCTGTGGGAGTCATGGAGGCTTCTAGAAGGTGGCAGGGCCTGAGCTGAGGACGAGCAAGAGTTCACTTGGCAAAGAAGGGGAGAGGGAGCTCTTTTTTCCCTTCCCAGGGGCCCTGAGGTGGTGGGGTGTGGTCAGCCTGGTTGGATACTTGCTGGGGAGCTGGGAACAGGTCCTTGGCCTCCCAGAAGTTTGAATCTGGAGGGTGAGCAAAGTTGCAAACAAGTTGCCAGTTGAGTTACTATATAATCACAGATATGATAAGGACTCAGGGAGAGAGGCCTAGGGTACACAGGAATCTTGAAGAGGGCATGTAGGGGTTGACCAGGCATGGAGTTAGGGAAAGGGCTTGCCAGGCAGCAGGAAGTGCATGTGCAAAGGCCCTGAGGTATGTGCCAAGACGTGCTGTCATGGAGAATCAGTGGGGGAAGCTGTGAGGCTGGAGCGTGCACAATGAAGGGGAGTGGGTAAGAGGTAGAATGAGGGGGTGTATCAGCAGGGCTGGACCATGCTGGGGCCTTGTGGGCCCTGGGGAGGAGTTTGGCCTTCATTGTCACACAGGGGGCTGATCGGTGTCCCCTGTGTGAACAGCCCCAAGCTGGAGGCCAGAGGTACAGAGCTGACCAATAGAAATAGATCTGATGATAGACCTAGATCTGTAGGCTGGACTCCAAAATTTTATGGAGGCCTAGATCAGGTCTCAAGAGGAGCGGGTATTTGAGGCTGGGCTTTGGAAGTGGAGTAGGAGTTCACTAGCAGCAAGGCTGGAGAGGATGAGAGCCGGGGGTGTGGGAAGTGCAATGCTGGGTGGCTGGAAGCTGGGAGTGAGGTAGGGAGCAGGGAGGGGTCAGCCCGAGAGATGGGGACCAAAGGTTTGGTAAGGGCTTAAGAGTCAGACAGGCCTGGGTTTATGTTCTGACCGTCCCACTTGCTGTGTGTCTTTGGATCATTTACTGTATCTTTTGAGAGACTTAGTTTCTTTGTCATGAAAATGGGGACAACAGATACCTCCTTGTTGGATTAGGGTTAAAGGAGGGCTGTGTGCCCAGTGTCTGGCACCGGTAGGTACTTGGCAAATGGGACCTGCTTTGCGCTGTTGCATTGGACAGGTCACTCGGCCTCTCTGGGTCTGGCCCTGCTAGCTCTGTGGTCAAGCCCTTGCCTGGGTGATCTCATGGAGTCTGAAGGTGCCGGTTGGGGCAGGGCTGGCTCGGGAGAGGATGTTGGCAGCCAAGGCCGCCAATGTGCAGGGTGACTTTGAGTCCTGCCCTGCCCTCTCTTTGCCTTCTCTGTGTATGAAGAGGCTAAACTGGGGAGAATGCCATGCGTCTAGCCCCAGCCCCGCTTCTTCGAAGCCTGCCTTCGGTGTGATTGGTCCCATTTTCCGGTTGTAAGTACTAAGACCCAGGAAGGGAAAGCCACTTGCCTAGGGTCTCCCAGTTGCCAAGTGACAGGGCCAGGCCTTGGCTGTAGGCTCTGGACTCCTAGTCCAGCAGAGCCACTGAAAAAGGCCACCACTTCCCTGCTCTGGGCCTTTTGCCGGAGCTTCATTTCCTGCCTCGGTGTGTGTCCCCACATCTCTATCTCCCTTCGGATTCCCACAACCCTTTCCTTCCCCTCCATGGCCCCCACCCCTTATCTCCGTGGGAAACCCCTCTGGCTTCCCCTTGAGCTCCTGGGGGCCACTTCCTCTGGGGAGCCTCAGTTTCTTCATGCCTGAAGTAGGATAGTGAGTCATGGTTCCCAGGATGTCCCAAGAGGACAGAAATAAAGTGCTTAGCACACATTAGGGACTCAATCAGTGGAGGCGGGGGAGGGCCAGGCACCTGCTCAAGTCCTGCCTCCTCTGGCAGCTGATGCCCTGTCCTGTGATTCAGTTTCTGAAGCTGTGAAATGGGCCTAGGGCTTGTACCTGGTAAGGCTAACAAGAGGATGGTATGAGGCTGTACCTTAGGTCCCCACCTGGTGGCTGGCTCCGTGTCGCTGTTCCTGGGGGAGGGAGACCCAGTAGAGGCCTCCCCTGTGTTCAAGGCCTCATTCCCTGCTGTTTGTCCAAAGCCAAGTCACTTAGTCTCTCTAAACCTCAGCCTCTGCACACCTCCCTTGTGAGGATTAAATCAGCTAATGTATTCCCCGTGGCTCAAATCTACTGGGTGCTTAGAAAATTTTATATTTTTCTTTCCCCATTCTCCTCCCTGTTGGGGACTCAGATATTATCTAGTTTAGGGAAGCTTCTGGGCTTTCATCCCCCTGGCCTAGAGTGCTGTGTTGAGAAGCATTCTGAGGCTCAGTGTTGGCTTCATGGGAAAGAGTGCTGTGATAGATTAGTCATGTCTGCCATGGGCACAGGATAAGAGAGTATTGTATGTGTGCCATGAGTTTGTCATTCTTGATCTATTCTGACCTTCTCCTTTCACAGATCGGGGGGATTGAGGCTAGAAAGACCCAGGGCAAATCATCTACGCTGGGAGAAAAATGCAGAGCTCTTGTCTTCGATCCAGGACTCTCCCCAGCCAGCCAGCCTCCTCCTTCCCACAGTACAGCCTGGTAAGGCTGAGTCAGGGATAGATGACCGGGGAGGATCTCAGAGCTGGGAGCCAGACCTCCATCTCCCTACTCCTTGCTCTGGGTCCTTGGGCAAGTGACTTTCCCCCAACTTTGGTCCATTTGGTCCTTCTTCTCCCTTAGAACTACCCAGAGAAGTTCCAGAGTAAAAGGAGAAGCCAGAAGGGAGGAGAAGTTGAATGATCTTGGCCAAATCCCTTCCTGTCTGGTCCTCAGTTTCCTCATCTGTATGGTGAGGACTCCTCCCACTGAGGCTCTGTGATGGTGATCCTAGCTGGGGAGTGCTCCAGGGGCAGGCCCAGCGGAGTCTTTTTTGGTGCTCATGTAGGGGTGGGGATGTCTGTGGTGGGTGGGTGGTGATATTTGTGGACCCACTGAGAAACTTTAGGAACGGGTTCTTTTGAACCCTTGGACCTGCTGGGCTATGAGGCTGGCACAGGCAGAATCCAGTTGCTGGGAGTGGAAATTGAGCTGGAGTGGCCTGGGGAAGCATGGCCTCCCTGTTGGGGTCTGATTAGCTTCTCTTAGGCTGCTTTGCCCAAATTCATGGCCTTGACTTTTACCTTGTCTGATGTCGATATCTTCATGTCATGCCCTTCTGAGCTGGGTCATAATAAGGTGACCCATTGTGTCCCTTGCTCCATCCTGGGAGCAGTCAAACTCTTATTCCTGTTACACAGAAGAGGAGACTGAAGCTCAGAGAGGCTAAGAGCTGGGGCCACAGGAGTGCAGCAAAGTGAGGTGTGAGCCCAGACTTCTGGCTGCTGAGTAATTTGTGGGGATCTGATTCTTATTAAGTGTGTACCCAACGTGGCTAAAACTTTTCCCAGGTATAGGAGGGGTGCGGTGCTGGGGGCAGGTGACCCTGACTCTCTGGGTTCCAGCTCTGGCTGATGGATTCCCCAGTCGGACGTGGAGTACTGGGATCTTGGGTGCTCACGGATGCTTATGCCATAAAGGGTAATGGAAGTAGCAAAGCCTTTGAAGCCAGTTGGTTCTGGGTTCAAATCGTGGCTTGGCCACTTGTTTGCTGTGTATGATTGTACAGCTTAGAACCTCAGTTTCCCCATCTGTGAAATGGGGATGACGAGGCTGGCACCAGCTTTGACAAGATGGCATGAAGATCCGATGAGCCAATGTGTGCCAAGTGCTTGGGCGCAGGGCCTGCACTCAGGAAGTGCATGATATTTATGAGTGCCTGTTAGAAAGGTGATTCCCTGATGAGGCAGGAATCCTGGGCCTCTGCAGGCCAACTGATCCGGAAATCACCAGGGCAGTGACCAGCCACCTTTGTCTGTGGTTGGCTTGTTCTGTGGGGAAGGGAGTGGGGGGAAGATTAACTAGAAACAGACAAGCTTGGTGACTGGATTGATTGGAAGCCACCAGCTCCATCCAGCCTCCCTGAGCCTGGCTTCTGCCTTAGCCCTTGCCTGCCTGTGACCTAGCATAGCCTCCCAGTGCCCCGATGCCTCACCCTGGCCTCCCTCCTCCGCCTCACTGAATGGGCCCCTCTCTTCAAAGGTGGATTCTATTTGAGCATCCTTGCCCGTTTGACCTGAGAGGTGAGAGCTGTTCCTGCTCTTGTTTTTTGGGAGGCAGCTGAAGCTCAGAGAGAGGCGGGGATGGGCTCGGGCTGCACAGCAAGGGCCCCTAGAGGTGCCCTGCCCCGATCATCTCCCATATTTTCGAGCCGTAGCTATCTTCCTGCCTGACCGGGGTTATCGGGCCGTACACCTTTGCCCCTGCAGCTCCCACTGCCTGGTGTGCCCTCCCTCTCAGTGCCCCTCCAGTGGCTGAGATGCTTCTGGCTTCAGAAGGCCTTTGTGAACACCCTGCCGGTCCCACTGAGTCCATGAGTCCGTACTGACCCCACATCCACCATTGAACTTCACCTTGTCCCTTCTTTGCCCTTCCTCATGGCTCTGACACATTCTGCCTTAGATGACAAGTCATAGGATTCTTTTTGCCTCTAAGGGAATATGGTAATCACCATATTCCCAAGGGCACAGCCCTTTACAGTTTACAAAGAACTTTCCGCAGTTACCTCTGTGCATCCCCAGCACCAGCGGGGCTGAGACAGACAGAACCACCGTAATAAACTTTGTGTGGCAGATGAGGAAACTGTGACCTCAAATCAGGGTCATGCCAGGTGCTCTCTCTGCTTGGGCAAATGGAACTGGACTCTTTCCCCACTGAGCCCGTCTCCTCAGTCTGGGACCCCTCTCCCAGAGCTCTGTGAATAGCATGACTTATTGTCAAAAGGAGGATTTGGAGGTTCAGAGAGGTAAAGTGACTTGCCTGAGGTCACGCAGCCCTGAAGGGACTTGGAGGGTTCCTTCTAAAAATCAGAGAAGAGGCAGATTGGGCCAGTTTTCCTCCCACTTCTGAAGGGAGGACCAGACACGCCCGGGACCCTGAAGGAGCAATGAGCCACCGTGAGCCCTTGCGGTCCCTTCAGCCAGCGTTCATTCCTCCAGCACGGAGTTGAGCCCTTCTGCAGTGCCAGGCAAATGGTTGTCTCATGCTCACAGCAGCCTCGCGGGGTAGTGGTCCCGGCCCCATTTCACCAAAGAGGAAGCTCAGGAGCCAGGGGACTTGCCCAAGGTCATCCAGTGCATGGATTTGAACCCAGGGCTTCCTGGGCATGCCAGGCCTGCCCCGCCTCATCTGGGCTGAGCCCTTCTCTACTTCCACAGACCCTTGATCAGCCCTCCAGCCCTCCCCACAGTTCCTCACTGGGCAGCGTGAAGACAGGGAGACTTCTCCTCTACCCCCAACTGCTGTCACCCACTAGCTGTGTGGCTTTGGTGAGTCAGTTTAACCTCTCTGTGCCTCAGTTTCCCCATCTGAAAAATGAGCCTAGTGGTAGAACCCACTCCATGGGCTTGTTGCAAGGATGAAGTCTTGTGTCCAACGCCCTCAGCAATGCCAGCACACAGTAAGTGCTCGGTGCGTGTTATTTTATTGCAATTTGTATTAACCTGGGGAAGAAGGGAAAGACCACCCCGTTATCCAGATGGGAAAATGGAGAGAAAGGAAATAGCATCCGCCAGGTCACAATGTGATGTCACAGCCAGAAGTCTCCTGGGGCGCATTCTGCTTTCCAGATGGGGAAACTGAGGCCTAGAACCTGAGAAGGGACTCAATCAAGGTCCTAATTTCTTGCCTTTAGTTTGGGTTGAAGCCTCCTTGTCCACCTGCTTGCCCTGGGACTATGGGTCAGTTGCTTCCCCTCGCTGAGGCTCAGTTTCTTTATCTGGGAAATGAGGGTAACAAGTGTGCACCCGGTGGGGCTGGGGTGGGGACTGGGTACGGTCATCTCCATAAAGCATTTAGTTCAAGGCCTGGCCTGGAGGCAGCACTCAACAGCTGCAGGGACGGACTTCCAGGACTCAATTTTCTCATCTGTGCCATGCTCTGTGCATGTCGTTGGGGAGACAGTTCCATCTTATCCCGCCAGTGTGTCTCCTCAGTCTCTTAGAAGCCACCCTAGGCAGGGGCAGGGGCAGGGGCCGGGGAGGTGAGGTCTGGCTTCTTATTCTGCCTGGGAGGCCAGGGCTGTGCCTTGTGGACTTTGTCCCTGAGTTGTGCCAAGTCCTCAAGGCTGGGCCTGGTTGGGAGACTGCACCAATCCCCACCAGGCCTTCTGGGTGCCCTGTGGTTGCCAGCACCCAGATCCTGCCACATCACTGCGTCTGCCTGCCTTTGCTGCCGCGTGCCCCGGGTGGTGGCTTCTCTTTCTGAGCCTTGGTTTTCCCACCTATGAGAAGGGGTAAGGAGTCTTCCTCACCGGGCTGTTGGGAAGGCTTGATGTGCTCATTCTCCCCATGCCAGGCTTATAGAAAGTGTCACTGTTAATGGGTACGGCTGTGAGGACGGGTAGGATCCTGACTGGCAGGAGGGGCGAGCAGCATCCTGGGTAGAGGATACACGTGAGCACAGGCTTGGAGGTGGCACAGTTTGGGGAGCACCCTGTAGCCAGGTGGGTGAAGTGGGAGAGGACCCCATAATGTGGGGATTTGGACTGGCGCTGGGTGAAGTGGGCAGGATCTCAGCGCCAACTGTGGTGATTTTGGGTGATGCTGACTCCCCTGCCCTCTAAACTTTAGATTTGTGTTTGAAGCCTCGGGAGCAGCCTCCTGCCCTCCCCACCCCCACCCCGCCAGGTGTTCCCGAAGGCCCCGGAACCAGATGAGACATAGTTCTATTTGGGGACAATACTGCTGTTCCCGTTTCTCTCCTGTGCCCTAGTTTTAGAAACGGAGTGGGTTTGGTTACCAGTTGGCCATTTGCAGCGAGCTCCCCCCTCCGCCCACTCCACCCATACCTTAGAGCTGTGGGCATCGCGGGCAAAATAGGACTCAGTGCTGCCACTGGGAGTGGCTCCTGGGCTCTGCCCCTGGGTTCTCTGGGTAGGGAGTTGGCAGCTGGACTCTCTGTTATCCACCGGTGATATCTGGGCCTTGTGATGGGTGCTGGGAACCCTGAGGATGTACTTGGGACATAGCTTATATTCTGGGGGAGCCAGAGAGACTCCAGTCATTTCCCTATGGCACGATGGGGTAGGGGCCATATGAACTATGGCAACCCAGCACAATGCCAGGAGAGCTTCCCGGAGGAGGTGATACCTGGCCTGGATCTTAAAGGATGAGCAGGAGCTCATGAGAAAAAAAAGAAGGGTGAGGGTGGGCCGGGAAGAAGGGACCGTGTGCAAAAATGTCTGGGGGTAGGAAGTAGCCAGGCGGTGTGGATAGCCATGGAGGTGGGGAGCAGCAGGCCAGGTACAAGGGGGTTAGAAGGTGGCTTGGCTGATCAGGCAGAGCCTCAAACCCTCACAGGGCACTCAGGCTTGGGCCTGGGGGTGATGAGAGCAGAGCAGGTTGAGGCCAGACTCTTGCTGCAGGTGTGGAGGACAGAGAAGGATCAGACCGGCCTCAGAGGCTCAATTACTTTTGCCAAGTAAAGGCAGCCCACAGGGTTCAAGACAGGGATCTAAAACCTCTCCCTGGGGCAAAAGGTAGGGGCTGACCTGGGGCCTTGGAGGGAGTGGGTCAGGGAAGACTTCCTGGGGGAGGAGGTACCCTGACTTACCGGAAGGATGGGAGGGACCTCTGAGGGGAGATAGAGCTTGACAAAGGGCCTGAAGGTGCCCTGTGAGCAGCTCCTCTTGGAGGTCTGAGGAGCCATGGAGTCTTGACTTGGGTCAGTTGGCTGGTGCCAATGGGTAGAGGGCCTGGGGGCCTGCTCCTCGGGCAGTGAGGAAGGGCTACTGGATGAGAGTAATGTATCCCACATTCTGGGTAGTGTCTGGGTCAGGGTCAGTGTGGCTTCAGTGAGGTGGCCCTGGTGGCCGCACTGAGAACAGATGGGCCTGGAGAGAAGCAGGCACTGGCAGGGGAAATGGCCAGGTCTGGGATGGACAGGGGAGTGGTGGGGGGCAGGGTGGGGAGCTTCTGCCCCTGGGTCCTTCTGCCTGTCCATCCTTTCCTCGAAGACGCCTGCCTGGCAGGAAGTGGTGGAGACGTGTTGCAGCCCAACTGGCAGATTCCCAAGGCGCCTGGGGCATTGGGCAAGGGCTCTGGGGTTAGGGCCCGGCCTCCCTTCCTTTTTGGGTAAACCTCACCAGGGCAAAGCTCCCCGACGTGGGTGAAGGGCTAGGCCTGATTGCCTCCATAAAGACCCCCTCTGCCCTCTTGAACCTGGAGGGTCTGGACTCTAGACAGGGGGAGTTGAGAGCCGTGGCTGTTGGCACTGGTGCCAGATGGGCCTGGATTAGAATCCAGGCTTTGTTACCTGCTGGCTGGCAGACCTTGGCCTTTGAGAGCCTCAGTTTCCCCATCCGCAAAAATGGGGGTCACACTAGAGCTTCCCTCCTACGGCTCCTGAGAGAGTGAAATGATATTGTGAAGAGCTGTGCCAGCACTCTGCCCGCCTCGTGGGTCTGTGTCTAGAGCTGTTGCCCCAGCCGGCTCGGGGACTGAGACTTGCTGGGCTGTGGGGGGCGGCTTCCGGTCTACCCTGGGCTCTCAGCACAGAGGACAAAGCCCCTTTGTGGAGGGCGGATGGAGCTTGAGAGCCCCTGTCCTTGGGGAGCAGGGGACTGCTTGCCCCTTCTCTTCACTCAGTTCCCCTGGGGAGAAGGAGCTTCCTCAGACACAGAGGGTGGGAAACGAAAGTCGGGCTGTGCAGGAGGACAGGCTGGGCTGGCTACAGCTGCCCTGGCCAACATCTGGCTGTGAGCTCGGATGGGCCCTTCTCTTCTCTGGGCCACCTTCTCAGGCAAGTCCCAGGCCTACTGTGGGTGCCCTGCTTGCTCTTCCATCCATCCATCCATCCATCCATCCATGATCAGGTACTCACTCCATGCTAGGCTGTGTGCCTTTGGCCAGTGTCTGTTCTGACCCACTGGTACCCAAGCATCCCAGCTGTTCATTGTTTTGAATATTACACCTGCTGCAGAGTATTAAATTATAGGGAAGACAGAAGTGGCCCCCGTCCCCGTGAGACAGGTTCTCACACAGTGAGTTATGTCATCAGAGCTGTGGTCGGTCCATGCTAGGAAGCAGAAGTTGAAGATCCTCACTTGGACTGGGGTTTGAGGGAGGCTTTCTGTGAGGAAGTGGCTTTGGAGCTGAGACTTGGAGAGCAGAGTTGGCTGGGTGTATCAAGAAACAGGTGGTCGAGCAAGGCCTGTCTGAGCAGATGGCTGAGTCCTGAAGACCTGAAGGAGGCAAGGGAGTGAGGGTGTAGGTGAGGGTGGAGTGTGCTGCCAGTGCAGGAACAGCAGGTGCAAAGGCCCTGAGGCAGGAGTGTGCTGGCTTTTCAGGGAAGGGGCAGGCGGCTGGTGTGGATGGAGTAGAGCGAGGGGAGGGATGGGGTTGGTGGAGGCCACTGAGGGCCTTGGAGGCCCCTGTGACGACTTTGGCCTTTGTGTCAGGAGTGTGGGTTCTGTGGGTGGTATTAAGCAGGAACGAAGGGTTCAAACTGACATTTCAGAAGGGTTCCCTGCTCTGTATTAGCCAGCCTGAGAGGAGGAGGCTGGGCACAGTAACGGTCCCTACCCCACAGTGCTGGCAGGAGGAGCCGATGAGACTGAGTGTGAAGTGCCGAACTGATGTCCTGCATACGCCATGTGTTCAGTAGTTAGTAAGGATTTTGATCGCTGTTGTTTTTGTGGGGAGTAAGGGCATGTGTGTGGGCCCGGGCTCTGGCCGTGGTCACCCCAGAGCTGGGCTTTGGGAAGGGGCTGGAGGGCTGAGTGGCCCCTTTCAGGTAACTCAGCACCTTGGGATTCACAGTCCTGGAATCCATACCCAACACCACTTTCCACACAGGGAAACTGAGTCCAGAAGGGCTCGTGGATTCACTCAAGTCTCCCCAGCACCTTGGGACAGATCAGGGTTTCCGTACCGGGTGGTCTCTGCACAGCCCAGGGCTCACCTCTCCTTGCCCTCTTCAGGCGCCACCCACTTCCAGGCAGTACGCTTCCTTGGAGGGCTTCCAGGCCCTGCACAGGTCCCATTGGGAAGGGATCCAGTCCCCTACAGTGCAGGCCAGGGATTGGGGTCTGATAGAGGCCCCTTTTCTGCCTGGGAGGAAGCAGAAGAGCGGTCAGGGCTGGGACAGTTGTGCTCTCCAGGGCGTGAGTTTGGTAGGAGCTCCGTGGCCCCCCTGCTGGGCTTCTGCCCTTTCTGGGCTGCAGGCCCCGTCCCCAGTGCACCCCTCCATGTCTGCCGGTGTCCGCCCCGGCCTGCCGTCTCCACCCCAGCCCCACTGGCAGAGCCGGTTTGAGTCTACTGTCCCTGAGCATGTTCGCGCCGCGGACACGGGACCAGGCATGTCCTGGCTGCCCTGGCACGCGCACGGCCCCTTGCTCACTCTTCACTCACTCTTTGCTCACTCAGCAAACATCCTCTGGGACCTCAGTTCCTGGCCTGGGCCATGCTGGGTGGGGATCAGGGCCTGGAGTTGTCTCAGACTTGCTTCTGCCCTGTGTAAGCCAGGGTGGGCAGAAGCTCTGCCGCAGAGATGGACCAGGCAGGTGGCAGGAGGGCACAGTGGTGGGGCATAGGCTGTGGGACTGGACAGATCTGGGGCCGAGGGCTGCCACCTCTTATTCCTGTGGGGCCCTAGGTGGGGCCCATCCGTCGGTCTATCCATCCCACAAATATTTTCTGTGCTCAACAATGTTCTAGAGCTGCAGATAGCAAGGAACCAACCAAAGATCCCTGCTTTTGCAAAGCTCACATTCTAGAGGGGGAGACAGAAGAACACAACAAATAAGGAAACTGCACACACAGCCCGTAAGAAGGCGGTAAGGGCCACGAATCCATAATGCAGGGAAGCGGGTGGGCCTGCTGGTGGGCTCGTGGAGGATGGGTCGCAATTAGATGGTGGCCAGGGAAGGCTTCACACCTCAAAGAAGCTCACAACAAAGGAGGGGAGGGAGGAGCCATGCAGCTCCCTGGGGAGGGAACAGCCAGTGGGGAGACCCCGAGGCAGGGGAGAGCCTGGAGTGCTGGTGGAACTGGAGGGGGCCAGGGGAACAGAGTGAGAAAGGGGAAGAACAGGGGAAGAATGGAGAGAGGAGGGCGGATCAGGGAGGGCACCTGAGCCATCTAAAACGCAGGCTTTGGACTTGGAGCGAGATGGGGTCACACGAGGGTCCTGGGTGCACCTGGCTGCTGTGTGAAGAGCAGACTGGGGGCTGAGGGTGGAGGTGGGTGGACCAGTGAGGTGGCTGCTGCCTTAGTCTAGGGGGTGGCGGTTCGCTCAGTCTGGGCGTAGTTATTGGGAGGGTCAAAGGGCCAAGCATTTTTTTTTTCTTTGCATCATTTAAGTTAATCTTGCTTTTCCCACTCTATTCTGGAGGCATGTTCATAGAATGAACCCCATGAACCCATCGCTGAGCCAAGCACCACTACCCATGGCCAGTCCTGCCTCCTCCACACCTGTTCTATCCCATCCTATCTTGTGTCATTTTAGAGCAAATGACAGGCATCTTATTTCACGTGTGAAATATTTCAGTGTGTATCTCTAAAAGACAAGGACTCTTGTGTTTAAAAAGTAGCCATAAAACTAAAGTCCATGTAAAAAATGTGAACAATTTCTTTCTCTTTCTCTCTCTCTCTTTTTTTTTTTTTTTTTTTTGGTGAGACAGGGTCTCACTCTGTCACCCAGGCTGGAGTGCAGTGGTGCAATTACAGCTCACTGCAGCCTCAAGCTCCTGGGCTTGAGCGATCCTTCCACCTCAGCCTCCTGAGTAGCTGGGACTACAGGCGCATACCACCCCACCTGGCTAGTTTTTAAAATTTTTAATTTGTAGTGATGAGGTCTCTCTATGTTACCAAGACTGGTCATTCCTGAGTCAATTCCTGACTCAAGTGATCCTCCTGCCTCTGCCTCCCAAAGTGCTGGATTACAGGCGTGAGCCACCATCTAATGGCCTAACTTCTTAATATCAGCAAAAATCCCCTCCTCTCCCAGATATATTTTGATGGTGCAACTGATGTCTCTGGACTTCCCCCTCCTTGCCATAAAGCGAGGTTCATAATAGCCCCCGCTGTCATGCTATTGTGAGATCATTCAAGTAGGATGCCTAGCATAGGCCCGGCACATAGTAGGTGCTCAACAAAGAATAGCTGCTCCTACTCTTTTGACTGATAGCAAACACTTAGGGCACACTTGCTAGGGTCTGGGTCCAGTCCTGTGTGCTTCACAGATATAAACTTATTTAATCCTCACAACAGTCCTTTGAGGTAGATGATGTGTATCACTATTTGACAGGAGAGGCAGTGGAGGCACAGAGAGGTGGAGTAACTTTCCCAAGGTCACACAGCAAGGAAGGGCCAGAGCTAGGTTTTGAATCCTGGTAGTCTAGCTCTTAATCCCTATGTGGTGGAGGCTACATTAGCCCAGAAAAGGGTGGCGGTCCCTCTCTCAGCTTGTGGGGGGGCAGGCAAGGTCAGGTACTGCCTGTGGTCAGGCCGAAAGGGTACACTGTAGTTCATGGTGGGGCAGTGAAAGGGGAGGTGGGTGGTGGAGCTTAGGGGGGGAAGAATATGTGCAAAGGCTTGGAAGCTAGAGGGTAGTTACGAGTTTAAGGGAGGGTCAAGGGATGGGAGCTTGCGGCAGGCCCCCTCCATCCAAGTTTGGCCTTGGTCCTGTGATCACCAGGCTGGAGTGTCGATCGTTTTTATCATCTTACGATCACCCGTCCCCAGCCTGTCTCGGATGCCCTCTCCTCCCTCTGATACCTGCCAGAGACCCATTTCATGGATGAGTAAAGGCAGGCTGACCTTCCTGTGACCACACAGCCAGGGGCAGGCCACCTGCAGGCTTGAACGGGGCCAGGGGGTGGGTTTGGGGCTCAGGCTGGGCCGTGTGGAGGGCCCTGGCCACTAGGCGCTCCTGCCCACCAGTGTCCCTGGAGGGAGATACTGCATGGGTGTGGGCGGGGAGGAGGGGGCACTGTGTGTTCCCAAAGCAGCTGGCAGGGAACAGTGGGTGCCATGGGCAGGGGCCGGCTGGCGGCCATCTCCACAAGGCACATCAGCCATCACCCATCAGGGGTGGGGCAGCTGGGGGCTCTCGGAAAGATGACCTACGGCTGGGAGAGAGCAAAACTTGCCACCTCAGTGTTCTCTGTGATCCTCTCCTGACACTGAGCAGGGGCAGGGCAGGAGTGCTGCTGAGGGCCTCTGTGTGCAGGTAGAGATGCCGGGGTCTCTGTGTGCAGGTAGAGATGTAGAGATGCCGGGGTCTCTGTGTGCAGGTAGAGATGTAGAGATGCCGGGGTCTCTGTGTGCAGGTAGAGATGCCGGGGTCTCTGTGTGCAGGTAGAGATGCCGGGGTCTCTGTGTGCAGGTAGAGATGTAGAGATGCTGGGGTCTCTGTGTGCAGGTAGAGATGCTGGGGTCTCTGTGTGCAGGCAGAGATGCTGAAGCCCAGGTTAGCTCTTATTTATGTCTTTATTTATTTTTTTGAGACAAGGTCTCACTCTGTTGCCCAGGCTGGAGTGCAGTGGTGTAATCATAGCTCACTGCAGCCTCAAACTCCTGGGTGCAAGCAATCCTCCCACCTCGGCTTCCTGAGTAGCTGGAACTCTTGGGCACCACCATGACCGGTTACATTTTTTTTCTATTTTTTTTTTGTAGCGATGGGGGTCTCACTTTGTTGCCCAGGCTGGTCTCAAACTCTTGGCCTCAAGCGATCCTCCCATCTTGGCCTCCTGAGTCACTGGGATTACAGGTGCAAGCCACTGCTCCTGGCCGCACAGTGATTCTCATGGAAGCCTTCCATTCAGCCACGTGGTGGTTAGCCCTCAGCAGGCTGGGCCCCAAGGTTCTGTCTCCTCTTCCAGTTTCTCCTCAGCTCAGTGCTCTGGGGCCTGGTGCCCCAAGAATCTTATCCTCAGTGCCATTGCCCCCAGCCCACACCCTCATTCCAGGGCAGGCCTTGGTCTTGCTGTGTGACCAAGGCCCGGCAGCCCCCTTCTCTGAGCCTTAGCCTCCTCAGCTGCCAAGGAGAAGGGCCCACGAAAGCTCCTGGGGGTTGAGGCTGTGACCCCCTGGCCTTGTGAGCTGCCCTACCCACCCCGTTACGGGGCGGCCTGGTGACAGACTCTGGGATGGTTCCTGGGGTGGGGTGGGGGGGTCTGCGAAGCCTCCTAACCCCTCCAACTCACCAGTCCCTAGATGCTGTCTCCTTCTCAGTGACCTCACTCCAGGGTGTGGGGGCTCGGAGGAGGGAGAGATGGTGGGAAGTGGGTATAGGGAAGAGAGCGCCACCCTGGTGTGCCAGTCTTTCCCCCATTTTGCCGCTGAGGAAACTGAGGCTGCAGGACTGAAATTGACATAGCTCCCTCGCCTTTCTCTAAGCGGTCCCAGCTGCAGGCCCTGTCAAAGCCATCCCACCTGCCTGGATCACACTCCCCACCCTCTCTTCACAAACCGCCTAGCCTTTGGGCCTCAGCTGAGATACCCCCTCCTCTGGGAAGGCCACCATGGTTTAGGTGTCTCCTCTTGCCCCTCTGGCCCTTTGGAGCTGGAGATGACGGTCCCTGACAAGACACTGTGGGAAGGGCCACTGTTCTCTGACCGCCGGCTCCCAGGGGCCTGAGAAAAGCTTCCTGGCCCTGCTCTCAGTTTTGCAGGCCTTCGTGACTTGCATTGAACATATCCCTCTCAGGGTCTTCCCCGGGCCCCCTCGTGCCTAGGCCAAGGGCCAGCAGTGACCCAGTTATACCGGAACACACTCTGGCCAGACCTCGCTCTGAACAAGGCCCTGCCCACCTGGCACCCTGGTCCGCCTGCGCCTCTGCACCCAGGCTCCCTCCTGGGTCGCCCTTGCTGTGCTCCTCACAGGGGAGGTGGGGTAGGATGGGCTCTGGTGTCCCTCGGATCTGGCTGGTATCCTGGCTGTCTGCCTTCTGGCTGGGGCAGCCTCCTGGGGCCCCTGTGGCCTTGTATGTAAAACGAGTGTGGCCACAGCTTGCTACAGGGCTGCTGGGAACATTGGAGGGGAGCGTGAACCCCGGGCGGGAGGATGTGAAGGGGAGAAGTGTGGGTTTCTGCACCCCCATCAGCACACCCCATTCCACCCCCGCCTGGACCAGAGCAGCTGGTGACATTGGGTTTTGCCAAGAGGAGCCCAGGCTCCTTCCTTGGGCGGTTCCCAGGGGCTCTGGGTGGCCGTCCCGGTTAGGGAGACATGCAGAGCGTTAGGGATTGTCACTCGGCTGCTAAGAGTTGGGATCTCAGGCACGCCATTTAACCTGTCTGTGCTTCAGTTTCCTCATCTGTGCGATGGTGTGATGAGCGTGGTGCATGGCAGGTGCCTGACAAGTCCTTCGGCTCTCCCATCAGGGAGAGGATGGCTGCTAATGGGCCAAGTCCCTGCCCACCGCCTTCCCCCTCCATCCCCGCACAGGCCTGATACTACACCCACCACTGCTCTTCCCTGCCCCGCCTCCCACCTCTCCCCTGCCATTGGGGTACTGTTATCAGGAGGCATTCCAGGACTGGCTGAGAACAGCTTCCACCCTGGGCCCTTCTGAGAGGATGCGATCACTGATAGATGCCCTGCCGGGGCCTCCTTTGAGGAATGGGCTCTGGGGTACGAGACGGTGGAACCCAGATAGTCTGGGTTTGCCTCCTGGTGCTGTGTCTTATGAGCTGTGTGACATCAGGCAAGCAGCCCCGCCTCTCTGTGCTTCAGTTTCCTCATCTGCAAATCAGAGCCCACCACAGAGGGTTGGGGTGGTTCACTGAGCTCGTAAGCATGGTGCCCGCCACCCAGGAGCACCGTGATGGTGACGCCGTAGCTGTTGTTATCCTCTGAGGACCAACTGTCCCTCCTCCTTGTGGGGCCCCTGGTTTATTTGGCCTCTGTGTCCACCCCGTGATGAGGGCGTGGCAGGAGGACCCCTCTGGACTTTCTCTTCTCCAGGTCTAGGGGACAAGGAGAGGGTGGAGCTGAGAGAGGCTATGTTCAGAAATTGGGAACCTGCTGTGTGATCTTGGATGGCCCCTCTCCCTTTCTGAGCCTCCATTTCCTGGCCTGCTCTATGAGCACGTGGACCTGGCCCCTCGTTATCCTTGTCACGATACTTTCAGTAGTTCCTCCCTCGGCCAGCCCAGCCACATGGCTTTTGACTGTTTTTCCCACTACGGCATCTGGGGCGCAGTAGGTGCTCAGCTAAATCTTGTTGGAGAAGCCCAGGAGTGCACCACTGAGTGGCTGTCCCGGGCTTTCCCACTCCCGGCCTCTTGCTTGTGTAGCCCCCTTTGCCAAGAATGTGGCCCCCATTCATCTCTACTTGTGGAAATCCTTGTCCTCGAAGCCCTTCGCAAATGCTGCCTCCCCTAGGAAGCCTTTCCCAGTTTCTCCCAGCCAGAGGAGATGCTGGTCCTTGGAACACTTGCTCTGAGGCTCTCTGGTGGTCCCTGTTACAGTGCACTGCCGTGTCCATAGTAACAGATGAATGGCAAACAGGGACTGTGCACTTGCTAGGAGCCAGGCACAGGGGGAGGCCCTGAGCTTGTGCTGTCTTATTTCATCTTCCACACCAACCTCACAAGGTGGATATTAATCCTATTGTCCCTCCCTTTACAGAACAGAGAACAGAAGCTCAGAGAAGTGAAGCAACTTGCCCAGCTATGAGAGACAGAGCCAGGATTTGAAACCAGGTAAGCCTGTGTTTTTTCTTAAAAAGGAAAGAAAAGACATCAACACACACACACACACACACACACACACACACACACACACACACACACACACGACAGGGAAAAGTAAGCCTCTCTCACACCCAGGTCTCCTTGCCAGAGGCAACCACTTGAAAAAATTTCTGGTGTATCCTTCCAGGGAGATCCAAGCATATATAAGCATGTATATTAACAATTTTTTTAGCATAATGTGAATTTCAATAATGATGGGAATGCCAGGTGTTGATATTTTTAGCTTCTGCACTTGACTCAATATTACATATTTGCAAAGAATTTTTTTTTTTTCTTAGACAGGGTCTTACTCTGTTGCCCAGGCTGTAGTGCAGTGTCACAATCATGCTCACCGTAGCTTCGAAATCCTGGGCTCAAACGATCCTCCCACCTCAGTGTCCCAAGGAGCTGGGACTGCAGGCACATGCACCACACCCAGCCAGTTATTTATTTTTTTGTAGAGACAGAGTCTCACTATGTTGCCTAGGCTAGTCTCGAATGCCTGTGCTCAAGCAATCCTCCTGTCTTGGCCTCCCAAAGTACTGGGATTATAGGTATGAGCCATCATCCCTGGCCAGAATTTTTTTTTTTTTTAGACAAATGATAGCACACACTCTACCCTGTCCAACACACACAATTGACTTTTTTCTCTTGACAGTGTACCTCAGAGATCATTTATTTGTGCTGCACTTTTCTTGTTCATGGTTGCGTAGTATTCCACTGCATGTATGGTAGTCACACTTTATTTAATTAAGGACAGATATTTTGGTTGTTTCCAGGCTTTTGCTTGTTCTAGACAATTCCACAAATGAATATCCTCAATCATATGCCTTGTGTTTGTGTGTTCTTTTAGGATCAATTCCACCTTGCAGGGCCGGTGGGTGTGTAATTGTGATAGGTATTGCCAAATTGTCTTTCAGAGAGATTGTGCTGGTGTCACCACGCCCTCTGTTCTCCTCACTCTCACCAGCATAAATTGCATAAGTGCAATTTGCCAATCTGATAGGTGAACAGTGGCCCCCAGTGTAGTTTATTTGAAAAATGTGTATCACAGCTTTACTGAGATAAAATTCCCATACCATACAATTTATCTATTTAAAGTATACAATTCAGTGGTTTTTAGTAGAGTCACGGAATTGTACAATCGTCACCACAGTCAAATTTAGAACATTTTCATTACTCCAGAAAGAAACTTCACCCATTACAGTCACTCCCCACTTCCCCCTAAACTTCCCTTCCCTAGGCCTAGGCAGCAACTAATCTAGTTTCTGTTTCTATAGATTTGCCTATTCTGGACATTTAATAGAAATGGAATCATTCAAGTGTGCTCTTTTGTGGCTGGCTTCTTTCACTTAGCATAATGTTTTCAAGATTCACTCATGTTGTAGCATGGATCAATATTTCATTTTTTTTTCTTGCCAAATAATATTCTATCATATGGATATACCATATTTTATTTATCCATTCATCAGTTGATGGACATTTGGGCTTTCTGGCTATTATGGGTAATGCTGTTCTGGACATTCATGCACAAGTTTTTGTATAGACATATGTTTTTCATTTCTTTCGAGTGTGTACCTAGGAGTAGAATTGCTAGATCATATGGTAATTCCGTGTTTAACTTTTTGAGGAACTGCCAGACTGTTTTGCAAAGCAGCTGCACCATTTTACATTCCCATCAGCAATGTCTGAGGGTTCCAATTTCTCCACATTCTTGCCAACATTTGTCTTTTAGATTCTAGCCATCCATCCTAGTGTCTGTGAAGTGGCATCTCATTGTGGTTTTGATTTTTTTTTTTTTTTTTTTTGAGACAGGGTCTCACTCTGTTGCCAAGGCTAACTGCAACCTCAAACTCTTGGGCTCTAACAATCCTCTCATCTCAGCCTCCCAAGCAGCTGGGACCAAAAGTGTGTGCCACCACGCCTGGCTAATTTTTTTTTTTTTTTAAATTTGTGGAGATGGGGTCTCACCGTGTTGCCCAGGCTGGTCTCGAACTCCTGGGCTCAAGTGATCCTCGCACCTCAGCCTCCCAAAGTGCTGGGATTACAGGCATGTGCCATTGTACTTGGCTGTTTTGATTTGTATTTCCCTAATTACTAGTGACATTAAGCATCTTTTCATGTGCTTATTGGCAATTTGTATATCTTCTTTGGAGGAATGTCTATTCAAGTTCTTTGCCTATTTTTATGATTAATGTAATCTATTTTTTTCCTTAGAGACAGGGTCTCACTATGTTGCCCAGGCTAGTCTTAAAGTCCTGGCCTCAAGTGATCACCCTGCCTCAGCCTCCCAAGTACCTAGGACTATAAGTGCATGCCACCATGCCTGACTTAATTTTTTTTTTTTTAATTTTGTAGAGATAGGATCTTACTCTGCCACCCAGGCTGGAGAGCAATGCTGTGATCATAGCTGACTGTAACCTCAAATTCCTGGGCTCAAGCAATCCTCCCATCTCAGCCTCCTGAGTAGCTAGGACCACAGGCATGCAACACCACGCCTGGCTAATTTTTAAAAAAGTTTTAGTAGGGGTCTCACTATGTTTCCCAGGCCGGTCTCAAGCTCCTGGCCTCAAGAGATCCTCCTGTCTTGGCTTCCAAAGCACTGGGATTACATGCATGAGCCACTGTAAGAGATTTTTATATATTGTAGATACAAGTCTCTTGTCAGATATATGATTTGCAAATATTTTCTCCTATTCTGTGGGTTGTACTTTTATTTTCTTGATGTTGTTCTTTGGAAAACAGAAGTTTTTAATTGTGATGAAGTGCAGTTTATTTTTCCTTTTGTTGCTTGTGCTCTAGGTGTTGTATTTAAGAAATCATAATCTGGCCAGGTGCGGTGGCTCACACCTGTAATCCCAGCACTTTGGGAGGCCGAGGCGGGTGGATCACCTGAGGTCAGGAGTTAGAGACCAGCCTGGCCAACATGGTGAAACCCCGTCTCTACTAAAAATACAAAAATTAGCCAGGCGCACTGGCGGGCACCTGTGATCCCAGCTACTCAGGAGGATGAGGCAGGACAATCACTTGAATTCGGGAGGCGGAGGTTGCAGTGAGCTGAGATCGCACCATTTTACTTCAGCCTGGGCAACAGAGTGAGACTCCGTCTCAAAACAAACAGACAAATAAACAAACAAACACAAATAAACCAACCAAACAAACAAAAAAAGAAATCATAATCCAAGGTCATAACATTTATGCCTATATTTTCTTTTTTTTTTTTTTTTTTTTTTTTTGTTTTTTTTTTTTTTGTTTTTTTTTTTGAGACGGAGTCTCGCTCTGTCGCCCAGGCTGGAGTGCAGTGGCGGGATCTCGGCTCACTGCAAGCTCCGCCTCCCGGGTTCACGCCATTCTCCTGCCTCAGCCTCCCAAGTAGCTGGGACTACAGGCGCCCGCCACTACGCCCGGCTATTTTTTGTAGTTTTAGTAGAGACGGGGTTTCACCGTTTTAGCCGGGATGGTCTCGATCTCCTGACCTCGTGATCCGCCCGCCTCGGCCTCCCAAAGTGCTGGGATTACAGGCGTGAGCCACCGCGCCCGGCTATGCCTATATTTTCTTATGAGAGTTTTTTATTTTTACCTCTTTCATTTAGGTTTGTGATCCAATTTGTGTTGATTTTTATGCAGGATTTGAGGAAGGTGTCCAGCTTCTTCTCCCTTGAATTGTCTTGGCACCCTTGCATAAAATCAATTGACTGTCAATGTGATTGTTTCCTTTTGGACTCTGAATTCCCCTCCACTGGTTTATAAGTCTACACTTATACCAGTACCATGCTGTTACTGTTGTTTTACAGTTTTGAAATTGAAAAGTGTGAGTCCTCAAACTTTGTTTTTCTTAAAGACTGTTTGGCTATTCTGGGTCCCATGACTTTCCATATGAATTTTAAGATCAGTTTGTCAATTTTGGCAAAGAAACTAGCTGGGACTTTGATAGGGAGCAGACCAATTGGGGAGTATTGCCATCTTAATAATATTTAGGCTTCTGAGCCATGAACACGGGATGTCTTTCCATTTCTTTCAAAATTTTTTTGTAGTTTTCGGAGTATAAGTTTTATACTTTCATTAATCTTTTTCCTAAGTATTCTTTTGATGCTATCATAAATTTCCTTCTTAATTTTATTTTTGGATTCTTCATTGCCAACCTATAGAAATACAATGTATTTTTGTGTATTGATTTTGTACTTTACAGCCTTGCTGAACTCATTTATTAGTTCTACTGATTTTTTGGTGGAATTCTTAGGATTTTCTATATATAAGATCATATTATCTGCAAAAAAAGAGAGTTTTCCTTCTTCCTTTCTAATCTGGATGCCTTATGTTTCATTTTCGTTCCTAATTGTCCGGGCTAGAAGCTCCAGTACAATCTTGAATAGAAGTGGTGAGGGTAGATATTCTTTTCATTTCTGATCTTGGGGGGATGGCACGCAGTCTTTTACCGTTAAGTAGGATGTTAGCTCTGGGGTTTTCTTTTTCTTTTTTCTTTTCTTTCTTTTCTTTTTCTTTTTTTTTAAGATGGGAGTCTCACTCTGTCACCCAGGCTGGAGTGCAGTGGTGCGATCTTGGCTAACTGAAACCTTTGCCTCCTGGGTTCAAGCGATTCTCCTGCCTCGGCCTCCTGAGTAGCTGGAATTACTGGCATCTGCCACCACACCCAGCTAATTTTTGTATTTTTAGTAGAGATGAGATTTTACCATGTTGGCCACACTGGTCTCTAACTCCTGACCTCAGGTGATCCACCCGGCTCGGCCTCCCAGAGTGCTGGGATTGCAGGTGTGAGCCACCACACCCGGCCTAGCCGTGAGGTTTTCATTGCTGCTTTTTATCTGGGTGAGGAGGTTCCCTTCTATCGTTTTTGTCATGAAGGAGTGTTGAATTTTGTCAAATGCTTTTTTCTACATGTATTAGAATTATTACCTGGTTCTTGACCTTTATTATATTGGTATAGTGTATCACATTAATCGATTTTCAGAAGTTAAACCAACTTTGGCTGGGCTTGGTACCTCACGCCTGTAATCCCAGCACTTTGGGAGACCAAGGCGGGAGGATTGCCTGAGGTCAGGAGTTCGAAACCAGCCTGGCCAACATGGCGAAACCTTGTTTCTACTAAAAATACAAAAATTAGCCGGCTGTGCTGGCAGGCACCTGTAATCCCAGCTACTTGGGAGGCTGAGGAACAAGAATCGCTTGAACCCAGGAGGTGGAGGTTGCAGTGAGCCGAGATCGTGCCACTGCACTCCAGCCTGGGTGACAGAGAAAGACTCCGTCTCAAAAAAAAAGTTAAACCGACTTTATATTCCTGACATCGGTCTTACTTGGTCATGGCATCTAATTCTTTTCATATGTTGCTGGATCCAGTTTTCTAGTATTTTGTAGAAGATTTATATACATGTAATATATATATTCATTTTCATAAAAGTCATTGGTCTGTAATTTTCTTTTCTTGTGATGTCTTTGTGTGGTTATGGTATCGGGGTAATACCGGCTTCAGAAAATGAGTTGGGAAGTGTTTCCTAGAGAAGAACTGGTATAATTTCTTCTTTAAAAATTTGGTAGAATTCACCAGTCCAGCTATCTGGGCCTGGGCTGCTTCTGTGAGAAGATTTAAAATTAATAATTCCATCTCTTTACTTGCTTTAGATTTATTTGAATTTTCTATTTCTTCTTCTTCTTCTTCTTCTTCTTCTTTTTTTTTTTTTTTGAGACGGAGTTTCACTCTTGTTGCCCACGCTGGAGTGCAATGGCGCCATCTCGGCCCACCTCAACCTCCGCCTCTTGGGTTCAAGCAATTCTCCTGCTTCAGCCTCCTGAGTAGCTGGGATTACAGGCATGTGCCACCACGCCCGGCTAATTTTTTATTTTTAGTAGAGGCAGGGTTTCACCATTTACGTGTGGCCCAGGCTGGTCTTGAACTCCTGAACTCAGGTGATCTGCCTGCCTTGGCCTCCCAAAGTGCTGGGATTACAGGCGTGAGCCACCGTGCCCAGCCTATTTCTTCTTATTTTTGATAATTTGTGTTTTTTTCCTAGGAATTTCATCTAAGTTATCTAGTTTGTTGACATAGAATTATTCATAGTAGTCTCTTATAATCTTTGTTTCTTTAAGGTTAGTAATAATGTCTTCCCTTTCATTCCTGAGTTTAGTAATTTGAGTCTTCTCTTTTTTTCTTGTTCAGTGTAGCTAAAGGTTTGTCAATCTTGTTGATCTTTTCAAAGAATCACCTCTTGGTTTTGTTGATTTTCTCTATTGCTTTTTATTTTTTATTTCATTAATTTCTGCTCTAATTTTTATTCTTTCCTTCCTTGTATAGCTTTAGGTTTAGTTTGCTCTTCTTTTCACAGTGTCTTAAGGTAGAAGTTTAGGTTATTGATTTGAAATCTTTCTTATTTTTATTTTTATTTATTTACTTATTTTGAGATGGAGTTTCACTCTTGTTGCCCAGGCTAGAGTGCAATGGTGTGATCTCAGCTCACTGCAACCTCCACCTCCCAGGTTCAAGCAATTCTCTTGCCTCAGCCTCCCAAGTAGCTGGGATTACAAGGCACCTGCCACCACGCCTGGCTGATTTTTGTATTTTTAGTAGAGATGGGGTTTCACCATGTTGGCCAGGCTGGTCTTGAACTCCTGACCTCCAATCCGCCCCCCCTTGGTCTCCCAAAGTGCTAGGATTACAAGTGTGAGCCACTACACCTGGCCTATTTCTATTTTTTGAGAGAGGGTCTCGCTCTGTTGCCCAGGCTGGAGTGTAAGTGGCACGATCATGGCTCATTGCAGCTCTGAACTCCGGGGCTTGAGCAGTCCTCCTGCCTCAGCCTCCCGAGTAGCTGGGACTACCGGCAGGTGCCACCATGCCTGACGATTTTTCGTGTGTGTGTGTGTGTTTTTTAGAGATGGGGATTTCACCATCTCCTGAGCTCAAGCAATCCACCTGTCTCAGCCTCCCAGAGTGCTAGGATTACAGGCGTGAGCCACCACATCTAGACGGTTTCCTTTTTTTAAAATATAGGATTTTACAGCTAGAAATTTCCCTTTAAGTTCTCTTTTACCACATCCATATATTTGGATATGTTGTATCTTCATTTTCTTTCATCTCAAAGTATTTTCTAAGCTTTTTGGTGATTTATTCTTTGACTCACTGGTAATTGAGGAGCGTGTTGTTTAGTTTTCACATATTTTAATTTTCCAAATTTCTTTCTGTTATTGATTTCTTACTTCATTCTATTGTGGTTGGAAACATACTTTGTATGATTTCACTCCTTTTAAATTTATTGAGGCTTGTTTTATGGTGTAGCATATGGTCTATCCTGGAGAATGTTCCATGTGCACTTGAGAAGAACGTGTATCTGCTGTTGTTGGGTGGCTGGTATGGTTTGAATTTGCATTTATCTTATGAGTGAGGTTGAGCATCTTGTCATATGTTTGCGAGCCATTTGTTTGCTTTTTCTGTAAACTATATGTTGTCATTTTTCTTATTTTATGGGAGCTTATTATATACATGCTAAGAAAAAAAAACACCCTTACCTATCATATGAGTTGCAATTATTTTTCTTTGTTTGTCCTTTGAACTTGTTTATGATGTCTATTGAGCCATATCAGATTTTTATGTAGATTGATTTATCATTTAAAAAATGGTTTCTAGGTCTTATGTCATGTTTAGGAATGCTTTCCCCATTCAGAGATATGAAAATTCATTATCTTTTCCCCTTTATGCATATATATACACATATATACACATATACACATATATACATATATACACACATATACACACATATATACATATATAAATACATATACACATATATGTACACACACATATGTACATATATACACATATGTACATATACACACATACACACATATATGTACACACATACACATGTATACATATATGTACATATCTACACACATGTACATACGTACACACATGCACATATGTACACACGCACACACATGTACATACGCACACACACACACACATATTACATATGTACACATGCACACATTACATATGTACACACATACACACATGTACACACACATATGTACATATATACACATACACATATATGTACATTATACACATATATGCGTATATATACGCATATATACGCATATATGCGTGTATATACGCATATATACGCATATATGCATATATACACACACACATACATATATATATTTTTTGTGGATATGAGGTTTCACCATGTTGTTCAGGCTGGTCTCAAACTCCTGGACTCAAACAACCCTCCTGCCTTGGCCCCCAAAGTGTTGGGATTACAGGCGTAAGCCACCACGCCCAGCTCTTCCCCTTTTTAGAGCTTTATTGTTTGAGTATTTTGTGGTTTAAATCTGATTGATTTGTAATTTATTGGCATATATAGTGAGATTGAGATCCAGCTTTGTTTTCTGATGGCAGATTGTTGGTCCTAGCTCCATCTTAAAAATCATCCACCTTTTTCTCACTGGTATAAACTGCCATCTTCATTATATAGTAAATTCCCATATGTTTCAGGACAACTTTTGGACTCTATTCTGTTCCCCTGATGTACTGATGTGCCAATAGCACACAGTTTTAATTACTGTGTCTTTATAGTAAGGTTTACTGTCTGGTTGGGCTGTTTCTCCCTCATTAGTCTTCTTTTTAGGAGTTCTCTGGCTACTCTTATTCATATGTTTTTACTTACAAATTTAGAAATTGACTTGCCTAGTTAAAAAAAACTTGGGTTTTTTTTTAATTGGGATCACATTGAACTTCTAGATTGATTTATGAATAATTTTTTTTTTTTTTTTTAGATAGAGTCTTGCTCTGTTGCCCAGGCTGGAGTGCAGTGGCATTATCTCGGCTCACTGCAACCTCTGCCTCCCAGGTTCAAGCGATTCTTCTGCCTCAGCCTCCCGAGTAGCTAGGACTACAGGTGCCTGCCACCACACACTGCTAATTTTTGTATTTATAGTAGAGACGGGGTTTCACCATATTGGCCAGGCTGGTCTTGAACTCCTGACCTCATGATCTCCCCACCTCGGCCTTCCAAAGTGCTGGGATTACAGGTGTGAGCCACTGCCCCTGGCTGATATTTTAATAATGCTAAGCTTTCTTTCATTTTATTTTCTAATTGCAATTGGTATATATACACATAATTGATTTGGGAATGTTAACTTAATTCCCTGCCACTTTACTTAATTTGCTTTTGGTTTAATAGTTTTGCAGTAGATTCTCTTGGATTTCCCAGACTTATACCTATACCAAATACTATAATAATACTCTTTTTTTTTTTTTTTTTTTTTGAGACAGAGTCTTGCTCTGTTGCCCAGGCTGGAGTACAGTAGCGTAATCTTGGCTCACTGCAACCTCCACCTCCCAGGTTTAAGCGACTCTCATGTCTCAGCCTCCAGAGCAGCTTGGATTACAGGCATGTGCCACCACACCTGGCTTATTTTTGTACTTTTAATACAGATGGGGTTTCGCCATGTTGTCTAGGCTGATCTTGAACTCCTGACCTCAGGTGATCCACCCGCCTCTGCCTCCCAAAATGTTGGGATTACAGGTGTGAGCCACCACACCTGGCCAATAATAATACTCTTACCTTCTCTTTTCTAATTCCATTTATTCTTCAATTTCTTTTTCTATTCTTTTTTTTTTTGAGACAGAGTCTCACTTTGTCACCCAGGCTGGAGTGTAGTGCCATGATCTCCACTCACTGCAACCTCTGCCTCCTGGGTTCAAGTGATTCTCCTGCCTCAGCCTCTCGAGTAGCTGGGATTACAGGTGCCTGCCACCATGCCTGACTAATTTTTGTATTTTTAGTAGAGACGAGGTTTCACCATGTTGGCCAGGCTGATCTCGAACTCCTGACCTCAGGTGATCCACCTGCCTTGGCCTCCCAAAGTGCTGGGATTACAGGCATGAGCCACCGCACCTGGCCTCTTTCCTTTTTTTTTTTTGAGACAGAGTCTCACTCTGTTGCTCAGGCTGGAGTGCAGTGCTGTGATAATGGCTCACTGCAGCCTCAACCTTCCAGACTCAAGTGATTCTCTCACTTCAGCCTCCTGCGTAGCTGGGTCTACAGGTGCACACCATCATGCCTGGCTAATTTCTTTTGTGTATTTTTGGTAGAAATGGGGTTTCACCATGTTGCCCAGGCTAGTCTGAAACTCCTCAGGCTCACGTGATCCTCCTGCCTCTGCCTCACAAGGTATTGGGATTACATGCATGAGCCAACACACCTGGCCAAATTTTTGTGTTTTTTTTTAGAGATGGTGTTTTACCATGTTGCCCTGGAAAGTATGAAACTCACGGGCTCCAGCAGTCCGTCTGCCTCAGCCTCCCAAAGTGCTGGGATTACAGGTGTGAGCCACCACACCCAACCCTCTTTTTCTAAGCTAATTGTATTGGCAAGTATCTTAGAGTGGGGTTAACTGGTGGACATGTATCTTAGTTCATTCAGGCTGCTGTAACAAAATACCATAGACTGGGCAGCTTAAACCATGAACATTTATTTCTCACAGCTCTGAAGGCTGGAGAGTCCAATATCAAGGTGGCAGCAGATTCAGTGTCTGATGAGGACTCTCTTCCTGGTTTGCAAACGGCCACCTTCTTAATGTGTCCTCACATGGCAGAGAGAGACAGGGCTCTGGTTTCCTCCTCTTCTCATAAGGGCACTAATCCCGTCATAAGGACTCCATCCTTATGACTTATGTAAACCTAATCACCTCCCAAGGCCCACCTCCAAACACCACCACACTGGGGATTAGGGCTTCAACATGTGAATCTGGGGTGGGGGATGCACATTCAGTCCATAGTGATATCCTTGTCTTTTCTGGGTTCTTTCCCTGTAAAGGGGCTTTTGTAGGCCTTGGCTCCTAATCAACTCCACCAGACAACACCCCTCAGGACCATGCACAGGGCATGGCACATGTAGTAGGCATTTTGGAGGCTTTTGCCTAACTGTCAAAGTGACTGCAAAAGAGGGCAAGTGTCTGAACAAGGTCTTCCACAGAAATCATAATAATAGCCAATTAGATATTGAGCACTTTCTATGTGCCAGGCACTTTACAAATATGACATCACGCTTCCTCACAATGAACCCCACATTATGTAGGAACAATCACACCAATTCCCATTTCCCAAGGCTGCATGGTTAGGAAGTTGCAAGCTGGCATCTGAACCTGGCATTCTGGCCCCGGGCCACCTGTATATATATATACATATTTTGGAGATGGAGTTTTGCTCTTGTTGCCCAGGCTGGAGTGCAATGGCACAATGTCTGCTCACTGTAACCTCCACCACCCGGGTTCAAGTGATTCTCCTACCTCAGCCTATCAAGTAGCTGGGATTACAGGCATGCGCCACCATGCCCAGCTAATTTTGTATTTCTAGTAGAGATGGGGTTTCACCATGTTGGCCAGGCTGGTCTCTAACTCCTGACCTCAGGTGATCCACCTGCCTCAGCCTCCCAAAGTGCTGGAATTACAGGCATGAGCCATTGTGCCCGGCCCCACCTGTAGTTTTTGACTGCTCTGTGATGCTTCTGCTTCCCTGGAGGGTCTAAGATGTGGGCGATGAGATCATAGGTTGCCCTCTGACCCCTGTGTTGCTTTGGACCATGGGGTCATTGGCACAGTGGGCGGGGTACCAGAGGTAGGTTCTGACACTGCTCTCCTGAACCGTGAGCATCCCAGCTCTGCTGCACTCACTTGCTGTGTGGCCTTGGACAAGGTTTTAGTTTCTCTGAACCTTGATCCCATCTGTAAAGTGGGTGCAGTTACAGTCCCTGCGTCACTGTGCTGTTGGGTCAATTAAGAACCAACTGTGTGTAAAGCGCCCAGCCTTGTGCTTGGCATTCAAGGCCCTGCCACTGCCTCCTCTTATTCCCTGGAATGATAATAACAACAGTAAACAACATTGTGTGCTGTTTGTCATGCACTTATTCTTTTCCTGCCACAAGGACTCTCACTCGTACTTTTCAGTTGTTAGGTTTCTATCCCCATTTTAAAGGGGAGGAAACTCACAGGCAAAGTGACTTGCACAAGAAAATGTAGCTACTAAGAAGTGCAGCCAGGACTCGAACCCAGGTTTGACTGGAGTCCTCACTCTCAGCTCCTAAGCTCCTGGCCTACTCTCCACCCTTAGAAGAGGTGAGATGATGTTCTTCAGAGTCAGGAAGGAAGGGGCTGGTGTGTGGTGGCTGAACAGCAGTGTGACCTGAGCATCTGTGAGCCAGGAGGTGAGAGAGAGTGTGTGGCACCCTGTGGTTGGGTAGATCATTGTGGGAGGATGGGACACGCCGTGGGAGCATGGGACACACCATGGGAGACGGCAGCACCACCAGCTGCAGGGCCATGTGGACCCAGGTGATGGCTTTAGGCCTCATCCACAGGCTTATGATGGGAAGCTCTTGAATATTTTTTAAAAATTGTCACTTTAGAAAATCATGACAAAGTCATTTCTAAATGTCAACTGATACAGGGTGTAAAGTGAAAAAGGGATTTTCCTCTCCCCATCCCACACTTTTGAGATGAAACATTGTGATGAATTTGGAATCCTTCCAGAGCTTTCTTTTTTTAAAGTTTTTTTAATTTTTAATTTTTATGGGCACATAGTAGGTGTATATATTTATGGGGTACATGAGATATCTTGACACAGGCATACATTGTGTAATAATCACATCAGGGTAAGTAGGGTATCCGTCACCTCAGTTATCATTCCTTTGTGTTACAAACAATCCAATTCTACTCTTTTAGTTTTTTTTAAAATTATTATTATTATTTTATTTTTATTTTTTTTGAGACATGGTCTCACTGTGTTGCTCAGGCAGAGTGCATGTGTGTGTGTGCAATTTCCTTTCTTTCTTCTCTTTTTTTTTTTTTTTTTTTGAGACAGGGTCTCGTTCTGTCATCCAGGCTGGAGTGCAGTGGCGCGATGATAGCTCACTGCAGCCTCAAACTCCAGGGCTCAAGTGATCCCCCCACCTCAGCCTTCCAAGTAGCTGGGACTACAGGCTAATTTTTAATCTTCTATAGAGATACAGTCTCACTATGTTGCCCAGGCTCAATCTTCTTTACAGAGATAATAGCAGCTCATGTTTGCTACAGGTCCAGTACCACATTAAGCCCACTGCCTGCATTATCATGTTTGATTGCTCACAACCCTATTATGTGGGTAGCATCGTCCCCATTTTCCAGAGGAGGAAACTGAGGCCCTAATATGCCCAGAGGAGATTCTACCCTGCCGCTGCCTTCTTTTCACTGAAACAGTGTGTTGGGGTCTCTTATCAGGCCACTCTCAGCTCTCATTCTTTGTAATGGCTGCACTGCTGTCCACTTGAGGACTGGAGCCCCTTTATTTAACCAGCCCCTCTCTGAGGAACACGTAGGTTGTTAATGGCTTTCTGTGGAGAGTTTTAAGCGGAGGAGGCCCAGTTGTCTGTGAGGTTTACAGAGCCGCCTCTGGCTGCGGGGGGAGGGTGGACTGGAGGGGCCCACACTGCTGTGTCCAGGCCTAGGATCACAGGGCCCTGGCCTGAAGGACTGGAGATAGACAGGGTGGAGGGGAGGAATGCGCTTGAGGAAGATTCAGGAACTACCCCGGGGCTCCCCAAGGGCAGAGCCCCACACAGGGCTTGGCACGTGGCAGGTGCTCTGCGAATACCTGGAGAATGACTGGGGTGGGATGTGCAGGGGTTGTCGCTGAGTCAGTGATGGGGATGGGGGTGGGGGGGAGATGCAGGCTTAGCGGGAGGTACTAGGCCACTTGGGGACCTGCTGAGCTCAAGGCACTGGGAACGCCGAGGGAAAAGTTCTTATAGCAGCAACTCGGCACCTCTCGAGGGAGCGAGCCATAGTGCAGGCCCCCTGTCTGCTGAGGAGTCCAGAGCCCACGGTGAGGAGTGGCTTCCCGAAGGAAAGGGGCCACCTTTCCCTGGGAACCTCAGGCAGCCCCATTGTGGGGCCCCCACTGCTTCCCCTTGACCCCCGCAAGGGTCTATCTCTACCTTGGAGGCTGCAAGTGGCGGAAGAGATGAGGGGGGTTGGCCCCTCTCCAAGGAGCAACTCATGGTGACTCGGCAGTTGGGCCCCAGAACCAGGAAGTGCAAGGATAGAGCTCTGTGCCAGGGAGGAGGGTGGTCTCTCATGAGGTCCCACGGCATGGAAGCAGCCCTCCGAGACTAACTCCCACCCTCACTGAGTCATCGAGTGAAGAGCCGTGTAGCTTTCGAGACCAGCCCAGCCGACATGGTGGAACCCCGTGTCTACTAAAAATACCAGAATTAGCCGGGAGTGGTGGCACTCACCTGTAATCCCAGCTACTCAGGAGGCTGAGGCAGTAGAATTGCTTGAACCTGGGAGGCGAAGGGTGCAGTGAGCCGAGATCACACCATTGCACTCCAGCCTGGGCGACAGAGGAGACTCTGTCTCAAAAAAAAAAAATAATAATAATAATTAGCCAGGCGTGGTATTCGGTGACTGTAATCCCAGCTACTTGGGAGGCTGAGGCAGGAGAACCGCTGGAACCCGGGAGGCGGAGGTTGCAGTGAGCCGAGATCGCGCCACTGCACTCCAGCCTGGGCAATAGAGTGAGACTCCATTTCAAAAAAAAAAAAAAAAGGAAAAGAAAAAGAACGAGAGAGCTTGGAGTAAAAAAAAAAAAAAAAAAAAAAAAAGGAAAAGAAAAAAGAAAAAGACCGAGAGAGCTTGGAGTGGCCTGAGAAGATGCTCTGAACACACTAACACATAAAGTGAAAAGAGGGAGGCGGCAGTGTAGAATCTCCTCTGGGTATCTCAGGGCCTCAGTTTCCTCATCTGGAAAGTGGGGGCCACAGTGCTACCCGCATGACCCTCAGTGGGCCATTCTTGCTCAAGGACGTTCTGCTCGGAGCTTTCTCAGGCTTTCTCTGGGAGTGGGGTGGGCTGCTTTATCCTCTCACCCCTCTTCCAAGGCCATCTGGCTGCTTTGTGAGAGAGATCCCTGGGGGTAGGAGGTGGGGCCTGTGAGTTTCAGCCCCTGATTCCCACCTGCCCAGTGTGGTGGCCCCTTTTCACTCTCACCCATGCTGTGTGACTTCAGGCAAGTTCTTCAACCTCTCTGTGTCTTAATGTCCTCAACAGTAAGATAAAGACATGATTAGTATTTACCTCCTAGATTATCATGAGGAGCCGATGAGTCAATGTTTGCAAAGTACTTAGAGCAAGGTCCAATTCAAGGTCTGAGCTCTGGGAGTATTTGAATACCACGGAATGATATTTAGTCTTTTCAGTGTGGCATTGCAGGAACAAAGTAGGATGCAAATTATACATCCATGCCCATTTAGTCTTTTGTCTATTCTGCAAATAGTTCCAGAGCACCTAGTGGGTGTCAGGCCCGTCCTGGTCTCTGGGGGCATGGAGATGGATCCTGCCTGGCCCTGACAGCCGCGAGTGCACAGTGGAGGGCACTGGGTGGACCCCAGTTTGTTGACCGTCTTGCGTTGCTGTGACGCTGGAAGGAAACGCACCACCACACCCAGGTGTTTGTCTTCTAGGGGCAGAATTATGGGGCATTTTCTTTTATTTTTTCTTTTCTTTTTTTTTAATCTTCTTGTAGTTCTCAAAGAGTCCACTCTGAATGATAAAAGTTACCATTTACGGAGGCCTGGTAACGTTCCGTGCCATCCTGAGCATGTTCCGTGTACTTTTCTCACGGATTCTCCCAGCAGTCCTGACACGGGTGTTATTCCCGATCGATAGAGAGGAAAACTGAGGCGAAGGGCGGCCGGCCAGGATTCAAACCAGGGAGTCTGCTCCAGCACTCCGGCTCTTAACCTCAACCGTCTGCCTCTCCACAAACACCAGGATCAACCACCAAGACCAAAAAAACAGTCTCACAAACCATCAAACATTGCACTTGGTGGCTCAGGACCTTAGCTTCGTCTTAAAGGTCCCTGTTATGCTTTTTCTGAGTGCCCCAGTGTGGAGTGGTCTTCGTGTTTGTGAGTGCAGGGGTCAGGGGTTGTGTCTTTTCTTCTTGTCCCCTTCCAAGAGGTGACATGTATCCTTGATACTGGAAGGGCCCTTAAGGTCTAGCCCTGGCTCTCTGTCTCCCTTCATGGCACATCAGCCAAGTACCCATTCTCCCGTCTTTGATTACCTCCAGTGACAGGGAGCTCACTCCTCAACATTTATTTTATTCTAAAGAAAATTCAGGCTCTTAGATAGTTCTTCCTCCATAAAAATTTTTTAAAAAAATTTTTACTTCCTCTTAAAGTCTCATAAACAAGTCCCCTGCTTTGGGGTCCTGAGGCAGGACCTGGCTAATTCGTCTCTATGTCCCCCTATAGTGAGGAGCACAGGGCCTGCTAGTAGGTACTATAAATGCTGCACCAGGAAGCAAGTGGCTAGGGGGCGGGCTGGTTGGGCCCCCATCAATCCTTGGGCTGCAGGTAACCAGGTCAGCAGTTCTTGTGGGACACCAGCTGGGTGAGTGCTGATGGGTATCGTGACCTCAATGGAATAGGTTGCCATAGAAACTGACTTTGGACCTGTCCCCAGGTCCATTGACTTGTCCCTCAGGAGACCATGGTAATCCCTTGAGCTCTTCAGCAGGTCTCCCCAGGGCCTCCCCAACCCCACATTCTCTGAGCTGGGTGGTCCCCAGGGAGCATGCAAACCATACCCCCATTGTGCAGCTGGGTAGCCTGAGGCCCCAGGGGCACAGGGGACAGGCTGAAATTCACACAGGCAGGGGGCGTCTCATAGCTGGGCTGGGCGCTCAGGGCAAACAGCCTTGCCCGAGGACCCAGCCAGTCAGGGGGCCTTTTCCCCACTCATGGGTTCTCAGAGGAAATTCTGGACCGATTCCCAGGCCTTCTGCCTCCCCAAAGAATAATCGGAACCTGCCTCCCTGGTGTGTCCAGAATTACACAATATCAATAACGGCTGAGGTGACCTGTGATGCCCCTAGCACCCTACAGTGTCTTGTGCATTTATCACAATGACCCCATCGTTACAGATGAGGAAACGGCACAGAGAGAAGTTAAGTCACATGCCTAAGGTTACACAGCTATTTAGGGGTAGAGCCAGGATCTGGATGTGGAGAGCCCAGCTCCAGAGCCCACTCTCACCACCATGCCATACCCTGTCTCGCTCTTGCTTTGAGAGGGTTGAAAAGACTTTGGGAGGGTTGAAGGATATTTCAGGTCTAGGAGGCTCTTAGCACGGGCCTGCTAGAGCCATAGCCTGATGAACAGTGATCAGAGAGTGGGCGCCATTATGATTTCTCTTTCTAATGACATCCTCAAAACAGTGCTGAGATGTCTGCTTTATCCCTGCTTTGCAGATGAGGACGCTGAGGCCCAGAGAGGGAAAGCCACTTGCCTAGGGACACACAGCGGGGAGAGGTGGAGCAGGGCCTCTATTTCGAGACCCCTGACTCCACACCTGGTGTTTGTGCCAAGACCCCAGGCTGCCTCCCAGGTCCTCTGGGACAGCCCCTGCCTTCTACCAGGTGAGATGATGGCCCTATCAGGGCTCAAGATGGGTGGGGAGATCCCAGCGAATCTGGGTGGGAGCTGGGACCAGCCAGGGCCTGCGGATGGGGAAATGGGAGGCAGAGGGTGGTGGCAGGACTGTGGGCGTCAGGGGGAGTTTTCAACTTGGTTTACTCTGTGTTTCCGTCTCTCTGGACCTCCCAGGTTTCTGGCTCTGAAGTCCCTTAGCTCTTAAATAGTCACTCATTCGTTCAGCTGTTTACTGAGCACCTACTGTGTGCCACACCCCATGCTAGGCACTGGGAGCACAGCAGTGAACAAGATGAACAAAAGCCCACGACAGTAGTCACATAACCACATGAATTCAAACAACAAAAACAAAACAGGACCACATGTTATCAAAGACAGACACAAGTCAGGGGGACCCAGTGAAAGGATTTGGGGAACACTTCCCAAGGAGGGGACTTTTGAGTTGAGAACGGAAGGAGGCACCAGTCACCCTGGTGAAGTGGCCAGGGAACAGCATTTGGGCAGTGGGAATGGTATGTGTGAAGGCCCTGTGGCTGGAGTGAGCTCCCAGCCATCTCTGCTTCAAACCTCCTGCTGTATGGCCTTGGCTGCCACTTTTAGCACCTTTCCCCAGCGTTAGGCAATTCCCGTCAGCCACGTATTCATTCAACAAACCCTCAATGAGCCCCCTCCATGTGCTAGGTGCCCGGGACATAGGCGTGGCTCAGATACTGTCCCTGCCAGGAGGGAGGGAAACAGTGACTCAGGGGGAGGTGGGTGGGTAAGGTCAGGGCTTCTGATTATGAGGCATTTCTTCCGTTCCTGGCGCTGGACCGAGGAAGCCCTTTACGGATGGATGCCATCCTTACGCTCATTTTACAGATGAAGACATCGAGGTTTTGAGAGGCTAACTCTCCCAAAAAGGCTGGTGCCCCTGTCCCCCATTTTTTTCTTTTCTTTCTTTTTTTTTTGAGACAGAGTATTCCTCTGACGCCCAGGCTGGAGTGCAGTGGCAGGATCTGAGCTCACTGCAGCCTCTGCCTCCCCTGTTCAAGCGATTCTCCTGCCTCACCCTCCGGAGTAGCTGGGACTACAGGCGCGTGCCACCATGCCCGGCTAATTTTTTTTTTTTTTTCAAGTAGAGCCCGGGTTTCCGCGTGTTGGCCCGGCAGGTCTCAAACTCCTGATCTCAAGTGATCCGCCCGCTTCGGCCTCCCAAAGTGCTGGGATTACAGGCGTGAGCCACCGCGCCCGGCCCTGCTGCCTCTCCTTGGGCCTCGTTTTCCCTATCTGTGGAATGGGTGGGAGGGAGGCCGGCCAAGGGGCCCCGGCAGCCCTGCCTGTTCCAGTGTCTTCTCTCTCTCCTGCCAGGACCATGGGTAGCAACAAGAGCAAGCCCAAGGATGCCAGCCAGCGGCGCCGCAGCCTGGAGCCCGCCGAGAACGTGCACGGCGCTGGCGGGGGCGCTTTCCCCGCCTCGCAGACCCCCAGCAAGCCAGCCTCGGCCGACGGCCACCGCGGCCCCAGCGCGGCCTTCGCCCCCGCGGCCGCCGAGCCCAAGCTGTTCGGAGGCTTCAACTCCTCGGACACCGTCACCTCCCCGCAGAGGGCGGGCCCGCTGGCCGGTCAGTGCGCGGGCGGCGCGGGGTCCTCGCCCACCTGGGGCCACGGCGGGGAGGCGGCGGGGCTGTGTGCCCGGGGTCGCCCCCTCTGCGCAGGCCCTTCCTCTCGCCAGGGGTAGCGCCCCTGGGTGACTTGGGTGTCCGGGGGGTGGGGGGGCGGCCGTACACACTGTGAAGCGTCCGCGCCGCCGCCGCTGGCTTTGGGGTGGAGCAAGCGCAAAAGACACGGGGTGTGGTTAATGGGTTCTAATTGGACGCTTAAGCCCAAGAAGAAGAAGGGCGGCGCGGGACCGGGCCTGTTGCTGCCTTGGCGCCCAGTCCTTTTTCGTTGCCTGGGTCCGCCCAGAGATGAGTCGGGACGCGCGGCCCACGTGCGGCGGAGGGGCAGCTGGGTCGCTCGGGGAACGGGGCACCGGATGGCCCCGGTTGGGCCCGCGCCAGGATGCGCCCCTGCGCCCTCTGCTGGCGCTCTGCGGTCACCGCAGCCCCGGAGAGGGCCGTTTTGGAGAGCCGCGGCGGTGCCCCAGACACTCCACGCAGACTTCACTCCTTCACTCAGACCCGTTCACTCTCCCCACAGGCACACGCTGGGCCACACACACGGCTACACCCCCGCCAGGGACACGCACACATGCGGGGTGGAGGCAGGGTCACAGACACCCGCAGACACATCCCCAACGCAGATGTACCCAGATACAAACTCACATGCACAGGTGACCTCACACTTGTAGCTGAAGACACACGCACATGCCGTCAGAAGCGCATTCAGAGACACACGCTCAGCTGGAAATCACAATCTCACCATCGTGGCCGCCCAGGAGACAGATACACACAGGTGCATCGAGAACATGAGAACACTCAGAGACACACGGACAGGCGTGGACCCTTCAGACGCAGACGCACGCCCAAGCGAGAGAAACAGACCCACAGACACACCATTCATTTGTTCAATAAGTATATGTGGAGCTCCTACTACAGGCCAGGGCTCCTCTGCTGCCCGGGCCCCAGCGGTGCAGACAGAACCCACCTGGGGGAAGGAAGCAAAGGGCAGCTCGTGGAGGGTGTTAGAAGGGGCGCTGCTGCGAAGGCGCAAAACAGGCAGGGAGGGAGGGCTGGGGGATGTGAGGAGGTGGAGGCTGTAGCTTAAAATGGTGGAAGGGGGTACGGGGGCCTTTCTGAGGGGGCAGTTACTTGGAGCCAAATCTTCCTGGACACCAGGAGCGCCCAGAGTGACACACTTTATAGAGAGAGAGCGAGCCTCCTGGGGGAGTGTTCTTCATTCACCGCTTCCTTCAGCCTATAGCTCTTTCTTGAGCACCTACTATGTGCCTGGCTCTGGAAACAAAACAAAGATGCTGGTTATTGGCGACTTCTGCTCCTAGAGCAAGACAGGCACCAAACAGATAAGCCAGCACCCAGCACTGCCCAAAGCCCCGGGGACGGACGCGGACAGGAAGGGATGCTCCCGCTCCCACACGCCCTTGCAGGGATGCGCAGATACACGGATGCAGTGGACACGTGCACAGGCCCATCTTCACTGAACCTGACTGTGTCTTTGGGCTGAGCACTTGCGTGTGGGAGACAAATCCACTCCTCCTGGGTACAGGGCCATCCTGCCCATGCCTTCCCTGGCTGTGGCCCCACTGTTCTGACACACCCCACCCCTCTCTGCAGGTGGAGTGACCACCTTTGTGGCCCTCTATGACTATGAGTCTAGGACGGAGACAGACCTGTCCTTCAAGAAAGGCGAGCGGCTCCAGATTGTCAACAACACGTGAGTGCCCCCTTCCCTATTGCCCCTCAGGGCTGGGTGGTGGGACTTCAAAGCGGGCAGGGGCTCATGCAGGATCTGGCATCAGGGCAGCACAGTGCAGAGCCCAGGGCAGTGCGAAGCCCAGGGCAGTGTGGAGGCAGGCGCCTGCTGCACTCTCGCCCTGGGCAGCACCTGCTGTTGCTCCCCCAGCCATGGGGAACTCCTCCCAATCCCTGGCTCTCGCTTGCTCCCTCCAGCCCTCTCTCAGCTTCTCCCTCTCTCTGCTTCTCTCTCGCTGGCCCTTAGGAGGAAGGTGGATGTCAGGTGTGTACATGCTCCGTGGGCGGCGGGCTGGGCGGGGTGCTTCGCGGGGGGTGGGGGCTGCTGTCTGCATGTGCTTCCACTCCCTGCCTGTGATCTCTGGCTCTCTTGGCTGCTCCTCACCTCCCAGCTTCTCCCCTCCCCCCTCCACCAATTTGATTAGGTCCTGGACCTTAACGCAGGCTGCGATCAGGGGCCCTTCCATTGCACTCTCCTGCACATCTCCTCCCCATCCACCTTCCTACTCACTCACCCTCCCATTCTGCCCCGTCAGCCCACCCAAGTATCTGCTGCATGCAGGACCCAGTGCTGTGATGGGGATAGCCTGGGTGGAGAAGGCCTTGGCCACGTCCCCCTGGAGCCAGCATGTGGCCAGGGAGACAGCACATGGCCCCAGCCCAGGCCAAGAGTCAGGCAGTGGGCGAGCCCAGAGTCGGCTCCTGGAGCCCCTGCTGTGGACCTGCCTCCGGTGATGACCACAGGGACTGAGAGGGTCAAGGGCCTCGAAGGAAAGCCAGTGAAGTTATCTGGCAGGTGGAGGTGGTGGAAGGGCAGCTTGCGGGAGGGTGCCGGACTGGAGGGGGCTGACGCCTTCACGGGTGTGGAAGGCAGGAAGGTTCTAGAAGGCAGAGGAGAATCGATCCCTGGGTGTCCTCGAAGGCCTGGCTAAGGAAGTTGGGGGTTTCCACTGCCCCGAGCGTGTCTGGCTTGCTCATGCCCCACTTGCCTTGCGCATGCTCTTCCCTTTGCCTGAAATGCCCTTTCTCCAGTGTCTGCCTGGGGAACTCCTGTTCATCGCTCAAGATCAGTGCAGGACTGCCTTCTCAGAGGGGCAAAGGGGAACAGAGGTGCCAGTTGCCATGCCAGTCGTCTCCACCTGTGTCCTTGTATTGACTCCTCTCTGCAGTCTAGCCAGGGCTGAAGTGATCGGGGAGGGGGCTGTCTCCATTTTGCAGATGAGGAAACTGAGGCTCAGCGATGTGAAGGCCCTTGTCCAAGGTCACACAGCTGCCAAGTAGCAAAGCCAGGATTGGAACCGAAGCAGCAACTTTCTGCCCTCCTCAACCTGCTCTTGGCGGGGGGGTGGGAGGGGGGGCTCTCCCGGCTCCGCCTCCCCCCTTGCATGGCCGAGTCCTGGTGCGAAGCTACAGTTTCCTTATTGTCACCAGCTGTTTGTGTCTGCTTCCCCCCTAAACTGGGAGCTGCTGGAGGGTGGCTCTCTGGTGCACCTCACTTCTGGGTCCCCATAGCACCTGTAACTCAGCACAGTGGCGGGTGCCCAGCAGGTGATGGTGAACAGGATGAATGAACAGCAGTGACAATGTCACCATTTCTTGTGCTCTCTGTGTGAGCTGGGCCCTGTGCTGAGTGCTTGAAGTTGCGTTATTTTATTTACGCATCACCATAGCCTCGAGAAATGGGAAGTCTTACTTGCACCATTTTACAGATGAGGAAACTGAGGCCCAAAGAGGTGAAATAACTTACCCAAGGTCACATGGCTAGTAGTGGCAGAGCTGGAAGACTAGGCTGGCCCTCCGACCCATGATCCTTTCAGGAAGGCTCAGTGGAGGTGCAGCAGAGGCCACAGGAGGGAGAGGCCCGTGCAGGGGAGGGGCGTCAGCAGGATGGCTCTGAAGTCCTGGTGGAGTCTCTACCAAGCGTCTCAGACTGGGGTGACAGCTGGGGCAGAGCTGTGGAGGCAGGAAGGGCTGGGAGAACTTTGGTTCTGCCTTTTTCACCTGGATTCAGAGAGTAGCCCCATGCTTGCCTTTTTCCAGCCCTTTCCCTCCACTCTTCTTGTCTTCCAGGGAGGGTGGGCTGGGGGAGGTTTGGCCAGGAGGCTGGGGCTGCCAGGAGGCCTGGAAGTGATGGAATCTCATTCAGGGAAGACCCTGGGGTAGCTGATTGGGAGATGGGGGTGGGTGGATTGGGAGCCCCTCCTCATGTCACAATGCTCCAATGCTCCTTCGCTTAGACGTCAGAGATGGTGGCTGAGCGCGGTGGCTCACGCCTGTAATCCCAGCACTTTGGGAGGCTGAGGCAGGAGGATCGCTTGAACCCAGAAGTTTGAGACCAGCCTGGGAAACATAGGGAGACCTGGCCTCTACAAAATATAAAAATAAATTAGCTAGGTGTGGTGGCGCATGCCAGTGGTCCCAGCTACTCAGGAGGCTGAGGCAGGAGGATCGCTGGAACCAGGAGTTGAAGGCTGCAGTGAGCCATGATCGTGCTACTGCACTCCAGCCTGGGTGACAGAGCAAGACTCTGTCTCAAAAAAAAGAAGTGAAGGAGGGAGGTGTAGGTGGGGGGCTGGTATTAGTAGAAGAGGAGAGGGAAAGGGATTTGGGGGGCGGGGCTTGGTAGGAGATGGGCCACCGGAATTTAAGGTGTTTGAGTCTCACACCTCATCCCGGGGACCCGCCTGCATGCACGTCCTTCCTCCATCAGTGCTCAGGGCCTATTACTGTGCAGTGCCTCCCCCACCCTGTAAGAGTGGGGGGCTTTCTGAATCTAGCATGGGGCCCAGGCACGTGTGGAGGCTGGGCTGGCTGTCAGGGCAGTAGAGAGCTAGAGGAGGAACCCGTCTGTGGATGGGGTCTGGCCAAGTGGGGGTCCTCGCAGTAGCAGACCCAGAGATCCCGCGCCATGGATCTTGCTGCCACATGGCCCTGGGTCCTGGTATTCTGGGTATTGTGTGGCCCTGGGTGTGAGGAAGCCCTCTGGGGCTGAGGTCTGACTGCCTCAAGCTCCCTCATCTGACATCCTAGTCTCAGGAGTCAGGGCCCCTCCTGGGTCTGACTCTGGGTTGCTCCCTGAACTGCCCCTTCCTCCCACCCAAATTCCAGGAGCTTCTTTTGGGAGTTTTCTGGCAGGCGCTTCTGGGCAACAGCGCCTCAGCTGGCCTCTGCCTCCTTGCCCCCGGCATGGCGGCAGGGGGCACCTCGGGAGTCTAGAGCCTCGGGGTCCTGCCTTCATGCTCTCCTCCAGAGACCTGTGCTGGCTTCACCCCTGCCTCGCTCCTCCCTCACCCCACAGACCATGTGCTCCAGGTCTTGGGGCTTGGCAATTGACCTCCTGGCCACTGCCCACCTGGCCAGCCTCAGCTGTGGTGCACCAGCTCAGCGGCCATCCCCAGAGTGCCCTCCCAACCAGTCCCAGCAGCCCAAGGGAGCGAATGTCAGTGCCCACGCTGGCACATGTCCCAGGTTCCAAAGCTGCCGTGCCCCTGAGCCACACGCCACCCTGGCTGGCCCCAAGGATTAGGGCCCCAAAAGAGGATCCTGAGGCTCAGAGAGGTGAACTCAGTTGCTTGAGGTCACACAGCTGGTGACCAGCAGTTGTGAAAAATCATGGCTCTGGGACTCTTGGCCCTTCTTCTAGCCATGGGTGGGAAGGCTTCCCTTCCTTCCCTGCTTGCTGCCCACCTGATGAGGACCAGGCCCGGGGGAAGGTGCTGGATGCCGTAGAATTCCTCTCCCTGATGGCTTGATGCTGCTGTGACTGGTGACCGCAGCCACCGGAGGCAGCTTTGAGCCTCCCAAGCCCTTGACATGGGAAGATGGGGATTGATATCTCCATTTCACAGGTGGGCAAACTGAGGCTCAGATGATCATCACAGTCGTCATCTCAGTTTACTCTGAGCCCAGCATGACGCTCACTGTTTACACACTTTGCCTGCAAGGGAGATTCTGTGAATGTTGTCTGCTTTTTACATATGAGGAAACTAAGACTCAGAGAGGGCAGGGTACTTGCCCAAGATCACACAGCAAATCCTTGTTGGAGACTGGGACTGTGCTGCTTTGGTTTTTAAAAAGGGTCACTGTGGAAATACCAATTTAGTTGTTTTTATTTTTATTTTTTAGCTAAATCCAGATCTAACAGCTGATGCATGTTGTGCTGGGCTCTGATCTGGCTTTTTTTTTTTTTTTTTTTTTTTTTTTGAGACCGGATCTTGCTCTGTGGCCCAGGCTGGAGTGCAGTGGTGCGATCTTGGCTTACTGCAATCTCTACCTTCTGGGTTCAAGTGATTCTCCTGCCTCAGCTTCCCAGCTTCCCAAGTAGCTGAGATTACAGGCACGCACCACCATGCCCAGCTAATTTTTATATTTTTATTAGAGACGGGGTTTCGCCATGTTGCTGGGCTGGTCTCGAACTCCTGACCTCAAGAGATCCATCCACCTTGGCCTCCCGAAGTGTTGGGATCACAGGCGTGAGCCACCGTGCGCTGTCTGTTCTGGCATTTGATATCCTGGGAGGGAGACATGCTGACCCTGCAGATGAGGAAACTGAGACTGGCGAGTGTGGTATGGAGGGGCCAAGGTCAGACAGCCAGCAAGTGGTGAGCTGGGATGGTGTCTAGGGCAGTGCAGCACTGGAGCCCATTCCCTCAGACCCCTCTAAATCAGGGGCCAGGCTGAGACTGGATCTTGGGTCCTTCAGTAAAATTGGAGTGCATCTCATCTCTCTCCCTGCCCCTTGTGAAATGAAACCTCCAGACTAGACCATGAAACCCCAGGCTCACAGGTGGGCTGACTCTGGGGAGCTGGGAGCCCTGCTCGCTGAAGTCGGGTAGCATCGGCTGCACTCCTCTCGCTCTTGGGCCCTGCTTGGCTGGCCTCCGAGCACAGGCCTCCTGCCAGCCTTCCACTCTGGGTGGCTGGAGACTCCCCAGAGGCCGGCCAGCCTGCGGACTGCAGCTTTGTCAAACGGCCTCAATTTTTAGCGTCTGGTCTTAGACCTTGGCCCCTTCCCGCTGTGGCCTGTCCTCTGACCCCGCCCTGCAGCCTCCTCTTTCATCTGCCACAGGCTTTCCCAAAGGTCTCAGCCTCTCTGGGGCCTGGGGAGGCCCTACTGTGCCTGGCTGTGGACAGTCAGGGGCCCTGCTTCTCACTCTTGCTCTGCCATTGGTTGACCATGTGGCTTTGGGCAAATCACTGGCCTGTCTGTGTCTCATTTTCCCCCACTGGTAAATGGAGGCTTTGAACTGAAAGATCTCAGAGAGCTGTTTTCTGTGATTTGAGTCCTTGCTTTGTAGCTTTGGGCAAGTCGCTGCACCTCTCTGTCCCTCAGTTTCCCCAACTCTCTAAAGAAAGTGCTGGCCAGGCGCGGTGGCTCACTCCTGTAATCCCAGCACTTTGGGAGGCCGAGGTGGGCAGATCACTTGAGGTCAGGAGTTCGAGACCACCCTGGCCAACATGGTGAAACCCCGTCTCTACTAAAAATACAAAAATTAGCTGGGCATGGTGGGGCTTGCCTGTAATCCCAACTACTCAGGAGGCTGAGGCAGGAGAATCGCTTGAACCTGGGAGGTGAAGTTTGCAGTGAGCCGAGATCGCGCTGTTGCACTCCAGCCTGGGTGATAGAGCAAGACTCCATCTCAAAAAAATAAATAAATAAATAAAGTGCTGGGCTACTCTGACCTGGGTGCTGTGTGTCCCTGCGCTGATCGCTTGACATTTCTGAGCCAGTTTCTTCATCTGGGGCCTGGAGCCCTGCCTTCCTCCCTTGCAGGGTGGCCTTGGGGGTCAGTGGGAGAGACAAGTGTGGACACCCCGGGTGGGTGTACAACAAGGAGGTGGGTGGGGATTTGGGGCATCCAAAGGCTTCTTTTCTTGAGGTGGGTCTTGCCTCCTTACTCCCGGGCCCTCCCTCCAGTGACCCCATATGGCTTGCCCCCCTGCCCGAGTGTGTGTGTAGCCATCACAGAGCCAAGACAGGCCACACAGCCCCAGTCACACCCCCTTGCCTCACTCCATCAGGAGGGGACACAACACCCTCTGGCTCACTTCGAGCCATCCGGCTGAACCCCAGTGTCTCAGGTGCTCACCTGTCCTCCGACAGGTCCCTGGAGAGCTCCCCAAGCCCTGCTCCCTCCTGGCCTCAACTTCTCCATCTTCTATATGGGCTGAAGAATATGGCCAGGGGCAGCTCAGAAGAAGTGGGAGCCAGGGATCCAGGTTCATGTTCAGATTGTGTGACTGTAGGCAAGGGCCTTTCTCTCTCTGGGCCCTGGCGGTGGGTGGGGGCCACCCTGCCTGCCGTGTGTCTTCTCAGGGTCCTGGTGAAGTACAAAAGTGGCCTTGGATTGAGAAGAGCCCAGCAAGCTGTCAAGCCCTGCTGCAACCTGCAGGGGGTGCTCCTATCTGGGAGTCAGGAGCCTGGGCCTGGCTGTGTGACCTTGAGCAAAGAGGCCTTTGCTTCTCTGGCCTCAGTCTTCCCAGCTGTACAGTGGGAATGAGAGGGGCTGGACCCTAGTTCCCAGGTCTCCCTGCCCATTGACCTCTCCTCACTCCCTGTGGACCCCGTCCCTGTCCCCTTGGTTGCTTTGGATGTGAGGCCTCTGTGGCTGCCCCCTCGTCCCCTGTCCCCAGCACCGCCTGGCTCTCCCGCTCTCTCCCCTGCTCTTTCTGCCACTCTCCGCCTCTCACCACCCCCATCTCTGCCTCTTCTCTCCTGTTGGGCTCTCGCTCTCTCCTCCCTCCTCTGTGTCTCTGGACCCCCGCTCCAGCCAGACCTGGTTCACATTCAGATGGCTGCAAAGGTACTTCCGCCCCTCCCCGCTCCCGCCCAGGCCCAGGGGACCCGACCACGCCGGGAGCTCTTCCTGCCCCATCCCCATCACACCCCCCACTCCTTCTCCTCACTTTCGCATAGAAGTGCCCTGGGCATTGGGGCTCTGCCACCTCACCCCCTCTGACAGGGCTCACTGTGTGACTTTGGGCAAGTCCCAGCCCCCTCTGGCCTCAGTTTCCCCCTGCAGATGGGTAGGCTGGAGGAGGAGGCCTGTAGTTTTCAGCCGAGGAGCCCTTTAGGTGTGACCCGTGATTTGGGACAGAGGCAAGCCTTGCTCTAGTTTGCAGGGTTGGGGCCTGGATGGTCACTGGGTCCCAGCAGGGCCCCTGCTTGCCTCCACCCAGGTCTCACCAGCTCCCAGGAGCGGGCTTCCAAATCTCAGAGCATGGGGACACTTTGTAGGTCTCACTTGACTTTCTCTCAGCCAGGAATCTCTTCTATTACAACCTTACTTGCCCGCAGAGACAGGGGGTTCCCTCCCTCCCTCCCAAGGCAGCTCTCGGCATCTTGAGATGTCTTGGTACATCTGAAAGGAAGTGAATTTCTTCCTGTCCCGGGACTCCTCCCCTATGGATTTGAGCCTCAGATGACCAAGGCCAGTCCTGCCCTGGTCCAAGACAAAGTCCATCTGATCCAGCTTTGGCAAAAAGGCGTCTGCGCCAGGGAGGGGAGGAGTTCCAGGCCAGCTGGACCTGGCATGCTGTGGGGACTCACGCTGGCCCCACCACCTCCCTGGGCCTCCCTCAGCCACTAGAGCCCTGAGCACAGCACCTAGGAGGATGGTGGGCACCGGGCTTGTGGCTGACGGCTCCCTTCTCCTTTCCTCCCTCCTTCTGTCCCTGCTCAGAGAGGGAGACTGGTGGCTGGCCCACTCGCTCAGCACAGGACAGACAGGCTACATCCCCAGCAACTACGTGGCGCCCTCCGACTCCATCCAGGCTGAGGAGTGAGTACCGTCTCTGGCTGCCTCTACCCGTCGTCCCTGGACACTGCCGGTGCAGAGTGCCTCTCCTGGGCTGGGGTGGGAGGTCTGGCTGTCCAGCGCCCCAGCCATATCCAGGGAGAAGCACTGTGAGTGGGCAGAAGCCTGGACAGTCAGCACCATCCTCCGTCCTCCCACCCCCAGGTGGTATTTTGGCAAGATCACCAGACGGGAGTCAGAGCGGTTACTGCTCAATGCAGAGAACCCGAGAGGGACCTTCCTCGTGCGAGAAAGTGAGACCACGAAAGGTACGAGCGCTCTTGCTGGCCAACGGATACTGAGTCTTCTGTGAGTGGTTTGAGCTGGGTGTTGTGGAATGAGCAGGAGTTTGGTTTGTGGAGTAGGGAGGGAAGAACCTTCCGGGTGGAGGTAATGGCAGGATCAAAGTCAGGGAGGTGCATTTGAGGAACACTGAGTAATCCGCGGTGGCCAGATGTCCAGAGAAAGATGAGGCTTAGTCTCTCTGGCCTCAGTTTTCTCAGATAAAAGATGAACATAGGTTGTCTGGAGGTCTGAGTGTCACACAGTAACAGGCTCGTTCCCAGGGTAGGTGCTGCTACAATGAGCCCCGCTTCTTCCTCTTCCCCAGGGGTCCCTGGGCTGCACTGGATGCTGGAGGCTGGTTTTGCCCTCCCCCAACTGCAGTCCTGGTCCCTGCCCCTCTCCTGTCCCTCCCCTGAGCCAGAGAATGAAGACCATCCCCTTTCTCTCCAGCCCCTCTGAAAGTGGGTTGCAGGCGCCCGTCACCATGGCAGCCAAGCTGAGCTGCTTCCTGTGGGCCTGGGGCTCAGCGGGAGATGGGAAGCAGAGCATCCATGTCGAGCCGTGCATTTACGAGCAGTCGTGCAGCCATGTGCGGGTGTGCATGCTGTGTGTACATCTGGGCGTGTGTGTGTGTGCATGTGGGGTGGAATTGTCTGTGTGTTGCTGTGTGGGAATGGACTGCTGTGGTTTGTCTGGTGCCTGAGGGCCTAGGGAGCGTGTACTTGTGTGAGCGTGTGGCTACTGGGCATGGGCATGCCTGTGCGTGTATGGACATGTGGCTGGGGTTGGCTTCAGCCTCAGGCCTGTGGCTTCCACATGCACCCTCCCGGGCCATCAGTAGAAAATCATGGTTGCCTAAGGCAGGCTTTGAGTCCCCGGATGTGGGTTTGAGCCCCAGCCCTGTCTCTGGTTTGCTGGGTGACCCCAGGCTGGCCACTTCCCTCTCTGGACCTCATTTCTTCTGTACGCTGGGATTGTAATCTCCTGAAGATCGCAGAGGGGGAGGTCTGTGGGCTAGGATGGCTGGGCTTCCCCCATGCCCATGCACTGCCTGGCCAGGCTCCTGAGAAGGCCTGTCCCTGGCTGCTGGAGCCTCTGCCCCTGCCTCCGGGGCTCAGCCTTGTTCCCTGATGCCATTTGGGCGTCTCTTGGCCTCTGGTCCTACCCAGGCCTGCTGGATGGGAGGAAACTTTTCCGGCCAAAAGCTTTTCTATGCTCAAGGGAAAGAGGGGAGGCACCAGGGCTGGCCCCGTTTGACCCAGGCAGCCTTCAGGCCACACCCAGCCCGTGGTCTCCTGCCCACGACGGCCAAAGCCTCTGCCAACCACCCCCTCCCGCCTGAGCCTGGGCCTGTCTTCAGCAAGGAGGTTGGGGGGACATGGACAGTGCCCCCGCAAGCTGACCCAGAGAGGGAAAGCAGTTAGGCCAGGGCCACACAGCCACAGGGAGCCACTCACAGGCTCCCAGCAGTTATTGAGTGCCCAGTGTGTGCCGGGCCCTTCTATATGTGGTTGCATGGAATCTCCCCAGCAGCCCTGGGAGCACCCGCATTGTGCAGAGGAGGAAACTGAGGCCCAGATAGGGCCAGCAACCCCTCCAAGTCTCATAGCTAGGATGTGCACCTGGGATATGGAGGTCTTGCTGGGGCCAAGGGTGCGTGGCAGGACGTACTAATCAAGTGTCTCTTGGGTCCCTTGGCCCTGCCTCTGTGGCTGCCCCGGGGCTGGCTGTTGAGAGACAGGGTGGGCCTGGGGCCCCGCCTGGGCCTCCCTTCCCTCCAATGTCAGGCAGGCACAGAACGGTGTCCAGAGCAGCGGCCTGCGGGGGGAGAGGGCATGGCGGTCACGGCTCCCCTCGGTGCCCCGCAGGTGCCTACTGCCTCTCAGTGTCTGACTTCGACAACGCCAAGGGCCTCAACGTGAAGCACTACAAGATCCGCAAGCTGGACAGCGGCGGCTTCTACATCACCTCCCGCACCCAGTTCAACAGCCTGCAGCAGCTGGTGGCCTACTACTCCAGTGAGCCAGCCTCGGAGGGCGGAGGGCGGGCGGGCAAAGCCTCAGCTGCAGACTCTGGGGAGGGGCCTTGGAGCCTAGAAGGGTGGGGACTTCTGTTATCCTGCTTCTCTCCCCACTTCCCCCTCCCCCCTCCCTTCCTCTCTCCTCCCTTTTCCCTCCTTTCCTTGTCTCCTTCTTCTTCCTCTTCTTTCCCCCAGCCCCCCTCCTCCCTGTCCCCCTCTCTCCCTGCTCCACGCAGTGTCCCACTGCCCGCCTTTCTCTGCAGCTGGCTGGTATGGAGGGGGCTGCCCTGAGGAGCCCCAGAGTAAGCTGGAAGGGAGGGGACAGAGGCTGGTGTCATTTGTCTCTGTAGCCCTAGGACCGGTCTGAACCGGTTGCTGGGAGAGGAGGAGGGGGCGGCCAGATCGATTGCAGCAAAGAGGGAAGAGAGCGGCAGAGGGAGCTCGCGGGGCTTGCGTGCTGGGTGAGGGCTCGGGCGTGGGCGCAGTGCTGTAGCCCACCCACCTGGGCATCCGAAGCTGACTGCAGTGTCGGGCCTGTGGGTGCCTGTGTGCCCGTGTGTCTGTGGCACACATGGCCTCTGTGCACAGGTGTTGGTCCACTCCCCACCCCGAGCCTCCTCCTCCTCTCAGCTTGGCCTCCTGACTTCCTCTGGGATCACCCGCCACTCTCTGTCTCTTCGGCCACCGCTGTGTAGCTCATTCTGAACCCCTTTCCCTCAGATCAGAACTCTCCAGGGGCTGTCTTGGAATCTTGGGATAAAGACCCCCACCGGCCCCTGAGTGGTCTAATCCTAACTGCCTCCCCACCTCCGCCTGGTGCCACCCTTCCCCACCTGCTCCCTGCGCCCCTTTGTCCTCCGCTTCTCCAGCCCTGCAGCTGTTCTTTCCTCAGAGCCTTTGCTCTGGCTGTGCCCCTGCCTGGAGGGCTCTTCCCTACTTAACCCCTCACCGTCCTGCACATCCAAGCTCAGTTGCTGCTTCCTCCAGGAAGCCTTCCAGGCCACTCCTGCTGTTGCGCGAACAGCTCTCCAGTCACATTCACATCTGTGGTCCTGGGAGGTGATTAGGGAAGTGGGGCTCCTCCCTGGACTCTGAGTTCCTGAGGGCAGGTTCCCTGGACATGTTCCCTCCCCGCAGGGTTCCTGGCACCCCCTACTGTCTGCTGAATGACTGACTGAATGACTGACTCAGCAGATGCATAAAGCACTGTGGGCCTGTGTGGGGGTGGGGCTGTGTGCACACAGATGTAGATGCCTGGCTTTGAGGGCACCCTGCGTGTCCCCTGAAATCTGTGTGCATCTGGCATGTAGGGCGACACACACTGAGGGGCAGGGAGGCCCCAGGGCAGAAGACCCGCCTAACTGCTCCTCCTGCCTCCTCCTCAGAACACGCCGATGGCCTGTGCCACCGCCTCACCACCGTGTGCCCCACGTCCAAGCCGCAGACTCAGGGCCTGGCCAAGGATGCCTGGGAGATCCCTCGGGAGTCGCTGCGGCTGGAGGTCAAGCTGGGCCAGGGCTGCTTTGGCGAGGTGTGGATGGGTAAGGCCTGGCCCCTGCCCTCGGGAGAGGCATCCACCCCCCACCCCGTGTGGCAGCTCCGGGCTCCCTTGGTCCCTTTGCCTTTAGCTGCCTCTGCTGGATGACGGGGCCCTGTTGTAAATCTGGAGCTCCCCAGCGGTGGCTGGCACCGAGTTGGGTTGTGGCCACCCAAGCACTGTGCCCCGGACCGTGCAAACCATAGTGCCTGATTCCAAGATCCGCACAGGGCTGGGCATTGCACAGACCTGCTGTGTAGGCTGGGCCCGGTGGCCTCACTCAGAGCCTCAGTCTTCCCGACTGTGAATGGGGCTGGTGACAGTGGGACCTATGGGAGACTGTGGAGACCCTGACCCAGTGCGTGTCCACACACTAGCTGTTCGCCATGGAGAGAGAAGCCCGGCTCGCAGGAGGGAGTGCTGGGAAGCTTAGGTCTGGCATGGTCTGGGCCTGTTAGCGATTTCCCGTCTGACCCTGGAGAAACAGCAAAGCATGAGCACCGTGCAGCCCTGACAAAACCCAGGCCCCTCTTCCACCGGATGCTTTCTGCTCACACGGAGGGACCGGAGGCCAGGGTGGAGGAGAGACGGCGGTTGTAACCCCGTAAGCCCATGGTGCTAGCGGGGATCACGGTGCGCTGTTTTCAAGGTGGTTTCATCTGAGCCGCATCTCCACTCACTCCCACTGCCTCCACGTTCCGCCCTCCAGAGGGCTGATGGAGGAGAGCAGAGCGGCCTCCTGGGTGGAAGGCACTGCAGGGACAGAGGCCTGGAGGCTGGAGGTCAGGCTGTCCGGGAAGGGGAGGCGTGGGCTTTGAGCTGGTGAGAGGGGAGAGGGGTGAGAAGCCAGGGTGTGGGCACAGCCACAAAGTGAGGACTTGAGCAACACCTGGGTGAATGCACAGCGTCAGCCATTATGGTGGCTGCAAAACTCATTTCTGGCTTGGGTGAGAGGTGCTGTCCCTGGGAAGGGCCTCACTTCCTCCCTGGGTGCTCCAGGTCGACTCATGAAGTGCCACATGCAGATGGCCTGAGCCAGCAGGGCCACAGAGATTGGCCTGAGCCCCAACCCTCGGACGGAGGCCCAGCGACTGGGAGGAACGGGCCCAAGGTCACACATCAAAGGAACCTCGAGGCCCACTGGGACAAGAACCTGGATTAAACATGCTGGTCTAGAATGCAGCTTCCCCCAGAGCCCCACAGTTAGAAAAGCAGATAGTAGTGAAATGATAACCACATTACTTACTGAGCCCTCACGGTGGGGCTGGCCCAGTGGTTAAAATCTCATTCAATCCTCAAACAGCTCCACGGGTAGGCACTATGGAATCCCCATTTTCCAGATGAGATAACTGAGGCTTAGAGAGGGGAACTGACTCTCCCATGGTCTCTCCGCTGGCAGGAGGCGGAGGTGAGAGGCTCTGGCCAGCCTGACCCCCAAGCCCTCATGCTTAGGACAGTGTCTCATTTTGGGGGGCGGGTGGGCTCCAGAGGTGACCTCTTGTTCTGGCAACAGCCTTAGAAATCCCTGGGCCAGCTCCACATCACCCCTGGCTTCCACCAGTACACATTGCATTTGCTAACACATGAGGCACGTTCAAAGTCCTGCTCAGAGGGAACATGACTAACCCAGAAGTGACACCGGTTGAGTTGGAACCTTGGTCCCCTATCTGTCTAGGCTAATAAGCTGCTTTTTAGGACTTTTTTTTTTTTTTTAGACAGGATCTCACTCTGTCACCCAGGCTGGAGTGCAGTGGCACAGTTTCGGCTCACTGCAACCTCTGCCTCCCAGGCTCAAACCATTCTCCTGCCTCAGCCTCCCGAGTATCCAGTATTACAGGCACGCACCACTACCACCTAGCTAATTTTTGTATTTTTAGTGGAGACAGGGTTTCACCATGTTGGCCAGGCTGGTCTTGAACTCCTGACCTCAAATGATCCACCCGCCTCGGCCCCCTAAAGTGCTGGGATTACAGGCGTGAGCCACCACGCCCAGCCTGGACATTCTTAATAATCACAGTCCCGACAACAGCTACTGGTTCTTGAGCATTTAATCCTAGTAACAGTGCCATGAGGAGCACCCTGTCATTGTACCCATTGTACAGATGGGGAGACTGAGGCTCAGAAAGGGCCCAGGCTTTGACTGGGTTTGTCACATGGCTGTGGAGGCCACAGCTGACACTGGCGCCCAGGTGGGCAGATCCTGGATCCCTGTGTGGTAGGAGTTGGGGGGCTCCACTGAGTCAGCCTGCATCCCTCCTCAACAGGGACCTGGAACGGTACCACCAGGGTGGCCATCAAAACCCTGAAGCCTGGCACGATGTCTCCAGAGGCCTTCCTGCAGGAGGCCCAGGTCATGAAGAAGCTGAGGCATGAGAAGCTGGTGCAGTTGTATGCTGTGGTTTCAGAGGAGCCCATTTACATCGTCACGGAGTACATGAGCAAGGGTGAGTCCTGGGCGGCCGGGGCAGGGGGCAGGGGCACTCCGGACAGGGCAGGGAGCATGAGCCTCATTTCCTCTCATGTCTAGAATGGGCATCTTCAAAGGTGGAATGCAGTAGAGCCAAATTCTCTGTTGCCTGGGCCGGAGTGTGGTGGTGCAATCATAGCTCACTTCAGCCTCAACCTTCCAGGCTCAAGCAGTTCTCCCACCTCAGCCACCCAAGTAGCTGGGACCACAGGTGTGTGTCACCAGGCCCAGCTAATTTTTTATTTTTTGTAGAGATGGGACCCTATGTTGCCCAGGCTGGTCTCGAACTCTTGGGCTCAAGGAGTCCTCCCACTTCCACCTCCCAAAGTGCTGGGATTACAGGTGTGAGCCACAGTAATTTTTAAACTAATTAGTTATTTTTCAAAATTCCACTTTTTGGAGGTATAGTTTACATATGATAAAATACACCCCTTTTAAGTGTTCAGTTCAGTGGGTTTTAACAACTGGATTTACTGTGTACCCCTAACCATAATGAAGATATATAACATCTCCATCACCCAGAAAGTTCCTCATGCCCTTTGCAGACAGTACCCTCCAGCCCCAAACCCAAGCACCCACTGATTTGCTTTCTGTCATTATAAATTTGTTTTGTTTATTCTAGAATTTCATACATGGAATCTTTTACATCTGGGATGCATTGTTTTTTTACTTTTTACATTTCAATTTTTTATTTTTTGAGATGAGGTCTTGCTATGTTGCCCAGGCTGGAGTGCAGTGGCGTGATCATAGCTCACTGCAGCCTTGACCTCCCAGGCTCAATTGATCTTCTCATCTCAGCCTCTCAAGTAGCTGGGACTACAGGTGCACAACATCCTGCCCAGCTACTTTTTTTTTTCGTATTTTTTGTACAGACAGAGACTTACTGTGTAGCTCAGGCTGGTCTCAAACTATTGGGCTCAAGCGATCTTCCCACCTCGGCCTCCCACAGTGCTGGGATTGCAGGCAGGAGCCACTGCTCCCGGCCTGAGATGCATCCTTGTTGCATCTCCCAGCAGTTTGTTCCTGTTGTTGCTGAGCGGGACTCCGCTGTCTGCATTAGCACAGTTTACCTGTTCACCTGGAGGTGGACTTCTGCTTGTTTCCCATCCTGCTTGCCTTTTGAGTGACAAGCACTGAGTGAGACTTTATTCAGAGATGAGTTTACGTAAAATCTGCTGTGCTGGTTAAAGCAAGGCCAGCCACCTGGGAGGATGGGTTTTGGGAATCACTGCATCCTGGCAGAGGGACAGGGCAGGAGCTGGAGCTGGGTCTCTCTCTGCCCAGGGAGTTTGCTGGACTTTCTCAAGGGGGAGACAGGCAAGTACCTGCGGCTGCCTCAGCTGGTGGACATGGCTGCTCAGGTGAGTCAGCCCCTCCCGCCTCCCCACACCCTTGGTCCTCAAGCACCCAGACCCATCTGGTGCAGCCAGTTCTGGCCTCTTGAGTGCCCCCTCCAAGAAGCCTGCCTTGATTGCCTCCACACTCACTGATCTTGCCGCACGTATTTACCAGGTCTGCTTACAGGTGCCCTGAGGGGTGATTCTGGGCAGCAGAAGGCCCTTACCTGGGCATCAGGGGTCACTGACTTACTGTGGGACCTCGGGCCTCAGTTGTCGTCTCTGTAAAGGTCATTTAGTCGCTTAGCAGACGTGTTCATGCTTGCTGTAGGCAGTGGTCAACAAGCCTTTTTTTTTTTCATTTAATCCTCATCACGACCAGGAGTGACGAGGATTGGCTGTTATTCCCATTGGACGGATGAGAAAACTGAGGCTCAGAGAGGGGACTTGGGCAGCAGGCAGGACCTGGCACTCATCTGTGTCTGGGTCCGCTGGGGCCTCTTTCCCTGGTCACCTCGCTTTCCTGGCTGCATCGGATCTCGTGCCTCCCCTTTGACCTTTGCCTTCTGCCCTCTGCTCTGTGCCCTGTGCTCCCTACTCCCGCAGAGCACTGCTCCTGCTTTCGATGCCAACAGCATTTACTGTGAACTGACCTCACTTGCCTGAAGAAGTGTGGGGAGGGTGGGGAAGGGGTGGTTGGCTCTCCAGCCCCAGAGTGCTCTGTGGCCCTGGGAGGGCATGGGTGGCACCTGAGCCAGGCTCCCACGGTTCCGCCTGCAGATCGCCTCAGGCATGGCGTACGTGGAGCGGATGAACTACGTCCACCGGGACCTTCGTGCAGCCAACATCCTGGTGGGAGAGAACCTGGTGTGCAAAGTGGCGGACTTTGGGCTGGCTCGGCTCATTGAAGACAATGAGTACACGGCGCGGCAAGGTGGGCAGGGGCTGTGTGGTATGTCGCGCTTGGCCTGGGACAGGTCACGTCCCGCTCTGAGCCCCAGTTTTTTCCTCAGCTGTCATTCCTCATGGTGCTTATCTAGCAGAGCGGTCATGACAGGAGGTCAGAGCTGCCCTGACCTTTCTCGTTCCTGCAGGTGCCAAATTCCCCATCAAGTGGACGGCTCCAGAAGCTGCCCTCTATGGCCGCTTCACCATCAAGTCGGACGTGTGGTCCTTCGGGATCCTGCTGACTGAGCTCACCACAAAGGGACGGGTGCCCTACCCTGGTAAGAAGGTCCTCATGGCCTGTCTGTGGTCCCTGAATCCCTCTGCCCTGGTGGCCTTGGGCAAGTCATGACTCCTGCTGGGCCTGTTTCCCCACCCGTAAAACAAAGAAGTTGAGCGTCTGATGTTAGGCTCTCTCGATGGTCCATGCTCTCAGCTTCGGGGACAGGACTTATCTATGGTCACTCCCAACCTGTCCTAGGCAGGAAGCCCTCGCTGCCCTCCCCATCAGCTTCCCCCACCCCACTTTCCTCACCGGAGCCGGGCTCCCCATGCCTCGCTCTGCCCACAGGGATGGTGAACCGCGAGGTGCTGGACCAGGTGGAGCGGGGCTACCGGATGCCCTGCCCGCCGGAGTGTCCCGAGTCCCTGCACGACCTCATGTGCCAGTGCTGGCGGAAGGAGCCTGAGGAGCGGCCCACCTTCGAGTACCTGCAGGCCTTCCTGGAGGACTACTTCACGTCCACCGAGCCCCAGTACCAGCCCGGGGAGAACCTCTAGGCACAGGCGGGCCCAGACCGGCTTCTCGGCTTGGATCCTGGGCTGGGTGGCCCCTGTCTCGGGGCTTGCCCCACTCTGCCTGCCTGCTGTTGGTCCTCTCTCTGTGGGGCTGAATTGCCAGGGGCGAGGCCCTTCCTCTTTGGTGGCATGGAAGGGGCTTCTGGACCTAGGGTGGCCTGAGAGGGCGGTGGGTATGCGAGACCAGCACGGTGACTCTGTCCAGCTCCCGCTGTGGCCGCACGCCTCTCCCTGCACTCCCTCCTGGAGCTCTGTGGGTCTCTGGAAGAGGAACCAGGAGAAGGGCTGGGGCCGGGGCTGAGGGTGCCCTTTTCCAGCCTCAGCCTACTCCGCTCACTGAACTCCTTCCCCACTTCTGTGCCACCCCCGGTCTATGTCGAGAGCTGGCCAAAGAGCCTTTCCAAAGAGGAGCGATGGGCCCCTGGCCCCGCCTGCCTGCCACCCTGCCCCTTGCCATCCATTCTGGAAACACCTGTAGGCAGAGGCTGCCGAGACAGACCCTCTGCCGCTGCTTCCAGGCTGGGCAGCACAAGGCCTTGCCTGGCCTGATGATGGTGGGTGGGTGGGATGAGTACCCCCTCAAACCCTGCCCTCCTTAGACCTGAGGGACCCTTCGAGATCATCACTTCCTTGCCCCCATTTCACCCATGGGGAGACAGTTGAGAGCGGGGATGTGACATGCCCAAGGCCACGGAGCAGTTCAGAGTGGAGGCGGGCTTGGAACCCGGTGCTCCCTCTGTCATCCTCAGGAACCAACAATTCGTCGGAGGCATCATGGAAAGACTGGGACAGCCCAGGAAACAAGGGGTCTGAGGATGCATTCGAGATGGCAGATTCCCACTGCCGCTGCCCGCTCAGCCCAGCTGTTGGGAACAGCATGGAGGCAGATGTGGGGCTGAGCTGGGGAATCAGGGTAAAAGGTGCAGGTGTGGAGAGAGAGGCTTCAATCGGCTTGTGGGTGATGTTTGACCTTCAGAGCCAGCCGGCTATGAAAGGGAGCGAGCCCCTCGGCTCTGGAGGCAATCAAGCAGACATAGAAGAGCCAAGAGTCCAGGAGGCCCTGGTCCTGGCCTCCTTCCCCGTACTTTGTCCCGTGGCATTTCAATTCCTGGCCCTGTTCTCCTCCCCAAGTCGGCACCCTTTAACTCATGAGGAGGGAAAAGAGTGCCTAAGCGGGGGTGAAAGAGGACGTGTTACCCACTGCCATGCACCAGGACTGGCTGTGTAACCTTGGGTGGCCCCTGCTGTCTCTCTGGGCTGCAGAGTCTGCCCCACATGTGGCCATGGCCTCTGCAACTGCTCAGCTCTGGTCCAGGCCCTGTGGCAGGACACACATGGTGAGCCTAGCCCTGGGACATCAGGAGACTGGGCTCTGGCTCTGTTCGGCCTTTGGGTGTGTGGTGGATTCTCCCTGGGCCTCAGTGTGCCCATCTGTAAAGGGGCAGCTGACAGTTTGTGGCATCTTGCCAAGGGTCCCTGTGTGTGTGTATGTGTGTGCATGTGTGCGTGTCTCCATGTGCGTCCATATTTAACATGTAAAAATGTCCCCCCCGCTCCGTCCCCCAAACATGTTGTACATTTCACCATGGCCCCCTCATCATAGCAATAACATTCCCACTGCCAGGGGTTCTTGAGCCAGCCAGGCCCTGCCAGTGGGGAAGGAGGCCAAGCAGTGCCTGCCTATGAAATTTCAACTTTTCCTTTCATACGTCTTTATTACCCAAGTCTTCTCCCGTCCATTCCAGTCAAATCTGGGCTCACTCACCCCAGCGAGCTCTCAAATCCCTCTCCAACTGCCTAAGGCCCTTTGTGTAAGGTGTCTTAATACTGTCCTTTTTTTTTTTTTAACAGTGTTTTGTAGATTTCAGATGACTATGCAGAGGCCTGGGGGACCCCTGGCTCTGGGCCGGGCCTGGGGCTCCGAAATTCCAAGGCCCAGACTTGCGGGGGGTGGGGGGGTATCCAGAATTGGTTGTAAATACTTTGCATATTGTCTGATTAAACACAAACAGACCTCAGAATCTGATCAACAGTTTATTGAACATCTACTGTGTGCTGGAAAGCGAGATGGGGCGGAATGCGAGAACAAACTACCCCTTGAGGGGTCTTTGGGCAGCACTAGTAGCTGGAGGGCTTCAGGCCAAGGCAGGGGTGACATCAGATTGGAGACAGCTACGGCAGAATGTGGCTGTTTGTGAACATCTGCACCTGTGTTAGGGGGTGAGCACCTGGGAGAAGGACAAGGCACATCACAGGACTTCCCTGAGCATGACAAGTTCAGGACTCAAATGTCCGTGGTGGATGGTAGCAGTGACATTGGGGAGTGGGTGGGGCTGTCAAGCCTGCCTAGAGGAGATCACAAATACACGACGAGAATACCGTTGTGTGTGCTCTTCGTGTGTTTCCTAGGAGTGCAGGGCAGGGGTGCTGGGTCGATCCACAAAAGTCCTGAAAACGCTGAAGAAAAATCCAAAGACCCTTCCCCTCCTCCCTCCTTCCCCACCACCGAAGCACACAGTCTTGAAGGTTGATTTGCAACCGTCTATACAAACACATTTATTTTACACAAATATACATCAGATCACACACCTGTGCACCGGAGTCAACTCTGGCCACGACATTGCTTAATTAAAAACAAATTTCAAAAACTGGACATTTTTCTGTTCAGTATTATTTTCACAAGCCAAACACATCATAGTGTCCAGGTCAGGGTGGCATCTGGGTGGCATCTGGAGATCGCAGGGGGCGGGTGTGTGTGTGTGTGTGTGTGGGTGTGGGTGTGCGTGTGTCTTAGGAGTAGAGATGGAGTTCTGGATGTGAGGTTGTGGCAGGTGTTCTCTGCTTGCTGGTGGGAGTATACCTGGATGCGTGTGCCTTTGTGTTCATGGGGGTATGTGCGTGGGCTCTGTTTGTTCGCAGACATGGTGCTTGGATGTTTGTGTGTGAGCACTTGTCTAGGTGGTCTGTGAGCCTGGGCTCATGGAAATGCGTCCCAGATGTGTGTGCTTGGGCATTAACGCGATGAGGTGAGCCGGTCCGCTTGCTCTGGCTGTGTGTGCAGAATGTGTGTGTACTGTGTGAACACAGATCCAGGGGCTTCATGAGCCTGTGGGCTCCTGGAGTGTGTGGGCACCGAGGTGTGCAGCTGGGTTCACGTGGATGTGGGTGGGAACAGCATGTGTGCCCGTGGACCCGTGTGAGCTTGGGCTCGCACCCCCAGCGCTGGCCACTCCCGGCGGGACCCACGTGTGCCCGGGGGCGCAGGGCCACGTGCGAGCGCAACCGGGACAAAGCGCTCGCCCGCGCTGCCGCGGCGGGTCAGGCGTGCGCATGCGCATGCGCGGCGCGGCAGGGTCCAACCCCAACCCCGCGCGCCGGGACAGGAGGGACCGGCCACCGCGCGGCCTCTCTCCTCTTCCTTGTCCATCTGAGTCTTTCTCTCTCTTCCTCTCTCTTGTCTGTCAGTGCCTCTCCAGCCCTCTCTGGCCTTACATCAATTTCCTGTTTCTTCTTTTTTAATTTTTAAAAATTTCAGTAGCTTTTGGGGTTACAAGTGGTTTTTTGGTTACTTGGATAAATTATGTAGGGGTGAATTTTGTAGTACACTCGTCATCCGAGTAGCGTACGTTGCACCTAATATGTAGGTTTTTAAAAATCCCACACCCCGCCTTCCTTGCTTTTTTCTTTCTTTCTCTTTCCTTTTCTTTTTCTTTATTTCCCTTTCCCCTCCCTCCCTCCCTTTTTTTGAGATGGAGTCTTGCTCTGCCCCTAGTCTGGAGTGCAGTGACTCACTGCAACCTCCACCTCCTGGGCTCAAGCCATTCTCCTGCCTCAGCCTCCCGAGTAGATGGAACCACAGCTGTGTGCCCTCATAGCCCGGCTAATTTTTTTTTTTTTTTTTTGTAGAGACGGGGTGTTGCTATGTTGCCCAGACTGGTCTTGAACTCCTGGGCTCAGGTGATCTGCCCCCTCCGGCTCCCAAAGTGTAGGGATTACAGGTGTGAGTCACTATGCCTGGCTGATTTTCCTTTTCTTTCTCTATGTGTCTCTCTGTCTCACTGTTGCTAATTTCTGTCTCTTTTCCTCTTTGCCTGGGTGCTGTCTCTCTTTCTCTAGTCCCCACCCTCCCTTTCTGCCTCTCAGATTTTTCTCCCCATCCACCTCTTCACATCTCTGACTCTTCCCAGGCCCTCCCACACCTCCATGCCTTTGCCCAGGCTGTTTTCACCGCTGAGAATGCCCTTTCTTCCCTCTCTACAACCTGGCAAACTCCTATTCATCCTGCAAAGCACATCTCCGAGGCCACAGACCGGCCCTGGGAGCTCTCCCTGACGCCCTGGAATCCGCAGAGCGTGTCAGCCCGCCCACTAGAACAAGCGCTTGAGGGACTGGGTGACGTTCTCCCTAGTGATCCCAGGTCCCGCCACATTGGTAATGTCTGCTCAGGGAAGGCAGGCGGGAAAGTCGCTCTGCCTCTCCCACTCCTGTCTCTGGCTCCTTCTCCGGTTGGGACTTCCTCACTCTGGGCCTGTGTCCAGTTGGCTTGTGCTGGACTCGGTGTGTAAGGGAGACAGAGATAGACACACAGAGATGGAGTGCAGAGGCGAGAGATGTCATCCACTCTGCTGGGCCACAGTCTCCTGGCCCCGCTGTCCCCTCCTTCGGCCCTGTGTAGTGTCCAGGTGTCTCCCGGGGATATGAGACCCCAGGGCTCCATGCCCCCTCAGCCTTTCCTTTCTGCCTTCAGTTGGTTTTACTCTTAATTCTGCATGCATTTTTTTCTTTTTGAGAAAACTAAAATGTTTCCCCCATGACAAAAAAAGAATATATATTCTTTCTGGCAAAATAGGAAAGATACAGGAAAACACAAACCAACCAACCAACCATATTTCACACCCCCTGCTCCACCCCTCCCGCCTGGAGTCTGGGGCATGTCTCCAGGGTGCATGCAGGGTGTGTGTGGTGTGTGGTGTGTGGTGTGTGTAGGGGTGTGCGGCATATGCGTGTCCCTGCTGCTGTTGCCTCCCAGGCTTTTTCCTATGAGCTTCGAAAGTCTCTTTGTTCATCCTCTGCTTCTCTCGTCCCCTCTCTTCCTCCCTCCCTAGTTACATTCTCCAGACCAGACTTCATGCTGGGTGCACGCATGCACAGACACACACACACACGCGCGCATACACATGCACACACACACACACACACGCACACTCTGCATTTTCTATCATCTCTGTCTTCTTTTCCCATTTTTCTCTCAGAGGCTCTGAAACGCTGTGATTCATAGAGAGAAAAAGAGACAGGCAGAGATTCAGAGATTCAGACAGGACAGACAGGAAAAGGGGATGGAGACAGAGGGGCTGGAGTTGGTGGCGGGGAGGGAGCGGCAGGGAGAGAAGCTTTTTGTCCATCTGTTTGTCGTCTGTGAGGTCCATCCCGATTCTCACTCCCCGCAGCCCTCCCCTTTCTGGGGCTTTTCCCACCCAGCCCTTGGAGCGTGTCTCCTGGGATCCTGGGGCCGTGTCCATCTGTCCGTCTGTGTGTCAGCCTCTGCCTCCCGCCTGCCTCTTGCTGTGGTCTCATTAAATGCTCATCTCTTTCTTTGATTGTTCCACCCCCAGGTTGTGTGTGTGGGCACGTGTGCATGTGTCCATGTATCCAGATCTCTGTGCCTTTGTGGCTGTCCATCTGCCTCCCACCTGACTTCCCCTTCTCCCTCCCTCCTGTTCTTGCCACCGTGTCAGTGTGTGTTTGCATCTGTGTACGTGTATGCACCTGTGTACATGTGTGTCTGTGCATGAATCTCTTGCTCACCTCACTTCCCCTGTCCCAGAGGCTCCTGGACTTGGCATCTGGGGGTGTTCTTCTCCTCACTCCCCATCCTGGTCCAGCCTCAGCCTCAAGGCTTGCCTCCTGGACAATTTCCCTGGCAACCATCCCTGGACATCTTACCTGCAACCTCCGAAAACTCAACTCACTTGTCCACTCCCACTCCGTCAGCAGGGGGACCTCTGGCACAGAGCCACATGCCCTGGGTGGCTCAGCCTTCTCTCACTTAACGCTCTGCTGTGGGCTTTCATTTCCTCTTACCACTTCTGGCCCCACTCAGAGCCCTGTGTCTCCCCCACCTGCCTGTGCACAGGCTGACCTGTGTCATCCTGATCCCCACCATGCAGGCATTGCTCATGGTGCCTCTGCCTGACATCTTTCCTTTCTTTTTTTTTTTTGAGACAGAGTCTCACTCTGTTGTCCGGGCTGGAGTGCAGTGGCGCAATCTTGGCTCACTGCAACCTCTGCCTCCCGGGTTCATACGATTCTCCTGCCTCAGCCTCCCGAGTAGCTGGGACTACGGGAGTGCGCCACTATACCCAGCTAATCTTTGTATTTTTAGTAGAGACAGGGTTTCACCATGTTGGTTGGCCAGGACGGTCTTGATCTTTTGACCTCATGATCTGCCCGCCTAAGCCTCCCAAAGTGCTGGGATTACAGGCATGAGCCATTGTACCTGGCCGACATCTTTCCTTTCTTCAGCCTGCAAATCCCACCTCCTCTGGGAAGCCCTCTTGATAACCCCCTTTGCTGGGTTCCCTTGTCTCTGATACTCCCTGCAGTGAGATCTGTCCTGGCCTTGGTCTTATCGCAGGCTGGGCACCCAGCTGGAGTCCCATTTGGACCTTCGTGGGCCTAGACACCTTGGCCCTTTCCTTAGAAAAGAAAATTAAAAATTACATGTTACGATAGCACTGGTATCAACACGAATATATTAATAGGACATACTGAGACATTTTCTTTGAGTTAAAAGTTCGTTTTTCTTCTGATTTTAAAAGAAATTGGAACATTTTCTTGGGGTCCCAAAAGTATGGTGCATGGGCTATAGATTCACTGATCCCCTCCTCTTGCCAGGCCTGGGCGAATGCCATGCCGGGCAGGCTGTGTATGCTCCCCGCCTTCTACCCTCTCTGTGTCTGTCTTCTTCATTTTGCCTCTGCAGTTTGTCCTTGTGTTAGTGCATTAAAGCAAGACGATGCGTGTGTGTGTATGTGTGTGTGCATGTGTGCATGCACACGCACGCCACATCCTCCCTCTTCATCTCTGTGTCCATCTCTCTGTGTTTGTTTGTTTGTTTGGTTTTTTTTTTTGAGACAGGGTCTTGCTCTGTCTCCCAGGCTGGAATGCAGCGGTGCAATCACGGCTTACTGCAGCCTCAACCTCCTGGGCTCAAGTGATCCTCCTACCTCAGCCTCCTGAGTAGCTGGGACTACAGGCGTGCACAACCATGCCCGGCTATTTTTTTTTTTTTTTTAGTAGAAACAGGGTCTCACTCTGTTGCTCAGGCTGGTCTTGAACTCCTGGGCTCAAGAGATCCGCCCACCTCAGCCTCCTAAAGTGCTGGAATCACAGGCATGAGCCACTGTGCCTGGCTTATGTTCATCTCTTTCACCATAACAGGTTTGTCTCTTTCTCCGGGGTCCCCTCATTCATTCATTCATTCATTCCTGCAACAAACACCTGTGTGTGTCCCTGTGTCTGTGCGTTGGCGTGTCTGCCAGGGAGCAGGGGTCTTGGTTCCTCATCTTTCCCCAGGTCTCCTGCTCTCCCAGATCTGCAGGCTGTGAGCTTTCCAGGGTGGGCCATGCTCCCTGCTCCCGACCCTTTGCCTGCCCGCCTCCCCTTGCTCCAGCATTGGGGTCACTGCTATGGGTGGTGGTTGTTTTCCCTCTCCCCCTTGGTTCTTCCTAGAACACCATGTAGCAGCTGCTCCTGCCCAGCAGGGTGTGTGTGTGTGTGTGTGTGTGTGTGTGTGTGTGTGTGTATGGGAGGGAGTGAGAGAGAGGGCCAGGCCGACATATAGACAGACAGACACCAAGAGAGGGTGACAAGTGCACAGCCGGCACCTGTCTCTCCTGTATTTGCCTTCTGTCTCCTTCCCTCTCCTCTCTGAGGTTTTGCTGGCATTTTGTCTTTTCTCTGGGCTTCCTGCATTTGTGTGTGTGAGTGTGTCTGTGTATGAGTGTGTGTGTGCACGTGGCATGCTCAGGTCTGGGTCCCCCCTTCCTCACCCTCCCTTTGTCCCCCCCAATCCCCACACCTTCTCTACCACAGTCCAGGTGTGAGTGTGGTCTGCGGTGTGTGTGGTGTGTGATGCGTGTGTTGCATGGTTGTGTATTGCATGGTTTGGGTGGTGTGGATGTGGTACAGTGTGTGTGCAGCACGGCCTGTGTGTGGTGTGGCCGTGGCCTGCGGTCCCTTGCGGTTGCCTGCATCCAGCGACGGCTGTGCTGATGCCCCTCCCACCCATCGAGGCCTCTCCTCCTTTCTTTTTCCCTTCCCTTACCTTCCCTTCCCTTCCCTTCCCTCCCCTCCCTTCCCTTCCCTTCCCCCCTTCCTTTCCTTTCCTTTCACTTGCTCCTTCGTAAAATCCTGATTGAGCCATTCCCATGAGGCAGCCCTGGTGGCCGGGGCACACTTCTCTCACTGGGTCGTTCTCTTTCTCCTTTTCTCTCTCTCTTTTCCTGTCTTTGGCTCCGTTTCTGTGTCTGTTTTTCTCCCTCTGTCTTTTGTTTTGTTTCTCTGTTGTCTGAGTCTTTGTCTCTTTGTTTCTATCTTTGCCTGTTGGTTTTAGCCTAGCCCACTCAGGCACTAATTAGTTGTTCCCGTTAGGAAGTGGCTGCAAAGTCGTGTATGTGTGTGTGTGGGGTGTGTGTGTAAGTGTGCATGTGAGTGTATGTGCCTGTGTGAGTGTACATGTGTATGTGTATGTGAGTGTGTATGTATTGTGTATATGTGTGCATGTGAGTGTATGTACCTGAGTGTGCGTGTGAGTGCATGTGTGTGTGTATGTGTGTACATGACTGTGTGTTTATGTGTGTGAGTGTGTGTATGTGTGCGTCTTGTGAATGTGTATGAATGAGTGTGTGTGTGTTCTTGCTCTCTTTCCAACAGTTTTGGCCATGACTCCACCTCCCATTCATTTCCTAAGCGCCCCCCTACACACACACACTCACAGGGTCCTCCCAGGCGTGAGTATGTGTATGTGCAGCTAACAGGTCTGGCTCCTCATTGTTCCCCGAGGCTCTTGCCTACCGTGGCTGCAGGCTGGTGGGATTCCGGCGTGGGCAGCAGCTGCCTCCCCTTGCTCCAGCGTTGGGGTCGCTGCCATCGGCTGAGGGTTTGTTTCTTTCACTTTCACAGCTCTTCCCAAAACACTCGTCTCGGAGCAGCTGCTCCCGCCTGTGTGTGTGTGTGTGTGTGTGTGAGAGAGAGAGAGAGAGAGAATGTGCATGTGTGTGTGTGTGTGTGTGTGTGTGTGTGTGTGTGGAGGGTCACAGCAGCCCCTCCCTGGCCCCCTTTCTGCAGGGCTTGGCTTTTGTGTTCATTCTGAGTCCCTTGCACTTGTCCCTCAGTTCAATCAACACCTCTACATCTCTCCTGTGTACTGGGCTGTGTGTGTGTGTGTGTGTGTCTCCACTTCTCCCTCCTTCCCACCTGTTCTCGCCAGTCTCTAAGGCACTCTGAAATCTGCCCTGGCTGTATGTGTGTGGGTTCACAGGGCGAGGTCTGTGCACGTGAACCAGTATGTGACAAGCTGTCAGGGCATCATCTCTGCCACTGTACCTAATCCTTCACTCTCACCCTGGGGTAATTTCCTTTGTACTTTCCTTTGGTCCACACATGCAGAACAGCTCTTGTGAGTTGTGCACACAGGTGTGTGTGTGTGTGTGCGCGCGCGCGCGTGTGTGTGTGGTGTAGGGGGAGAGACAGAGAGACAGATCTCCTCTTCCCTTTGCTCTCTCTGGCTGCATCTTGACCTTTGCACACCTGCCCGGATCCATCTCTCTCTCCACTTCTCCTAAACCTCTCCTTGTCTCTTTCTGCATCATCTCTGAGGCTTTGCTTTCCCTCTGCAGATGAGAGAGGGTGCTCTGTCCATCCATCCATCTATCCATCTGTCTGTCTGTCCAAGAGTTATTTGTGGGCCCTTTTCTACCTCCCCACCCCTTTCCTGGGCCTGCACTCTTGTCACCCGCCCCCCTGCACCCTCCTGCGGGGCCATTTCAGCGCCCACCCTCTTCACCTCTCCATCTCCATCCCTCCCCGCTTGTGGGTTCTGGACCGGGACCTGAGAACAAAGCTGCCTCCTGGGCCCCACACCCATCACCCGGCCCCAAACCCTTCAAGGCCCGTTGGGCTTGGCATCCTGTTTGGCTCCTTCCCTCATCAGGGGGCCTCATGCAGCCTCACTCCACTTCCAGCAGGTCACCCCTGCCGGGCCATTCCCCTGCCACTCTCTTATGCCCCCCTCTAGCTCAAGGCGATTTCCTTCCTGCCTTATAAATCCCCTACCCCCAATTCAGGTCTCCCAGGGGCCTCTCCTTTTCCATGTGGGGGTCTAGGAGTCGGTCTTTCTCTCCTGGTCAGGTTCCATTTTATTTCCTTTTTCCTCTGACTTGGTCGGGTTTTGTTCTTCCCTGGGCATCACTGGTACCTGTGTGTGTGTGTCTGTTCCTGTCTCCCTGTCTGACGCATTCACCTTTCCTTCCACCTTTTATCCTCTTCCTCTCATTTCAAAGAATTGGGATCTAACTTACATATCGTAAGATGCACAAATCTGAAATGAAAAGCTTTGATGAATTTCACATGTGTCTGCACCTGTGCCTCCACCACCCGGAGCAAGAAACAGACCGTCCTGGCCCTCGAGTGCAGGCTCCCTCCCACCCGCCCCTTGAGGCTCGGGGTGTTTCTCACTGTGTGTATGCGTGACATTTTGTCTGTCTGTCTATCCTGCAACTTTCTCAGCTGTTGCTTCCCTCTGGGAGCCCCTTGTCTTTGTTCCTGCGCTCCATCAGCGGTTATTGAACACCTCCTAAGACGGGCTCCGCGTGTGCCTACCTCCCTCCCCTACTACCCTCCCTGCCTGCTCTCTCCCGCTCCGCTCCCTCTCCAAGTTGTTATTGAATTCTGCTTCTATTCTGTGCGTCCCTGTAGGAGTGTGTGTGTGTGTGTGTGTGTGCGCGCGTCTCCCCGATTGCCCACCACCTCCCCCCTCGCTCTCCTTCCCCCACCTCTGCCTTCCTCCCTTTCTCTCCCACTCCTGGGGGCTCCATCGAGATTGTTCCAGGGTAGCCCAGCCCCGTGTCTCTCTCTGGCTCTTCCACCCCTCCTTCCTCCCCTCGCTGTCTCTGAGGGATGGGCGCAGGCTGGCTCTCACCCTGGGCATGTGCCGGCCTGTCCGTCTCCATGCCAGCTCTGGCCGCCTCCTCCTGCCCCTGGCATCCCCCCATTCCCTTCTGCCAACTCCCTTTGCTCCACACATAAGCTGCCAACATCGGGGTCTCTAGCCAGGATCTCCGAGCCGAGCCCAGACCTGTCCACTCATCACGGTCCATCTCTTCCGCTGCAGAGCAACCCCCAGCCCCCTTCAAGCCCCTACCCCATCCCTCCCCTCCACATCCTGAGCTGTCTTGCTGTCCGTACCTCCTTCTCACTCACTCCAGCTGCGATTTGTGCCTGACCTCCCGCATGGCTCTCACCAGCACCTCGCCTACCTCCCTGCAGACATGACCTTGTCCTCATCTTCCTCAACTTCTCTGGCATCTGACTGTAGACACATTGGTCCCCTAAGCCTGCCCTGCTTCCAGAGGACTCCTTCTCCGAGCCTTGGCCTTCTAACATACTGTTGTTCCTTGTCCTCTTCTCCCTTCCCACCACGCCTGGTGACTGTCCCCACTCTGGGGCTCAGCTCCCCCTTTGTAGGGACCACCCCACCTCCATCCCCTGAGTTCCAGCCCTCCCTGCATACAACCTTCCGGACATTCCATGGGCACCTCACGATGGACTCACACACCCCTCTTTGCCAAAGCCTGGGGTGTCCCGCCTCATATGCCCACTACCTGGCAGCACCCAGCTCAGACCCTGGGCTGGTCCGCTTCCCCTCCCCGCCCACGTCCGGTCCATGTGGTCCCCCAATGGGTCTCGCCCCGTCCCTTCCCCAGCACCTTGCCTTGGGATTCATGTCCCCTCCTGGGCTGTGCTCTAGTCCCCTCCTTGGAGTCTCTGTCACCTGTCACCTCCTGCAGTGCAGCAGCCCGTGCAGTGCTCTGGCCTGCACTTGGCTCACAGCAGGCAAATTTGGTCGTGCCTTTGGTAGATGCTCCCTGACCCAGCACCCACAGGGGGCGGACTTAGGGATACGGAGGCAGATCCGCGGCCCTGGTCCCTGGTCTGGTGGGGAGACTCCAGTGGAGTGTGCTGGGCCGCGGGCCGTAGGCTCATACGCTCCTCCTCAGCTGTGACTTCTCTCTTCTAGTGAACCCCTCTCTTTCCTCCTGCCTCCTGTTGTCCCACCCAACTCTTTCCACTGCAGTGGGGTGTTTCGGCCTGTCTGAGGGAGGGTCTGCGGGCCTGTCCCCGTCTGTCTGTCTGTCTCTGTCTGTCAGCGCTGCGTATCTGGTCTGCCTGTCCCTCTGTCTTCGTGTCTGTGAGAGATGTGTGTGTGTGTGCATTCTGCTGTTGGGCAGTCCTGGCGTCTGATTTGTGCGTGTGTGTGTTTCTTGTGTTGGGGTGTGTGTGTGGTGGTCTGTGTGTCCTGGAGTGGGTTTCTGGCTGGCCGGTTTTGCCGGTGTGGAGGGAGGCCTGCAGCATGGCAGCTGTCTGTAGGGGGCTGTCTGTGTGTCTGTCTCGGTGTATGGGGCTGCTGGCCAGTCCTGCCTGGGTGCAGAGATGAGTTGGGGGAACTCCCTGAGTGCAGGGGTCTGTCTGGGTGATACCATCCATGTGTCCTTCCTTCCCTCTCTGGGGGCTCTGGAGGCATCACGACTCCCCTCTCTCTGTCCGTCTCCCCCTCGTCTTCCCTGAGTCCCCTCCTGGAGGCTTTGTCAGGATCTGCTTGTCACTGCCTTGCCTGGCACGAGGCCTGCGTCACAGAGCGCAGCTGAGACCCTCTCCCTGCGTGGGCCTGGTGTGTGCATCATCTGGGAGCCCCTGGCGGTGTAGGGAGCCTTGCCTCGCCGCTCCGAGCTCTCCAGCCCCTCTCTCTCTCCCTCTGAGCCTTTCTGGAGCTTTCTTCCCCTTCCCGCGTGCGTCAGGCCTCTGTCTGTGCCGTGGAGCTCCCACCCTCGCCCCTCTGGTGGCCTTCCTGCTGCTGAGTGAGTTTGTCTGGAACTTTCAAGGTGTACCTGAGCCCTGCACCCACAAACTCCTACGGGGCAGGGCTGGGCAGAGCCAGGCAGGGCCCTGACATGTTCCTCAGTCCTCACCAGAGCCCCGATTCCCTCCAGGAGCCTTACCTTTTGGAAGCGGATCCAAGGCCCTCACCCGACCTTCAGGGAAGGCCCTTTGGCTCTAGCCTGCGCCCTCCTCGGCCGCCCACAGACCCCGCCACTTTTTGTGCTGCAGTTGCCCTGCCGTTTCTGTGCCTTCGATACACAGGCTGTTCCCGCTGCCTGGACTGCCCATCCCCAGAGAGGCCCTTCCTGGCCACACCATCTGAATGCGTCTCTGTCACTCTATTTCCCCTTACGCTGCTGTTTGTCTTTATAACACTGATCACTCCCTGCCATCTTCTTACACGTTGATTTCTGGCTTAGTTTCAGTCTCTCACGCTATCATCTCTGCCACTATGCTGTAAGCCCCATGAGGGCAGGCCCATGTCTGTGTCGTCCAGTGTTGCGTCTCCAGCTCCTAGAACAGCGCCTGGCATGTAGAAGGGGCTTGATTGAATGAACAATCTCATTTCTGAGCTCTGTCTGGCCAGGATGCAGTGGAAATCCCTCCCCGCATTCACCCAGTCCCCAGGGAGGCCACACCCAGCTCCGTCCTCCCCTTCCCAGTGTGCACATGGAGCCCGTGGCTGCCTCTCAAGCACTTCTGGCCATGTGTCCCTGGCTGCTTCAACCCTTCCTGGGCTCCCTCCATCCCGCGGGCGCCGTCCAGGCGTTAGCCTGGGCGTCAAACCCTTGCATGCTTCAACCCCCATTGCCTCTCAAGCCTCACCCCTTCTCTGTCACCCCCACACCAGCCACCGGCCACCCAGATGGCCTGTCATCTCAGACACCACCCCGCCCTCACACACATTCTCACCCCTCCTGGCCCTTGCAAACTCTCTGTGTGAGGTGTCCCTTCCCAACCTGCCCCGGTGATCGGGCATCTGGCTCCAAGTCACCTCCCCCTGCAGACTGGGGGACTGTCCCCGCCTTCCCCTCCCCGTGCCTCCCACCCCTAAGCAGAGTCCGTGTCTCCCCTGCCACCGTGGCTTCCTGAGGGAAGGGGCTTCCAGGAGCACTCCTGCCGCACCGTGTGCTGATGGTGTCCCATCTGTCCGTCAGGCCAGGCCGTGAGCCACTCGGCTCTGAGTCCCCTGGGCCCAGGAGCGGCTTCCCCCCAGGCGGCTATAGAGAGGGACTCTGGAGGATGAGAGGAGGGGTCCTGTGTCCTGGCCCCTCGGCCCCTCCTCCTCTCCCTCTCTGTCTTCCTGCTCCTCTTCTGAGTGTCCCACGCCCAGTTTCCTCCCTACTGTGTGTGTCTGACTGTCTTTCTGCAACGCCTTCCCCCACTGGAGCATTAGTGCTTCATTGCTCCTTTTGGGCATCAAATACTTTGCCCTGTGTGTGTGTCACAGTGCCCCCCAGTGCCCTCTCTCAGTCAGTCTGTCTGTCTGTCCATCCGTCTATCTCATCACACTGTACTCTTTGCTTTCTCTCTGCCCTAGCCCTGGAGGTCATTGTCATTCTTTGAGCATGTGAGACACACACACACACACACACACACACACAAAACACCAAACCCCCGCCTGGCCCCCTCTCTGTGGGGTCTGGCTTTTGTGCTCATTCTGTGAGTCACCGCATCCACTCCCTCCTTCAGGCAGCACCCCTCGAGTCGCTCCCGTGTGCTGGCCGGGCACGTGTGTGTGTGTGCATGTGTGAGTGTGTGCATGTGTGTGTGTGTGCGTGTCTGTGTTTCTCTGGCTCTTCCCCTGCCTCCAGCCTGTTCTCTGTCTCTAAGGCGTTACTGAAATCTGCCCTGGCTGTCAGAGAGACAGAGGTTGGGAGGGAAGGAAGGGAGGTGGTGGGCAGCTTCCCAGTGCCTGCTACTCACTGCCCGCTCCCGTTCTTCTCTGGCTGTCTCTCTCTCTGTCTCTCAGCCTCTCTGTCTGTCTCTCTCCATCTCTCAGCCTCTCTCTGTCTCTCTCCATTTCTCAGCATCTCTCTGTCTCTCTCCATCTCTCAGTCTCTGTCTCTCTCCATCTCTCAGCCTCTCTTTTTCTCTCTCCATCTCTCAGTCTCTTTCTGTCTCTCTCCATCTCTCAGTCTCTCTCTGTCTCTCTCCATCTCTCAGCATCTCTCTGTCTCTCTCCATCTCTCAGTCTCTCTCTGTCTCTCTCCATCTCTCAGACTCTCTCTGTCTCTCTCTTTGTCTCTCAGCCTCTCTCTCTGTCTCTCTCTGCTCCTGTTCTTCTCTCCCTCTCTCTCCATCTCTTGGCCTCTCTCCTCCCTTCTCAATTTTTCCAGATGTGCCATGTCTGACTCTGCTCATGCCACGTATTTCCCTTCCTCCTCCTCTCTTAGGCTCCGTCTTCTCCCACTTCTTCTGGACTCCTGTGCATCTGTGTGTGTCTGTGTGTGTGTCTCTGAGTGTGTATCTGTGTGTGTGTCTGTGAGCATGTGTGTTTGTGTGTCTGTGTGTATCTCTGTGTCTGTGTGTCTGTGTATTTCTGTGTATGTGTCTCTGTGTGTGTCTCTGAGTGTGTATCTTTGTGTGTCTGTGTGTGTCTGTGTGTGTCTGAGTGTGTGTGTCTCTGAGTGTGTATCTCTGTGTGTCCGTGAGTGTGTATTTCCGTGTGTCTCTGTGTATCTCTGTGTGTGTCTGTGTGTGTGTATTTCTGTGTGTCTCTGTGTATCTGTGTGTCTGTATGTGCGTCTGCGTGTGTATCCTGTGTGTGTGTCTCTATGTATGTCTCTGAGTATCTCTGTGTGTCTGTGAGTGTGTGTGTGTCTCTGAGTGTGTATCTCTGTGTCGGAGTGTGTGTCTGTGTGTGTTCTGGAGTATGTGTCTCTGTGGTCTGTGTCTCTGAGTGTGTGTCTGTTTCTGTGTGTGTCTGTGTGTCTGTGAGTGTGTCTCTATGTGTCCGTGTGTGTGTGTCTGTGACTGTGTGTATGTCTGTGTGTGTCTCTGAGTGTGTGTCTGTGTGTGTCTATGTGTGTCTGTGTGTGTGTATCTGTGTGTGTCTATGTGTCTGTGAATGTGTCTATGTGTGTCTGTGTGTGTCTCTGAGTGTGTCTGTGTGTATGTGTGTGTGTCTGTGTGTCTCTGAGTGTTTGTGTCTATGTGTGTCTGTGAGTGTGTCTCTTTCCCCTCCCTCTGCCTACCCCTACCCTGCTGGGGGCCCTGGGAGGGGGGGGTCCATCCTGGGGTCTTGCCCTCTCACTGCTGCCTCCAGCTGGGTCTCACTGCTCCTGGAGCTCCATCCTGAGGGATCCCCACATCCCCCATGTTTCCCAGGAGGCCACAGAGCTAAACCCACCCTCTGGTCACACCTGGTCCCTGGTTCCAGAGCTGGAGGTTCCCACCCTCAGCCCACTCGCCCAGGCCAGGGCTGGCCTGCCCCTCCCCCATCCACAAACCATCATGAGGACTCCTGAACTCCCCTCCACACCCCCGACAGCTCTCAATCCCCACCTCCCTCTCTACGGGTACCCCAACTCTCCCTGGAAGGACCCTGCTGGCTTCCTCTGTGGCCTCTGCTTCCGCTCCCATCAGGGTCAGAAACCCAGAGCAGTGCCTGTCCCAAGTCCTCCAGATGCCCACGCCCAGGCCCCGTCTGGCCCCTGCCTTCTCTGTCCTCTGTCCTCTGTCTCTGCCGCTATCTGTCTCCGTGTCTCACACCAGGATATTCTGCTCCTCCAAGCCTTTGTCCTTGTGCTCAGCCTTTGTCCTCTGCCTGGTGACCCGGCCCTCTTTCCCCCATGCCTTCTTCCCCCTCTGGCAAACTCTTCTTCCTTCCCCAGGGCCCCGCTTTGTGCTCCTGGGCTCTGGGACCTTCCTCTGGGAGACCCTTTCCCTGCCCGGCCTCCAGGTCAGCCCAGACTTGCCCCCAGATCGAGGTAGTTTCAAGGGGAACCGGCTGCAGCCCAACCTAACCCTGGAAGCCTGCACACAGCAGCAGGTCGCCCCAAACACACCCCAGTCTCCTTCTCAGTGGGTGCCAGCCTGTTTGGGGTTTGGGGCTCAGTGCCTTGGAGGCCTACCCCACCTTGCCAGCCCCTCCTCGTTCCTTGCCCACAGCCTCCCTGCTCCTCCTTCCCCATGTGCAAACACATGTGTATGTATATGTGTGTATGTATGTGTATGCATGAGTGTGTATGCACGTGTGCGCACACCTGTGTGCGTGTGCATGCGTGTGCATGCACGCATGTGTGTATGTATGTGTATGCGTGAGTGTGTATGCACGTGTGTATGTGTGTGTATGCATGTGTATGCAAGCGTATGTGTGCATGTTGATGTGTGTATATATGTGCGTGTGTGCATGTGTGCATATTGTGTGTGTATGCGTGTGCGTCTGATGGCCTCCCCTCACTGTTCTCTGTAACTTCATCTCCATTCACTCCCTCTGCGACAGTTTTGTTTCTTTATCTTCTTTCTTCTTCCCAGCCATGCGTTTTTTTTCCCGATTGCAAAGGTAATGCTCCATCTTCATGACAGGATGTTTAGAAAATACAGAGAAAACAATCGAAGCCTCTGTGGGTTCCGTTTCCCAAGAAGAGAGGCCTCTGGGTGTAGGTTGGGAAGTGGCCCCCACGTTGGTCTGTAGCCCGGGCCCCCATGCACAGGTGTGCATACCTTGCACACTCTTGTCCGCCCCTTCTTCCCTTGGGCTCTGCCTGGCCCTCTCTCTGTTCCTCTCAGGGACTCTGCCTTTCTCAGTCTGTCACCGTCTCTCTGGTCTGTCTCTGAGCCCCTCTGTCTCTGGGCGCCTTCCTCCGTCTCCGTTCTGCCCTCACCCTGGGGATTCCCACACACATCCACTTTCATTCATTCACAAACCCCACTCTGCAGACGCCGGGCCACACTGTGTGTGTCTGTGGGAGAGCGTGCCTCCTGCTGTCTCTGAAGGTTCCTTGGATTTTGTCCCTACCTGTGGGAGCTCCTGGGGTGCATATGGGGGGCGGGGTATCCACACATCTGGCTCCCTGGACACCTTCTGCCTGTGTGTGCGCTTGTCTTTCTGCCGCCTCCCTTTCTCTGCACCTTCGTGAACTGCCATCTTGCCCTTCACTGCATCCTCTGTGTGTGTGTGTGTGTGTGTGTGCGCGCGCGCGTGTGTGTGTCCCTCCACTCACTTTTGTCTCCCTCGCCTCCTCTCTGTGGTTTCTTCATAGTTCGCTCTCCCTCTATTCCCCCGGGTCACCCCCATTCATCATTTCTTTTGCTCATTCAAAGATGGAGCATCATTTCTTTCTAAATTATCTGCCGTGAGCACAGAGAGCTTTATTACCTTTGTAATAAAAAAAAAACCATGAACATTGCACCCACCACCCACAGGAGTAACAGGGTGCTGGTGCCTATTGCTCGTGTCCCTTTGAGGTGTGCCTGTGCGGGGGTGAGTGAGTGTGTCTGTCTGTCCTTCCACCTCCAGGCTTCCTGGCTGCCTCTCCTTCCTCCTCTTCTCCACCCTTTTTCCTGGAGATTTCTGGAATTTCACTCTCGCCGCTCCTGCTGTGAGCCTGAAGAAGGGGCTGTGTGTGTGTGTGTGTGTGTGTGTGTGGTGTGTGTGTGAGTGTGGGCGCTGAGGGTTGTGTGTGTGTGGTGGGTGGGTGTGAGCCAGGCTGCATGTACTCCCGCCTTCCCTCACCGCCTCTGCAGCCCTGCCAGCTTTTGTTCCCCTCTGCGAACATTTCCTTTCTTTCAGAAATGACATTTATTGTTTTCCTTTGGTTTCAGATGTCATATGTGTTCCCTGTAGAAAAGGTGGAAAATACCAAAAAGAATGTGCAGAGGAAGACAAATAAAAATCCCTGTGCTCCCAACTCCCAGGGAGAGAGGAGCCGTCGCCGACATTTTGGGGAGCTTTTCATTATCTTTGCCTTGTGTCTGTGCACTGTTTTTCTCGCTTTTTCTTTGCAGATTCTACCCCACTCTCTACTCTCTTATTCATTCCTTCAGAAACATTTGGGGGTCCCCACTTGGGGCACCCCTGTGTGTCTTCGTCAGCCCATCTGAATGTCTTTGTTGGGAAGGTCCGTCTGTTTGAGGGTCTCCTACCTCTCTCCCTTCGTGTGGGTGTGAGTGCGTGTGTGTGTGTGTGTGTGGGGGGGGGGAAGCAGCTAGAAAGAAATAGTTGGGGGGAGAGAGAGACAGAAAGAGACCCTGCGTCCTCCGCCCTTCCTCCCTCCTCCTTCCTCCTCTGCCCGCTTCGGGATGCAGGGATAACTGTGCTAGGTGCCTGCCTGTGGCCCCCAGTCCCTTTTCCTGTCCCCATCCCTTTGTCTTTGGGTTCCTAAAGGATGGCACAGAGCCTCCAGGAGCGGAGTGGGGCGGTGTAGGCAGAGGACACAGCTCCTAGCAGCAAGTGGAAGCAGGAAACGGTTCTGTTTCCAGGAGCTTTCCTCATGTGGCCCGGGAGATGAGGGGGTAGGGGACCAGGGGACTGGCCACGGAGGAGCTTCCCTCTTGCTCTACCCTCATAGGGGCTGGGAAGTGGGCCGTGCCGTGGGAGCACCAATTACCTGTTGTCAGCACGCAGTGGGACCCCTGCTTGACCCCTGGCTTCTGCCACCCAAGCCGGAGTGTCCTGCTTCCTGCCATTCTGAACCCCAAACATCTCCCTGAGGTCCTGTCTCCTCCTTGCCCCCTTGCCCTGGCCTGGGCTTTGTCATTGCAGGCCTGGATTCTGCCTGGGACCCCTCCACTAGCCTGCAGTGACTTCACAGTGTGGCTGAGAGGCCCTGGGGGGTGGGGGTGGGAATGGTCACCAGAGGGATGGAGTGGCCCATAAGAGTCCCATACTGTCATGAGGTTCCCAGCCTAAACTCTGACCCCGAACTAGCTGTACCCCGTCTCTGCCTCAGTTTCTCCCCAAGGCCTCCAGCTCAGTACAGGGCAGGAGGACATCAGAGAGGGGCATGGAGTGTGGATTTGGAGCAGGTAGGTCTGAGTCTCCCTCCAGGGTCGCTGCTTTCATCCTCACCCTTGAGCGTCAGTTTCCTCCTCTCTGACATGGAGCTGCCACTAGCTTCTCTTCCAAAGGCTGTGCACCTGGCCAGTGCCAGGAACGTTTTCTCCGATGGCACTACAGTCATTCTTATCACTGGCGATGGCGCCCCCAGCCCCTCTCCTGGCGCACAGGAGGGCTCCCTGGCTGGCATTTGAATGAGTGACTCAGAGAGACTTGGAGAGCAGGCCTGACCAAGGCAGGTGGACAGAGGGACAGATGTGTGAACACACACAGGCGTGCGGGCACCACACGCACAGCAGCACTCACCCATGGATTGGAAGGAAATGGAATTTAATTCTAGAGACAGGCACTGAGAAACAGAAGACAAAAGTTGTGGGGTTGGGGGCCAGGAGAAAGACCCTCCAGGGGCAGACCTGGAGCCCAACACAAAGACTGGGACTCAGCACACAGCCTGCCCTGGAGGGCTTTAGGGTCTGCACCAACGTGCCGGCCACCAGCTGCGCGAGAGGGGAATGGAACACAGACTCCAGGAGGACAGAGGTGGGGAGAGAGACAGAGAGGGAGAGAGAGAGACAGAGAAATGGAGAGGGAGATGGAGAGGCACAGAGAGAGAATGGGAGGGAGGGAGAGACAGAGAGGGAGGGAGAGAGAGATGGAGAGAGAGCAGGGAGGAGAGAGAGAGGGAGGGAGAGACAGAGGGGGAGAGAGAAATGGAGAGGGCAACAGAGAGACACACAGAGAGACATGGAGAGAGGGAGGGAGAGAGACAGACAGAGACAGAGAGATGAAGAGACACAGAGGGAAACAGAGGAAGAGATGCAGAAACCCAGAGCATAACAGTAACCCGGAGAGAGACAGAGAGACAGAGAGATATAGAGAGACAGAGAGAGACAGAGGGAGAGATAAAGGGAGGCAAAAAGGCAGAGAGACCCAGGGAGAGACAGAGATGCCCAGAGAGACAGCAAGAGTCCAGAAGGGTGCAGAGTAAGGGGTGATGTGGGAGACAGAGGGAGCCAGGAAGGAGAAGGAGCTGAGGAGGGAGGCGTGTCCAGTGGGGACTTGAGGGTGAGAAAGTGCCCTGAGGGGAGGTCTTGGCTGTGGGAAGAGCCTGGGCCAATGCCAGGAAAGCTGCTGTTGCCCTGTTTTAGCAGACATTAGGAATTCTGGACTTTACTGCATGGCCCGTAGGGAGCTAGTGAAGGTTATAGAGCAAGGGGGTGATCTGTCACAGTTGGGGAGTTTGATAATGTGCCCTCTGGCAGCAAGGAAGAAGAAGGAAGGTGCAGAGGCTGTGAGGGGCTGCGGTGGCAGTAGGGAAGAAGGAAAGAGGTTGGTCCACGCAGGTGTGGCTCCTCCGAGATGTTTAATAGGTACTCAGGGAATAAGCATGGGAGACAAACTATGGAGGGCTGCGGGTGGTGAGGATGGGGAAGGGAAGGCTGGTCAGGATCACTGGGGACATGAGTGGCCTTCCCCAGCTTTGACACTTTGCTATGGCTGTCCCCTCGGTCTGGGATGCACCCTCCTTCCCTCCTCCTCCCCTTTACCCAGCTCCCTTCTTCTCACAGCACCCCTTCCTGTCACCCCACAAGTGGGCATCCTGCCTTGGGGCTCCCATGACCCCTGGGCACCACCTCATTGTTGCTGCTGTTCCCATCTTCTCTTGTAATTATTTGTCTCTCTGTACCTGCCTCGTACCCAGGCCAGGGGTGGCGGAGGGTGGGCCTGGCACTCCAGTTCTCTCTGGAGATTTTCCTCGCCTGCCTAGCATGGGGCTGAGTGCACTCAGTGGATCCTGGGAGCAGCTGGAAGAAGGAACACACCTTCTTTCTCCACCTGGCTAACTTCTATGCATCCTTCGAGGCCCTGCTCAAATGGCCCTTCCTTCCGAAGCCTTTCCTGCTTCCCCTTTAGAAAGTGGCTTCCACTCCGGGCTCTCTCATAACAAGCCTCAGTCACATCATGGGTCTCTTTGTGTCCGTCTGCCTTTCTCAAGGCTATTGGTGCTCAAGGACAAAACAAGACGGAACAGAAGAGCAGCAGCCATGAATCCTTACACAGCGCTCACCACATGCTGGAAACTGTCCTAAGCACCTTCCGTGGGCTTTTCATTTAATCCTTACGGGACAAGTATAGACCCTATGATTATTTCCTTTCACGGATGGTGAAACCAAGGCTCAGAGAGGTGAAAAGACTTGTCCCAGGTCACACGGCAAGTAAGTAGTGAAGGTAGGATTTGAACCCAGGCTGTCTGGCTCCAGAATCACCCTGTAAGGTGGTGTGAGGTGGTATGTGTCAAGCATTTCTCTCTCAGTGTAAAGGGCCCTGGAATCTTTCTCTTTTCTGCAGTTTCTGTCCTGTCCTGGGCTCCCTGTACCCTGTCCACCTTCTGCACCTTCTCACTGGGAAGCCCATTCCCTACCCACAGTGCTGACCCTCAGAGTCCCTCCCTGCCATTCGCCTTGATGAAGGCACAAGGCCGGCACCTGCTGGCCCCTCCACCGATGCCTCAAGCCCACTGCCTGTCGTTACAGTCCTCAAATGTGTTTTTCTCCTGTTCTCATTAGCGCTGGGCGTCACCACCCACCGGGGCTGCAGCCAGGAGCCCGGACTCATCTCTGACTCTTCCAGTGGCCTGCCGCCCACCACCCATCTGTGCCCATTTCCTGCCGACTGTCCTCCGGGGCCCCTTTCCTGGGCCACCACCTTCGGTCTCACCCTCCACTTCTTACTGAAACACCTGTTACCTTCCTAAGTCCCCGTGTCCGTTAACGAAGCTGGTGACGACATGTTCCTCATGGAGTATCTCGAGGATTAGGCAAATACCGAAAAGCTGTTGCGGCAGGGCCAGGTTTGCAATCCGTAGCTGTAATTAAAGATTAAACGGGTAGCTGTGACTAAAGATTTTCTGAATGAATGAATGAGTGAACGACCCCATGGGTATGCCATTTTCTTTTCCTTATATTCCTCTCAGATTCCCCGTCCCCCACACTCCTTGTCTCTAGGGCACAATTTTTACTATTTTTGAATGATGGCTGCCCTTTGGAAATGCCCTGGGTCTCCTGAGCCAGCCTGCAAGCCTCTCTGGTCTTAGAAAAAGATCCTTCCCGTGACTCCATCTCTCTTCCAGCTACAGCTCCATTCCTTTCCTTTCCTTTCTTCCTAGAAAACCTCTGGGAAAGAATTGCACTCCCGCCACCACCACTAGCCCCATTTCCTCCACCCACTCCCATCAGCCCCTTCCCCTGATGCCTCTGCCCTGGTCAAGCTCATAGGTGGCCCCCATGCTGCCAAATTTCATGGACATTTTAAATGTTAGTTTTTCTCTTCCTCTGACTCTTGGCAGCATTTCAGCACTTTCTGGGATGTCCCTCCTGCATTTCTCCTCATGTCCTCCAATGACCAGCCCCTGGAGAACCCCTTGTAGAGGTTGTTGAAATGTTGGTGAGCCCCTGGCTCAATGTCTGCTTATCTTCTCTTTCTCGGTCTCTGTTTCTCTCCTCACTTCCTTGGGAATCCTGATTCACCCAGTCCTATGACTTGAAAAACCAGCAAGACTTGTGTTGATGATTCCTAGCTTGGGCCTGAGCCCCAGGCATGGATGTCCAGCTGCCCCGTGGCCATCTCCATGTGTCAGTCTGTGGCCACTCAAACGTCACATGCTCCAAATGAGCCCCTGACTTCAATCCTCCAAGCTGGGCCTCTGCCTGGCTGCCCTCACTTCAGGACCTGGCACAGCTACCACTCAAGTCTAAAATAATAGCTGGGCATGGTGGTGGGCACCTGTAATCCCAGCTACTTGGGAGGCTGAAGTGGGAGGATCGCTTGAGGTGGAGAGGCAGAGGTTGCAGTGAGCCAAGATCGTGCCACTGTACTCCAGCCTGGGCGGCAGAGCGAGACCCTGTATCTCACACACATACACACACACACACACACGTCTAAAACAAGGGTCTCTCCAGACATGCCACCCTCTCTCATCCTCAGGGTTGCATCCCCAGCCCTCCTCATGACTCCTTTTCCCCTCTTTTCCTCACTGTTTCAATAACCACACAAATACTGATGATTCCAGGGTCTCTATCTCTTGCCTAACTTTTATCCTGAGCCTCTGATTAGCCATTTCCTGGAGGTTTCTACCCCGAGGTCCCTCAGGCACCTACTGCTCCACCTGGACCAAGTGGACTCAGCGTCATCCCCTACACATGCTCCTTCTCTGTCTGGGGTCCTTGTGCTGGTAAAGAAGACTGCCATGTGCCCTACCATGGAGGGCACCCCACATCACTCTTAATTCTGTGTTGTTTACTTCCACTAGTACTTCTCATTGGGGTGGTCATTTGCCAAGCCCTTCTTGTGTCCCCTCAATCACTGTTTGTTTCTTGGTTCTCTGTCTTCTCTATTCTGAATTCTGTGGCCATTCTTGATAACTTCAATGCCAACATGGATGGCGTAGCCAACACTGTGATCTGGACCTCCCAGGTGCCCAAAATATTGTCCTTTGTTCAACTGCAGCTATGATCACATCTTTGGTCTTGCCATACAATGACAGTGCCAACTCTGAAATCTCAATTTTGAGCCATCCCACTCCCCAGCATTCATCTGCTGCCATTCCACCTCATTTGCTTGAGCACGTCTTTGATCAAAACAAGACTTTGGAAGTCAATCCCCAACTATTCTTTCTTTAGCCCCTCTAATTAGCCTTCCATCCCCACTTTGCTGCTGGCATTGCTCTTGGCAGGATCAACAGTGACCTCCATCTTGTCCTATCCAGCGGTCACTCCTCAGGCCTCGTCTTCTTTGTCCCATCAGCAGTGCCTGATGAGGTTGATCACTTCTTCAGTCTCAAAACATTCACTCGTCTTGGCCTTCACGATACGACACTCTTGTACTTTTCCTTCTCAGTCTCTGTTGCTGGATCCTGTTGCTTCCCCAACCTCTAAATGGCCCCCTTCTCTTTTGTACCCACACCCTCTCCTGATCTCTATCAGCTCACTGGGTTGAAACACCATCTATTTGCTGACGACTTCCTAACTCCAGCTCTCCCTGAACTCGACTCCACTGCCCATTCCACATCTCAACTTGGATGTCCAGGAGGCATCTCAAACTCACTATGTCCAAAGCAGAACTCATTCCATCTTCCCACAAACTTGCTCCTTCCCCAGTCTTTCCCACATCAGTAACTGACACCACTCTAAGACCGTAGAAGTCATTCTGGAGCCCCCTGTTCTTCCATGACTCATATCCATGTTTAATCCACTGGTAAGTACTGACTTAACTCCCAAAGCTCCCCACATCCATTCCATGTTTTTCACCCTAGCTGCCCCATGCTAACTCAAGCCCCCATCATTCCTCTGGGACACCAGCCCAGCCTCCTCTGTGGGCTCCCTGTTTTTACTCCTGTTTCCAACTCATTCTCCATCTAGAACCAGAGGGATCTTGTAAACAGGATCATGCCACCTCCTGCTCATAACATCCAAGTTTTGTGCCATAGTCTACAAAATCTGACATGATGTGACCCTGATCCCAGCTCTGGCTTCATTTCCTGCATTGCTTCCCTCCCACTTTCTTGGTTCCAGCCCCGTTGACCTGCTTGCTCTCCCCCAGACACACCAAGCTCATTCCTGTCTTAGGGCTCAGCCTGCAGTTCCTTCAGACTGGAAGACTTTCCTCCCAGGAATCCACAAGGCTATGTCCTTCCTTCTTGTCACTCAGTGCTAGGTTCAGATGCCACCTCCTCAGGATGGCCTTTCCTGACCATCCCCCGGACTCAGTCTCACCAGCCTACTTTATCCTCTTCTTCACTCTTATCATTATCTGAAATGATCTCATTAATTTACTCCTCCTTTCTTTCTGTCTTTTGTACTGGAGGGTCAGTTCCGGGACAGCCGGGACTGGGTCTGGTCTGCTCCCTGCTGTAATTTGGTCATTCAGCACTGTCTGGCATGCAGTAGGAGCTCTGTCAATTCTTGTGGGTTACAGGCATGGCTCAGGTCCTTTCAGGTTGGTTCCTTAACAGCTCTCACCTCTGTGCCCTCCACTCACCTCTCTGCCTCCCTGACTTGCTCTCTGAGCTCCCTTCCTCCTTGTCTCTTGGCTTCAGGGTTCTCACTCTGAGCCCGCACAAGTTTGGCCTCCCCTTTGTGAGTGCATCATCGTGTGTGTGTGTGTGTGTGTGAGTGTGTGAATGCACACCCATGTCTGTGCCTGTCTGTGTCACTGTGGGTCTTATTTCTGTTTCTCTCTCACATAGTGGGCTTTGATATAACTTCTGGTTTGCCTCATTCATTCATTTGTTAATTTATTACTTTATTCAGTTATTCCATCTTTAAATATCTTGTGGTGGATGCTATGCTAGACAGTGTAGATGTGTGATATGTGTGTGTGGACACATCTGTGAATCTCTCATATTCTGGACCCTTATCATGTGTTGTTCTCACTCGATATTAGCCAAAAGGCTGAGAAGCAATCAGGTTTTGTTCTCATCTCTGGATTATTCCATCCATCCATTCACACACCCACCCCCTATCCATCCACCCATCCTCCTCTCCACCCACCTACTCACTCACCTATCCATCCACCCATCCACTCATCCAACCACCCATCCATTCATTCACTTCCATTTATCCATCCATCCATCCACCCACTCACTCATCCACTCATCCATCAACCCATCCACTCATCCATTCACCCATCCATTCATTCACTCCTCCATTTATTCATCTGTCTCTCCACCCACTCATCCATCAACCCATCCATTCATTCACTTTCATGTATCCATCCATCCATCCATCCACCCACCCACTCACTCATCCATTCATCCATCCACCCACCCATCCACTCATCCATTCACCCATCCATTCATCCACTCTTCCATTTATCCATCCATCTATCCATCAATCCATCCACCCGCCCATCCATCCATCTAAAATATTCTGTGCCAGTCAGTGAGAGGTGAGTTTGTGCCTGTATCTGTAGGGTGCCTGTATCCATGTCCCTGCTGTGTGTCTGAGGGTCCCATCTCCCTTCCCTCAATGCCTGGGTTTTTATCTCCTTCCAAAGCCACATTTTCCCTTTCTCTTTACAGAGAAGCCTTGTTGGGTTTTTGCTCTGAGTCTGCAAGCCATTCATGCTGTGTGTGTGTGTGTGTGTGTGTGTGTGTGTGTGTACATCTGTCAGTCTCTCACTTCTTTCCCCCTGGGACTTGGGATGGGCGGTTCCTGGTCTCTGGGTCACTGTCATTTACACCTTTTCCATCTATTTGTTGATTCATCCACAAGAGGTTGATTAAACACCTGCTTCATGTCAGGACCTGGGCTGCTCCATTGTGTACGTGTGTGCATGTGTGAATGCATGCTGTCTGCCATCCCTGCCTTTGTCTCCTTCTCATCCTCTTCTTCCACCTGCCTTCACATCTTGGGGCCCCGGTGCATGTCCTGAGCTCCACCCTCCTCCTCTGCACCACCTTGCCCTGCCCTTGGTGCTGACGGCCCCAAGGGCCAGGTTGCCCTCATGCTCACAAGTTGGATACTCAAAGCCAATCCTCAGCTGTCTTTGGTATCACAAACTCAGTGGATGACAAACTCACCACATCATTTCCGCACCCCTGATGTGTTTCTCTCCCTGTTCTCGTTAGCGCTGAGTGTCATTGCCTGCCTGGGTCCACAGCCAGGAGCCCCAAGTCATCTATGAGTCCTCACTCTCCTGCCGCCCACAGCCCATCTGTTCTTCCTGTATAATCTTTCCCCAAAAGCTGCTCAGCACCCCCCAACCCCCACCATCTTATCAGCCCCTGCCACAGCCCTGGCCTAGAAAATTGAAGCCTGGACCACTGTACCCATCCATCCATCCATCTGTCCATCCACTCATCACCCACCCATCCATTAATAGACTTGCACTGAGTACACACTGGGTCCCTGCTGAGCACACAGGCCCCAAAGGCAGGAGCTCAGAGTCCAGAGGGGTGACAGAATAGTTGTCACTGCCCTTCAAGATGGGTGATGGAGACTTCCCAAGGCTTTATGTCCCTTTTGTCATCACACAGTGTGTTTGGGGGAGTGATCTCTCTCTTTTTTTTTCAGACAGGGTCTGGCTCTGTCACCCAGGCTTGAGTGCAGTGGCATAATCACGGCTCACTGGAACCTCTGCCTCCCCAGCTCAAGCAGTCCTCCTACCTAAGCCTCCCGAGTAGCTAGGACTACAGGCACATGAACCAATGCCCTGCCAATTTTTGTATTTTTGGTAGAGACGGGGTTTCGCCATGTTGCCCAGGCTGGTCTTGAACCCCTGAGCTCAAGCAATCCTCCCACCTCGGCCTCCCAAAGTGCTAGGATTACAGGCGTGAGCCACTGCACCTAGCCGGCATCTGTCTTACTTATCACTTTTTCATACCTCCTTCCTCCATCCAACCCTCCACCAGGGCTGTGTCCTCCCGCTTTGGCCCAGGTCCTTCCATGATTAGTGTGCCTGCACCATGCTGTCCCTGACCAGGGCTGCAGAGATGCGCTTCACGCAGACGGTGCTCATGTACGTCCACCCAGCAGGGGCTGGATCTGTTCTGCTCTGTGCCGTAATTTGGTCATTCAGCACTGTCTGGCATGCAGTAGGCGCTCTGTCAATTCTTGTGGGTTACAGGCATGGCTCAGGTCCTTTCAGGTTGGTTCCTTAATAGCTCTCACCTCTGTGCCCTCCACTCACCTCTCTGCCTCCCTGACTTGCCCTCTGAGCTCCCTTCTTCCTTGTCTCTTGGCTTCAGGGTTCTCTCTCTGAGCCCACACAGGTTTGGCCTCCCCTTTGTGAGTGCATCATCGTGTGTGTGTGTGTGTGTGTGTGAATGCACACCCATGTCTGTGCCTGTGTCACTGTGGGTCATATTTCTGTTTCTCTCTCACATAGTGGGCTTTGATATAACTTCTGGTTTGCCTCATTCATTTATTCATTTGTTAATTTATTACTTTATTCAGTTATTCCATTTTAAAATATTTTGTGGTAGATGCTATACTAGACAAATCCACTCAGATGCTCAGCAACAACACAGACTTGGCAAGATAGCATCAAACCCCTTAACATCCCCACTCCCCTTCCTTGTTCCCACCCCCATCTCTGAGACCAAAAACCCAGACACCTTCTCTTCCTCCTTGGATGGGGAAGAGATATCCATCTTCAATTTGACTCTAATTTCTTGCCAATTCTTCCTCTAACATCTCTCCCCTGTCTTCCCCTTTGGTCCTCTCCATCCTCATGGCCAGTATTGTTGCCCTGGCAACGGCCATTCTCCCTTCTCTCCTGGCTGCTCTCAGCTGGGGAGCATGCCCACTTCTCTCTAACCTGTAGAGAAACTCTCATCTTGATCTGTCTCCCTTCTGTCCCCTCTCTCCTTCCATCATCAGAAGAGCTGGGGAGGGAGCCATTGGCTTCAGTGTTGCCACCCCTGCTTCCTCTGTGCCAGCCAAGGTGCTCAGGCAGGGCCCTCTACCCACCTCCTGTGTGCCAGATCTTCAGTCTCTTGTCCTTTGCACGTTCATCTGCCCAATGTGAGAGGTCCCTGTGGGTGTCTTATGGGCTCCTCCTCACCATTGGCTACAATGACCTCTTTTCCTTCCCTTCCCAAACCCATCTTTCAAGAATAACACACTGTATGTCCCCTTTGATGAAGCCTCTGCTGGCTTCTTCCCCCCAGGACCCCCATCATCTCCCAAGAGCTCCCCCAAGGAACAGCCAGGCATGCCTTGGTTTGGGCACTTTTCTCCCCTACGAGACTGTGAACCTTGATGTCAGGGTCTTCTGTGGATGTCAGCACAGAGGAAGGCTAGGGATGTGTGTGGCTGGGTGGGGAAGGGGATGGACAGATAGACGGAAGTCATGTATGTCTGTGGGTTTCCTCTTTGTCTTACTCTTCTTCTTCTTCTTCTTTTGTTGAGACAGGGTTTCAGCCTGTCACCCAGGCTGGAGAGCAGTGGCACAATCACAGCTCACTGCAGCCTTGACCTCCTGGGCTCAAGTGATCCTCCCACCTCAGCTTCCAGAGTAGCTGGGACTACAGGGGCATGCCACCACACCTGGCTAATTTTTTTGTATTTTTTTGTGGAGATGGGGTTTCACCATTTTGCCTAGGCTGGTCTTGAACTCCTGGCCTCAACTGATCCACCCACCTTGGCCTCCCAAAGTGCTGGGATTACAGGCATGAGCCACTGCGCCTGGCCTCATCCTCTTCTTTATCAGTCCCTTTCTCCCCTTCCTGTCATTCTTCTATTTTTTTTTTAACCAAAATTATTTTGCTTTCCAATCTCATCAGTGATATGCAAATACATTTTCTTCTTAAAAGATTAAAACATTACATATGAGACTAAAGTCTCTTCCACTGTACCCACCACCCTACCTCCTGGTCCCCAGTCCTCTCTTTCCTAAGAGGAAACTAAGTTATCAAATTAGTGGGAAAAAATTCATCTCTCTCTCTCTCTCTCTCTCTCTCTCTCTCTCTCTCTCTCTCATAAAACAGCCCAAAACAAAGCCAATGATGATACTGCTTTCCCTTAAGATCAGGAACAAGGCAAGGGCACCTGCTTTTAGTCTTTCTATTTAACATGATATTGGCAGTCCTAGCCAGTGCAATAAGACAATAAAAAGAAATAAAAGAAGATATAGCCTGGAAAGGAAGAACTAAAACTGTCTCCATTAGCAGATGACATTACTATCTATATAGAAACTTCCAAAGAATCTACAACCCCCCACCCAGAACTAGAAAGTGAGTTTAGCAAGGTTGCACAATAAAAGGCCAATGTAAAAATGGCCAATATAAAAAAAAGTCAATGAACAGTTGGAAATGGAAGCATATATATTCCTCTAGAAAATGCAGAATACTGTTTGGTGTTTTTTAAAGAAATGGCCTCATACTGTATACATTATTCTCCAGGGGCTTTTACCTCCAGCAGCCCCCATAGGGCCCTCTTCCCCCTTTAGAACAGAGAGTTGCACTACATTCTTTTCCTCTGCTGCATAGGATTCTGGAAAAGGGAGGCACTGGGGTTTATGTAGACATTTCCCCAGGGAAGGACACTTTGGTTGTGTCTACCTTTTCACCATTACAGACGAGGCTGCAGTGAACACACACGTCTCCTTCTGGCTCCCTCTTTTAGGTTCCAGGGCACTCCAAACCTTGTCTGGGCATTCATCTGTCTCTTGGGGTCTCCAAGTGCTCTGTCACTCCCCTTCTTGGCCTCATTTGCCCTTTGTTTCTCCCTCATCTTTCCCAGTTCCCCTTGGACTTGGCCCTAGTTCTTGAGTATGTGTGTGGGGAGTGTGTGCGTTGTCTGTTCCCCATTCTGTTTATGTAACAGTAACAGGTCCCATCAGGAAAGTGATATCACAACCAAATTAGGATAATTTCAGGTGACTCCTCTCTGGGGCCTTTCTCAGGTTTTTGTTCTCACCCTCTGGGCTACCCCACCCATCCTCCCACCCACCGTGTACCCATTCAGAAAAACGCACTGAGCCTGTTCCAGGAACTGGTGTTCAAGCTTGGCCATGTGTGTGTCAGGGTGTCTGTGTGCATGCATGTGCCTGGGTCTCACCTGCCTGCCTGGCCATCTCCCTGAAGACCCCACCTCGCTCTACTTCCCATGCTCTAATTTTTTGAATGTACACATCATCTTGCTCATCCAGCTTCTGTCTTGGTCTCCTGGCTCAGTGTGTTTTTTTCCCACTCTCTCAAGAAGTGTTATTTAATTTTGCTCTGAGTTGGTGCATCCTTCCTGCTGTGTGTGTGTTTGTATGTGTGTGCACACACACATGCGTGCGCACAGCTTCCCCCTAGCTCCCTCTCTTTTTCTCAAGCTCATAAAGTTTCCCACTTTCTCCAGGTCTTGCTGTGTGTGCATGCACATGTGTACATATGTTGGTCTTCATTGGATTCCATCCTCTCTGTTTTTCTCAGTGATTCTTCATCCATCTGCTAGTCCATACATCCAACACACCATACTTGTTGAGCCAGGACCAGGGTCTGCCTGTGTGTCCTGTGTCTTTCTTTCCTTCCTGACTCCTCCTGCTTTACCTACCCTCACATCTTGGGGCCCCAGGTTCCTGTCCTGGATCATTCCCTCCCCAGCTTTTCACCAGCTCCCTGAGGTTCACAGAGTCATTCTTTGCATTGACACTCCAGCATCCCCTGCAGCCCAGACCCTACTTGTTCTCTCCTCATCCTGCCAGTGAATCGTGGCTCACACAGACTGGGCTCTTTCACTCAAGCCCAGCACATCCTGTCCCCATCCTCCAAATGCGTTTCTCACTCAGTTCTCATTGGCACTGAGCTTCACCACCACCTGGGGTTTCACAGCCAGGAGCACGAGTCATCTCTGATTCCACTCCCTCCTGCTGCCCACTACCCATCTGTCCTCTTTTCCTTTCAAGTCTCTCTCCAAGGGGTGGCTAAGCAGCCCCCTCCCCACTCCGATCACTTCAGCCCCTGACATAGCCCAGTTGTCAGGTTTATGATGCCAGGAGCATCCATCCATCTATCCCTCCATTATCCATTCATCCCCCATCATCCATCCATGTCCCCATCATCCATCCATCCCCATCCATCCATCCCCCATCATCCATCCCCCATTATCCATCCATCCTCTACCATCCATCCATCCCCCATTATCCATCCATCCCCATCATGCATTCACCCCCCCATCATCCATCCATGTTCCCATCATCCATCCATCCCCCATCATCCATCCATCCGTCATGCATCCACCCACCCATCATGCATCTCCCCTATTACCCATCCATCCCCCATCATCCATCCATCTGTCATCCATCCACCCCCCATCATGCATCTCCCCCATTACCCATCCATCCCCCATCATCCATCCTCCCATTATTCATCCCCCCATCTTCTGTCCACCCATCATCCATTCCCCCATTACCTATCCCCTCATCGTCCATCCTTTCATCCATCCATTAACAGACTTGCACTGAGCACCCACTGGGTATTCGCTGGGGTCACAGGCCACAAAGCCTTAGGCCATGGCCTGTGGGAGCTCAGAGTCCAGGGAGAATACAGAGCAGTTATGCCTGCACTAAAAGATGGCTGATGGAGGCTTCCTAAGACTTTATGTCACGCTGCAAATCACAGTGTGTGTGCATGTGCACATGTGTGCGTGTGTGCATATGTGTATACATATGAGTGTGCACCTGCGTGTGCATGTGTGTGTGCGCATGTGTGTATGTGTGTGGGTGCATGTGTGCATGGGTGGGGTCACTCCTGGCTACTTCTCCAGCCCCTTTGCCTCCTCCTTGCTCTAGCGCAGATGCCTCTGCAGCTGCGCCTCCCTCTTCTGCTTCTCTCCCTCCCTGAGATCTCCCTGCTTGTCCACTCCTGGGAATTCAAAGGCCCTGCAACAAACTGCCTCACCTCAGTGTCCCCCCATCACGGCTCTTCAGCTCAAGCCCCAGACATCACATGTTCACTATTCTCTCCCCTGCTCTGTTCACTGGTTCCACCAGCTTCACAGACTCCCTGAGCCAGGATCAAACTCTCCATCCTCCTACCCCCACCCCCACTCCCAGACCCAGCTGTCTGGCCACCCCTCCCCTCTCCCTGCCCTACCTCTAATGTGCCCCAGGTCTTCACAATCTTTTCCGCAAAATCTCACTCCCACCCCCACCTGACGCTCTCTCTTCCCCATGGCCCTCTCAGCAGGTAGATGAGGTGGTGGAGGTGGGGGTGAGACTGTGCGCCCTCATAGGCTCCCTCCTGTTTGGCCACAGATGAGCTGGGGAGGGAGTATTAGGCCTGGAGGTTTCTCTGCCTTCCCCTCTGCAACTGAGGACCCCTGCCCTAAGCCCCTCATAGTGCCCCGCAAGTCTGCCTACCTGCTCCTTGACAAACCTGCAGCCTATCCATTCTTCGCTCCCCTGCCCCATGGAGGCCAGTGCTGGCTTCTGGACAGCAGCCTCTCCCTGGGCCCCAGACACGGAGGCCAGACTTTCCCGCACCTCTCAGTTGGGCCTCCTCCATTCCTTTGAAGGGTTTCTCCTGCCAGCTGCGTGGGACTCCGGTGCTCCAGGGCCCTGCCCTGCCTGCTCCCCAGCACTTTCCTGCCCTTCCAAGGCTGACCCCTGGCCAGGCTCCACTCTGGCCCTCTCTGCAGAGCCCAGATGTCATCAGCCTGACGGGGAGGCTCCATGTGGAGTGGCCACCAGGTTCCATCCCCTTCTCCCACGCCCCACCATTGTAGAGAAGAAGGCCTGGGCCCTTGTCCTCCCCAGAGGGCCCTTGTCCTCCCCAGAGAAGCTCCCGCTGAGCCTTCCCTTGGGCCCTCCTGGATGCAGGGAGCACTCCCCTGGGAGCACTCAGCACCAGGCTTGTGGTCGTCCTTGTCCCCGCCAGGCCACGGGCTCTGTGGGGCCTGGGTGTGACCTCTCTCAGGGTCTTGGCACTGAGGGAAGTGTGGAGATGAGGACAGACGGGGCATCTGCGAGCTCTGCTCTTCTACCCTCTTACTCTTTCTCCCCTTGTTGCTTCCCATCTCCTTTTGGAAAATCATTTTTTAACTCCACACATGCTATAAAGACCCACTGTATTTGTAAAAAACTGAAGCCTTCCATGTAGGACTGAGGTGCCCTTTGACCCCTGCTCCTCTCTTCATTCAGGCCCCAACAGGAAACAGATGTCTCCCTCCAATCTAGGAAGCCTCAGGAGGGTCTGTTTACAAAGGTGCTGAGGGAGGGGGTGCAGGAGCCAGGAGAGCAGCAAACTTGTGATTTCCAGTGAATCCAAAGGAACCAGGGAGGAGAAGTTTCCAGAAGGCAGCTGAGAGGGCAGCTGAGAGCAGAGGGCACAGCAGCCTGAGCTCTGGGGGAGCAGACATGCTGATCTCCCTCCCTCTTCCCTCCACTCTCCTGCTGGGGGTCCCCAGTGGCCAGGTCCAGCGCGAAGCTGTAGGCCCAAGGCTCATCCACGGGGCTCAGCCTCCCCAGCCCAGAGCAGGGAGGAGGAGCGGGGCCGGTGGGGCGGGAAGGGCAGGTGTGGGAGTCATTGGGCATCTGCGTCGCCCTGGGGGCTTTCCCCCCTGAGGCCTTTCTCAGGCTTGGTTGCCCTCTCTGTGCTGCGGCGTTCACCACCCACCTAACAAAAGCATGTGAGCGCCTCCTGGGAGCCGGCGGGTGGGCTGCGCGCCTGCTCCTCCGCCTGTCTGCCTCCCCAGGCTTCTGCTCCCCTTCCTTGACTTTTCAAACTTTTCTCTGATGCACCACCCCCTCTCTCGGTGCCTCTGTCTCCTGCTCCCTCAGCCTCGCTCCTCCAACTCTCCAGGGGAGCTTGTTGAATTGGGCTGTTTGTGCATCATTCCTGCAGTGTGCGCATGAGTGTATACACAAGGTCAAGGTTGGTTCCCACCTTTCCCGTCCTGCTTCATCTGTCTGTGTCTGCCCACCCATCTATCCAGTAGTCATTCAACAAACGTGAATTGAACATCTGTGTGTGCGCTGCTGAGGGTGAAGAGCCCGGAGTCCCACCCAGGCTGTGTCCTGAAGAAACTTGGAGTCCAGGGCAGACACACCGGTTGTTATATCACAAGAAGACTGGGTTGGGTCACCGAGCATCACACTCAGGGTGTGTGTGTAATGTGTGTGTGCATGTGGGTGTGTGTTGTGTGTATTGTGTTATGTGTGTTGTGTGTGTGTGTTGTGCGTGTACATGTGCATGTGTGTGTTATATGTGTGTTGTGTTGTGTGTTGTGTGTATGTGTGCGTGTGGTGTCTTTCTGCATTGCCCACTTCTCCACACCCGTTCCTCCCTCACCCCTCCAGCGTCAGCCAGCCCTGGGCTGTGTTCTCTTCCATCTGCGCCCCTCCACGCATACCCCCTCCCCGGGCCAGGCCGCCCACCTGTGGGGCTTCTGAGATTCCCTCTGCTTGCCTCTGTGTCCACCCGGGCCCCCCTACGTACACCCCAGGCCTACGCATCTAAACATCTTCTTACCCGCCCCCACCTCCTGGACGTCCCACCGGCATCACAAACTCTCTAAGCCCAGGGAGAAATCCTTGACTTCCCAATCCTTCCCCTGTGCTCCCCTTCACCATCCCTGGGCACTCGAGTCCAGGCGCCCTTCCCCTCTACTGCCCCCACCTTTCAGGTTTGCCTCCTCTAAGCCACACTCCCACCCCGTCTTCCCTTCACTCCTCTCCATTACCCCATTCGTGTGGTTGCCCTGGCAACGCCATGTTCCCCTCTCCTGGGTTTTTCAGAGGCAAACTTGTTCACTTCCCTCCGCTGACTTTTCGTTCCCATCTCCCTCTCATCTGCTCTCTCCTCCGTCCACAGAGGAGTTTGAGATGGAACTTCAGGCTCTTTCCCCTCTTCCCTCCCGGGCCCTCTGTGACCACCACCTGCCCCGACCTTGAGCCCACCACGGGGTTCACCTGGGGCCTCCACTGACCTGTTTGCCAAATGGAATAGGATCTTTTATCTCCTCCTCTCCCCTCGTTCATGAGGGGTCCTGGTCAAGGTGCCAGGACCAGGATCCCTCTCCTCCCTAAGCTCCTGGGACAGTGAGGGTCTGTCCTGCCACCTCTGCTGTTTGCTTTGGTGGAATCCTCTTGCTCTGTGATCTGCTGCGTCGTAGCGCTCCCCAGGCCAGGCCCTGCCTTCCCCAACCTGCTGCACAAACTCTTCTGTGGGTCGGTTCCATCCCTCTCAGGCCATAGGGTCCATTCACACCTTGACTGTGTCTGTGGCCAACTCTTCCTGCTGAGCTGGGACCCCCACATCCATTGCCCTGAGGGGCTGTTCCCCTGGCCACGGCCTCGACAGGGCTCCTTCCTGTGTCCTCCCCACAGAGAGCCCTGCTGAACCTTCCCCTGGAGAAGCTCCCCTGCCCCCCAAGGGCACTGGGACCCTCAGGAACGGCTAGGTTTGGACATCTTTCTTTGAGCTTCTTAAGAAGAGTCTGCATGTCTGGTGCTCAGCATGGAGGAGAGGCTGGCTGGAGGGGAGGACAGACAGACAGATGGATGAAAGTTGTGTCTTTCTAGAGGATCTCTTCTCTTCCTTTAACTCTCTTGTTCTCTTTCTCTTTCAAAAAATTAATGCTTATTGTGAAACCTCGTCTCTACAAAAAAAATCAGAAAATTTGCTGGGTGTGGTGGTATATGTGCCTATAGTCCCAGCTACCAGGGAGGCTGAGGCAGGAGGATCACCAGAGCCCAGGAGTTTGACGAGGCTGCAGTGAGCTGTGATCTCACCACTGCACTCCAGCCTGGGTGACAGAGCAAGAGCCTGTCTTGAAAAAAATATGAATATTTAATTACTTAAGTGACACATGACCACATCATCTTTGCATAAATAGTAAAGTATTACAAATAAGATTAAAGGTCTCCTTTGACACTCACTCATCCCATCCTGTTCTCTAGCCATTTCCTCTGGGGAAAACCAGTTCTTACTTTAGCAGGAATCATTCTATACTACATACATATTTTTAAACATAAAAATGTATATTTTTCCCCTATAGAATCTGATTTTTTTGGTAGGTTTTGGCTTAGGGCATTTTTTCCTCATAGAAATTGCATTGAGCTATGAATATTGCTCTTCAGTGGGACTTTGACTTGACATATTTTGGGGATCTCCTTCCATCTCAATATATAAAGCTGTCCATCTGCCTTTTTGTCAGCTGCATAGTATTCCAGCAGGCAGAGCTGTCATGGTTTATTGGCCATTCTTCTGGTGATGGGCATTTAGATGGTTTCTACTCTTTTGTAATTAAAATGAGGTTGCCGCGAACACCTGTGTCCCTGCTTCCCCTTCCCATTAGTGCGTTCTCCCTTCCGCCTCCTGGGGCCCTGGGTTACTCTTTCTGTCTCCTTTTCTTTCTTGTTCCCTCTCAGCTTCTCATCCCTCCCTGTTCTTTCTAGATGTTGCTGTCACTTTATGTGTCCCAGCATGGGGTGTGTGTGTTTGTGTTGTCTATTTTTTTCACTGTGGGTTTGTGTTAGTCAGGGTCCTAACAGGAAAGGGATGGAACACTTAAATTTAGGAAAATCTGAGGCGAGTTTGTTTACAAAGGTGCTGTATTGCAGGATGTGGGATTTTGCAGAAACCTAGAGCTAATAGTTGTGAGGCTGTGACCACCCCCTACTCCCTAAGGGGTGAAGGGTGGAAGTAATGAGTGACCAGGCCCTGGAGGCAAACTGTCACCTAGAGGGGCTGCCTTGCTGGGAGCTGAGACCTCTAGGAGAGGGACCACCCAGACTGAGGTGACCCGGGGGGATAAGCATCCTTATCTCATTCTCCTCCCCCATCATCTCCTGCTGGCCATCTCACTGGCCAAGCCCAGCTGGAAGCCAGAGGGAAGAGCACCTCCCTGAAGGGTGTCATCAGCCTCCTAGAGCAAAGGAGAAGGGTGAAAGGGACAGGGGAAGTAGAGGGCATCTAGAACTTTCTCTCTCCAAGCCCTTTATCAGGTTTTGTTTCCAGTCTCTGGGTTACTTCATCCACCCATCATTCCCATCCACACATCCATCCAGCCAATGTGCATGGATCCCCTCCCAGGTGCCATGTGCGGAGTGGCATACCTTTTGGAGGGTTTGGCTCCCCTGTGAGCCCATGCTGGGCCTCTGCCTGCCACCCCCACTGCCTGCTGGCATGGCTCACGCCCCCTCTTGTTTTCAACTTTCTTATTGACGTCTACTCCCCCTTCTCTTCCTGTATCTGACTTTGTCTTGCTCATCTCTGCTCTTTCCCTCTCTCTAGAGGAGAGTTATTGAATTTTGCTCTGAGGCTGTGCGTCATTCTTGCAGTGTATCTCTGTGTGTGTGTGTGTGTGTGTGTGTGTGTGTGTGTGTGTGTGTGTGTGTGCTTTGTGCATGTGCTGGCTGACTTTCCCCTGCAGCTCTCTCTTTTCTGGGGCTTGTGGAGTTTTGCTCTAAAGTTCTAAATTTCTTATTGATTTTCCTGATCCTAGTTTCCACCCCCTTTCCCAGAGGAAATTTTGGTTATCACAATGATGACCAGCAAAGTGGTCACATAGGAGTCTTTTTCTTCCTGGCTCTTTTATCTGATTTTATTCTTACTCCCTGAATTACTCCATCCATCCACCCATCCTTCCACTCCATCTATTCATCCATTCATTTATCCATTATCTATCATCCATCCAACCATCCATCCATCCATTCATCATCCATCCATCCATCTCTCCATCTGTTCTCCCATCCATTCATTCATCCATCCATCCATCTCTCCATCCATTCATTCATTATCCATCCATCCATCCATCCATCCATCCATCCATCCATCCATCCATCCACAAACACAGCAGCTACTGAGTGCCAGGACCCATGTCCTTTTTCCTCTCCAGTCACCGTTGTGAACACACATGTGGGTCTCATCTCTTGCTCTGAGGTGTGACTAGAGTTGCCCCCCACCCTCTCTGTCACTCTCCTTGCTGTTTGTCTCCTGCTCTTTTATTTGTCTATAAACTGCTTAGTTAGTTCAGTGCCAAGGGTGGTCTGTCTGTCCTGTCTCTCCTCCTCTACTTCCCTAACTCCCCCTCCGTCTGTTCTCACACCATGGGGCCCCAAGGCCTATCTGGAGTCTTCTGCTTTCTCTGCACACATTCCCTGGATGTGCTCACCCACAGCTTTCTGTGCTGACACCACCCCCTTGGCCCCTCATGCAGCCCAGACCCTTTCCCTTCCCCTTAAGACACAGGCTCAAGCTTGACGAAGCCCTGCCCAGCTCAAGCCATCGCATTGTTTTTGTACCCACCAGAGGTGCTCTATCTCCATTCTCCTTGGCACTGAGCATCTCTGCCACCCAGGGCTCAGCAGCCAGGAGCACCAAGTCACCTCTGGCTGCTCTTATCCCTGTCTTCATGGTCCATCTGTCCCCTCTTCCTGCCACATCTCCCTCGAAAGGGCAGGTAGATAATCCCTCTCCATCCCCTCAGCCCCTGCCTCAGCCCTGATGTAAGAATCTAGTGCCTGAACCACATCCATCCATCCATCCCTCCAACATCCATCCCTCCACCACCAAACATCAGTTGGACACTTCCTAGGTGCTCTGATTATGACACAGACGCCCAAACCCCAGGCTATGCCCTGCAGAAGCCCAGAGTTCAGGGAGAAATTCTCTTGAGATCTTGGCCTTCTGTTAATGTCTCCTTCCTGCCCTGCCCCCCACCAACTCCTGTGCACAGAAGTGCTGGGGAGGGAATCCTAAGCTCTGCTGTTTTCTCCACAGCCCCACTTCTCTATGGCTACCTGTGGCTGGCTCTGAACCCACCACCAGGCTCAGGCAAGGTCCAGAGCCCCAGGCCTGAACTTCCTGCCGCTTCTTCCTGTTCTGCCTTTTCTGCTGGGGCAGTTTTCTCTGGGAAACAGGGTGGCTTACTATCCATGCCTTTTTGCACACAGTAAAGTCCAGACGTAAGCTCCCATCTGCCTGGGGTGGAGACGGAGTCTCCCTATGAACACCCTACAGGTATGTCCTCCTACTCCACCTCTGGCCTCCTTCTTCTTCCTTCCCCCTCCACGTATTAAGAATAAGGCATCATTGAAAAAAACAAAGGAGGCTGAGAATAAGTGGAGAATCAAAGTCTGTGCAGTTGAAGAGCTGAGGCTTTGCAAGTTCAACAACAAAGAGAGAGGGACTGTGGAATCCAAACTAGATAAGAGTGAGGAAACTGGGTGGGAGGACAGTGTACAACTGGCAGGTGCAATGAGGACAATGAGGCCCTGGGTCGTCCCCACAGAGGCCTTTGCTGGCTGACTCCTGTCTTCCAGGAGCCCCCGGGCATGGGTATGAGGGCATCTTTCTCTTCGCTCAGACATGGAGCTTCCTGGGAAGAGGACCTGCACCTGGCTTCCTTTTGGGTCTCAGGTTGGAGAGGAGGATGGACAAATGGAAGGTGTGTCTTTCTACTAGTCTCTTTTGCTCCTCCTTTGCCGCCTCTCCTCTCACCCTTTATAACATTCATTTTCTTTTGAGACAGGGTCTTGCTCTGTTGCCCAGGCTGGAGCGCAGTGGCACAATCATAGCTCACTGCAGCCTCTAACTCCTGGGCTCAAGCGATCCTCCCACTTCAGCCTCCTGAGTAACTGGGACTACAGGTATGTGTCACTATGCCCAGCTAATTTTTTTGAAGCAAAATTTGTATCATTTTAATTATTTTTATGTACAGAAAACTCAACAGTGTACATTTAACCCAGTTTAGTGGCAAGTTCTTTAGCGTTTACCTTTTTGAGCTTGGCGATGCGAGCCACAGACTCGGGACCCAGGACATTGCCTCCCCAGTGATGGTGGATCTCATTGTATCTCTCATTGTAATTGGTCCTTATACCTTCCACCAGCTTAGCCAAAGCACTTTTGTCTTCCCAGTTAACCTGTGTGAAGGCGACAGTGGCACAGGTCTTCCTGTGGACTAGACGCCCCAGTCTTGCCTTCCCCTTGATAATGCAGTAAGGGACTCCCATTTTATGACACAGGGCAGGCAAGAAGACAACCAGCTTGATGGAATCCACATCGTGTGCAGTCACCACCAGCTGAGCTTTCTTATTCTCCACCAAGGTGGTGACTGGGTGTTAACTCCTGCTTGAAGGACAGGTAGTCTCTTAGTGGAGATGTCCCCTTTGCCAGCAGTTTTCTCCTCGGCCTGGGCCAAGAGCCTCTGCTTCTTCTCTTGCTTTGTCTCTGGTCTGTACTTGTGGGCCAGCTCAAGCAGCTGAGTAGCAGTTTGGCGGTCCAGGGCCTGGGTGAACTGGTTAATTGCAGGAGGCACTTTCAGCCGTTTATAGAGGAAGGCTCTCTGATGCTGCAACTTGATATAGCGGGGCCATTTCACAAAACGGGTGAGGTCTCTTTTGGGCTGGATGTCCTGTCCAACACCAAAATTCTTAGGCCTTTTCTCAAACAGGGGATTCACCACTTTCTTGGCCTCCTGCTTCTTCACGACAGCAGGGGCTGGAGCCACCTTCATCCCCCGGCCTTCTTTCCTTTCGGCATCTTGGGCGGCGGGAGGAGAGAGTACACCCAGCTGATTTTTAAAATTTTTTTTGTAGAGACGAGGTCATGCTATGTTGTCCAGGCTGGTCTTGAACTCCTGGCCCTCAAGTGATCCTCCTGTCTCAGCCTCCCAAAGTGCTGGGACCACAGGGGCATGAGCCACAGCACCTGGCTGTAAAATTAATTTTTAATTACACAAGTCATTCACGGACCCACTGTCTTTGTAAAAAACAAAAATCAAAGTGTTGTACATAAGACTGGTGTTCTTGTCCACTTCCCATCCCATCTAGCCCAGGGTACAAATACTGCTCCCCCGAAGTAATCTCAGTATTGATTTGGGAGAATCATTCCACTCTCTGTATATGATATTTTCTCACGAAAAAAGGCAAGTCCTGTGGGTGGTGCTGGCTTTGGTTTTGATGTCAAATGAGAATCATATTGAACCAGGCACACCTGCTCTGTGGTGGGCTTTTCTGCACAACAGCGGATCACAGATGGCTTCCAGGACTCAGAATCTCTGCTGCATGGTAGTGCGGAGGCCAGGTGAATGGTGGTTGATGCCACTCTGTGGATGGGCATGTAGCTGCTTCCCCATGATCACTATTACAGACGAGCTAGCTGCAAACACCCCGGCCCAGCCTGCCCCCATCCCTCTGCATGCACAGTGCTCGCTGAGCTCCAGGCTATGATCTGTTATGTCCTCCCCTCTCCTTCTCGACTCCATCTCCTCCTCCTGTCCTCCAAGGTCAGGCCCCACTCCTTGTCCTGGTCCCACTCTTCTGGCTGACACCGCTATCCCTCACTTGCCATCCGAACTCTGCCCTCAAATGCAGAATCAGACTTGAAACCAATATGGACCCAGAGCTTCTCACCCACAAGTCATCTTCACATTCCAACCCATCACCTCCCAGGGCCAGCCACACACTTCCTGGTCTCAGCACTGAGCATCACCACCTGCCAGGAGTTATCTCAGCTGCCAGGAGTTATCTCTGACACCTCCCTCTCCTGTCACCCATGGCACATCTGTCTCCCCTTCCTGCTGCTGAATCTTCCTCCAAGGGGCTGTTCAAGACCCTAACCCAACGCCTCAGCCCTGGCCACAGCAGGCCTTAGCATCTCATGCCTGGACCATAGGCCTGTGTAACTACTTCTTCCATTCATCCACCCACACATCCATCTATTTTCCTTCCTTCCTTCCTTTCTTCCTTCCTTCCTTCCTTCCTTCTTCCCTCCTTTCTTTCCTTCCTTCCTTCCTTCTTCCCTCCTTTCTTTCCATCCTTCCTCCCATTCATTTTTACGTATCCATCCATCATTTCTATCCATCTACCCATCCATTCATCTATCCACCCATTCATCTATCCATCCATCCATCATCCACCCATCCATCGTCTACCCATCTATCACCCACCCATTCACCCATCCATCCATCCAACAAGCATACACTGAACACCTACTGGATGTTCTGCTGAACAAAACACACAGCTCCCAGAGCCCAGGAGACATCCTGGTGCATCTGTGTCCATGAGGAAGCAGACTCATCATCTGCAATGAAAATATGGGGTGATAGGTGCCACCCATGTGTTTGTGTCACTGTGCCTCACAGTGTGTGTGGTGTGTGAAAGGGAGAGATGTCCACGTCTCTGGGCCCACGCTAGATCTCTCTGCTGAAGCAGCACGCTTTCAACCATGCACCCCACTGAAGACCCTGCCAACAGCATTGACTCACTAAGTCCTCCACAGGCTCTGTGTTTTCCCCGTTTTCCCAAATCCAGGACTGAAAACAGGCAGGCCCCATGCCCTCTGCCTGCCTCCCACTTCCAGCCCAGGGCCACTTCCTCCTCTAAGGGCTCTCTCCCATCTTCTCCTCTGATCCTCTCTGTGCTCCCAGGCAGTGCCTTTGCCCTGGCAACAGCTGTCCCCTCCCGTAGACCCTCTCCTGCGCTGTTTCAGCAGGTGGGCAAGCTCACCCCACTCCTACCCAGGAGTCCTTCCTTCTCCCTTGACCTGTTCCCTTCTTCCTCCTATGCCTTCTTTCCTCCCAGACCAGCCGGGTGGGAACTCTCATCCCTGGATGTGGCCACTCCCTCCCTCCCATCCTGCACACCCCTGCAGCTGCTCTGTACCTGCCAATGGGGAGAAAAGAGGCCTCCAAACCCCACAGCCCATTTTCTCTCCATTGATGGCCTCTGATGCTGGGGGTCTCTCCTGGCTTCTCAGCCCCTTTCTTTCCTTGATTCTACCTCTCGGGCCACCCTTCTCCTGTTTCCTCTGCAGCCTCCTTGGCTTCCATCAGCCCTCTGTGTCCATGTCCCCAGGGCCCCATCTTCCCTCTCCCTGTGCTCTGCCCCCCAGGCAGCCTTCCCTAGAGCCTGTGTGACCATCCTCATGCTGACCTCATCCAGCATCTCCCCTCTCATCCTGCAGCTGTGCTGAGCAGGGTCATGGGAGGCCCTGGGAAGCCCCCTGTCCTCCTCAAAAGAGTCCTTGCTAAGCTCTTCCTGGGGGCCCCTGACCTATTGGGCGAGGATTCTGTGTCCGGAGCACCCAGATATATGTGTGTTGGGCAACTTTCCCCACCCCCAGGCTGTGAGCACCTTGAGGGAAGGACCTGCATCTGATTTGTCTTTGCTGAATGGCTATGACTATGGCAGAGGCCGGAGGGACAGACGAACTGAGGACAGACGGACTGAGGAGAGCGCTCCTTCCTCCTCACTCTCGTGTTCCCTTTTTTCCTTCCATTTTCTTCCTCTCCTAATTAAAAAATTAGTTTTTAATTATGTGTGGTACATGAAGCAATTATTTTTGCACAAAATTTTAAAAATTTTTTGTGCTTTCACAAAATTAAAGCATGACAAAAGGCTGAAGTCTCTTCTCTCTCCCTCCCGCTTCCCACCTCCAATTCCCCCAAAAAGGGGAACCTCTGTGGCCAGTTCTGTGTGACCCTGTCCACACAGCCTATATGTGTCCTCTCATCTAAATAAAACAGAGCTGCATTTGGTGGTGGTGGGGTGTTGTTTAAAATATAAATACCATTTACTCTGTGTAAATTTTGCCAATAGCTTTGTCTGTCCAGTGATGAGTCTTCGAGTTCTTTCCACGAACATGTGGGTGCACCGTCATTGGTGTGCAAGAGCCAAAGTGGGCACCTCTTCCTCATCCTGCTCAGCGATGGCACGATGCTAGCCTGAAATTGGCCATGGTGGTAGTATTTACACTACAGAAGCGGGCACAAGCAACCCATAGGGAACATTCTCCCCAGAGGGCCAGTGTGCAAGCATACCCCAGGATGCACCCTGTTTCACAGATCTGGGTCTTTCGGGAGAGAGCTGCACTGTGGGTGACCAGCTCTCCTGTGGATGGACATGGGTGTTTTCCCCTTTTCACCATGACAGATAATGTCACCACAACCTTATCTGTCACCGATTCCTCTTCTGCCTTGCCCTCTGCTGGGTTCTGGTGTGGTGGGGCGGTGGGGCGGAGGGGTCCTCAGAATTCGTCTACAGTATGTGGGTTCTTTTCTGTCTGTCCATGGAATGTGCTGCCTCTTCAGGTCTCTGGGAGTCTGTCTCTCTCCTTCCTTCCTTCATCTTTCCTCATCCTCTCCCTCGTTTCTTCTCCTCCTCTCCAGATTTGGCCCTTGCCCCAAGGGTCACGATCTGTGGCTGCTTCTGTGTGGAGGTGTGGGTCCCACTGTGCACCCCTCTATTTAGGCCCTTTGTCAGGCTTGTCCTCCCCCGTCTTTCCCTCCTCTTCCATGTGCACGCATCTCTGCATCTGCCTGCGTCTCAGCTCCCCGAGGGTCCTGCCGCCCCCTCTTCATTTCATTTTTTAACTTTATTATTGATGTGCCCCGCCAACACTGCCTCTTCCTGCATCTTGCTCAGCCTCGCTCCCTCTCGCTCTCCAGAGGAGGCTTATTGGATTTTGCTTCAAGTCTGTGCGTCATTCCTGCTCTGTGCATGTGTGCGCACATGTTCGTGCGTGTGTGTGCCTACCACTTTCCCCGTCAGCTCCCTCTCTCTCTTTCTGGGGCTTGGAGAGTTTTACTCTATGTGTGTGTGCACAGGTGCACATGTGTGTGAGTCACTTCTCTGTAAGGTATGGTCAGGGCTGGGTCCCACCCTCCCTGTCACTCTCATGAACTCCATCTATCCACAACATGCCTGGTGAGCTCTGGACCAAGGTTTGTCCATCTGTCCTCTCCTGTTCTCTTCTTTCCCTCCTCTTGCGCTGCACCTGCCCTCTGCACAAGAGGTGCCCCTTATGCACCTTGGGCATAGAGGCCTCTGTAAGGACATCCCCCAATCTCCTTCTGCGTCTGAAAATCACCCACCTTCATTCTCTGTTGCATGCCACAGATTTGGGGCCAGTGTTGACTGGGGCCCTCCAGAGGTACCTCAAACTCATCTAATCATCTCTGCACTACAAACTGGCCCCTTTCCTGTTCTCATTAACACTGAATGTCAGTGCCTTCCTCGGTGTGGTGCTGCAGCCAGGAGCCCTGCATCGTCTCTGACTACTCCTGTTTAGCCACCCACAGCCCATCTGTTCCCCCTCCCTGCCAACTCTTTCTCCGAGGGGCTGCTAAAGGCCCCCATTCTCTCAGTCCCTGCTGCAGCATCGTGTGGAGATGAGGGGATAATTGTCTTCCTTTGTCCATCCATTCATCCATCCATCCATCCATGCATGCATTCATCCAACCATCCATCCATCCATCCATCCATCCATCCATCCATCCATGCATCCATCCATCCATCCATCCATCCATCCATCCATCCATCCATCCATCCATGCATCCATCCATCCATCCATCCATCCATCCATCCATCCATCCATGCATCCATCCATCTATGCATCCATCCATCCATCCATCCATCCATCCATCCATCCATCCATCCATACATCTACCCACCCATCCATACATGCATCCCTCCATCCATCCATCCACCCATCCACCCTTCCATCCATACATCTACCCATCCATCCATCCATCCATCCACCCATTCCTCCATCCATCTGTTCATTCATCCATTCATTCAGCCATCCATCTGCCCATCCACCCATTCACCCACCTATCCATCCACCCATCCATACATATGTCCACCCACCCATTCATCTGCCTACTCTTTCATCCATCCATCCATCTATATATCCATCCATCCATCCCTCCCTCCTACCACCTGACATACATTGAGCACCTGAGTGCTCTGTTGAAGACAAAGACTCCAAAACCCCGGGCTGTGTTCTAAGGAGTCCAGGGGGAGAGAGGACCAGTTACCACCCATGGGAAGATGGGGTGATAGGGACTTTGGAAGTCTCCAAGCATCACCGTGTGTGTTCTTGCATGTGCATATATGCATGTGTTTGCTCTGTCTTGGCCACTTTCTCAGACCCTTCTCTTTCCTCCTGATCTCTACTATCAGTGCTCCCCAGGGCTGTGTCCTCACCCCTCTGCCCTTGTCCTTCCATGGGCCATACTATCCACACCAGGGCTTCAGAGGTCCCTGCACACAAACTCCTCTGCATTTCTGTGCTCATCTCCCCTCTCCCAGACCTGTATACTCACTGTCCTGTCCTCAGCCCCACTCAGTCATACTCCCAGCATCATACACTCCCCAGGCTCCAAACAACCTCCCTCCTCTCCAGGCTTCATCTTATGCTCTCATCCTCCATCTCCAGGGACAGAAATCCAGGCTTCCCCTTCTCCCCACCTCCTTCCTTTAAACTTGTGCTGACTCTTTCTCCCAAATCTCCCATCTCCTCCTTTGCTCCTTTCATCCCATGGCCAGCATGGTTGCCCTGGTGACAGCCATCCTCTTCCCTCCTTCTGAGTCTGCTTTCCAGCATGAGAGATGTGTTCTGGTGACCTGTTCCTCCCATGCTCTGTCTTCTCTCTCTGTCCATCTGCAGAAAATCTGGGAAAGGGACCCTTGGCTTTACTTGCTTCCATTCCCAGCCCACGCATACCCCATCCTTGGCAAGGGACCTCAGCCACATTGAGCCCACCATGGTTCTCAAGAGAGCTCTCCATAGACCTCCTTCTTGCCAAAGCCCATGGTCCCTTTTTCCTCCTCATTTCTCCTGGCCCATTGGGGTCCTGATTGGGGTGCCCATCCTTGCTTGGGAGGCCACTGTCTCCTCCTTCAGGACACTGGGTGCTCCTGGCTTTTCTCCCACCCATTGGGCAGTTTCTCTCTTCCATCCACCTCTCAATACTGATGCTTCCCAGAGCTCAGTCCTCCACCGCTTCCTGCCCTGCCCGTTCCCCAAGGGCAGCTTCCTCCACCCCCAGGACATCTGTGGCCACCCATTGTCCTTCTTGGACATAGAGCTCTCTCCTGAACTGGGACTTGCACATCCATGTACCTGAACACAGGACTAGACACTTCCCTGCCCTTCCCACACTGCTCTTCTTTTCTCCAACCTCCTCACCTGCCCAGCTCCCCATCCTCAGCACAAGTAGACCAAGTCTCAGGCACTTTCTTGACTCCTTCTGACCACATCCAGTCCCACCATAGGGCTGTGCCTCCAGCACACCACCACCATCCCATCTGGGTGTCAGCTCCCAGGGCCTCCCGGGTTTCCCATCTCCAGCCTTGCCCCTTCCTGTCTACACTTGGTGAGGCCACCCAAGCCACCTTTCTAAATCTCCCACTTGGCAGCTCACCCTTCACTGGCCTAACCCCACTAAGCCAGCTTCCCCACCTCCCCACCCTCCTGATAAACTTCAAGCCAATTTTTCCTGCTTTAAGGCTCTGGGCAAGGCCAAACCCTCACACTCTTGGTGACTTATCCTTCTGCCCTGTCTCCAGTCACAAGGAACCTCTTGCAGTGCAGAAAGACTCACCCTCTCCCCACCTTCTGGCCTTTGCTCAAGCTGCCCTTGGCAGGAACGCCTCTCACCTGTCTGCCTGGCACACAGCAAGGCTTCTCTTGGCTCAGGCACTTCATCCTCCCTGATGAAGTCCCAGGGCCTCTCCCCTGAAAGCCCCCATAGCATCACAGGATCACACCCCTGGGAACAGCCAGGCACATGCATGTGTTTGGGGGGATCTTTCCCGCCAGACCACGGGCATCTTGAGAGCCTGCATCTGAGTTCTCTCTGAGTGTCAGCACAGAGGAAGGCTGAGGAATGTCTGAAGCTGGAGGAACTTCAAGTTGAAAAAAAACACTAAAATTTCAGGAAGGAAGGACTAAAGTCTCCTTTGAAACCTCCTCCCAAATCCTGATTTCTACTTATTTTCCCACATGGATCCTCAGTTATTAGACTGATGTGAATTATACTGGTAGCTAGCTAGCTAGATGATTGATAGGAAGGAAAAAGGAAGGAAGGAAGGAAGGAAAGAAGAGAAAACTTGTTCTATTATTGTTGGTTTGGTTATTGTTGTTTGAACATAAATACTACACACTGTGCATGTGATTTGGCAGTGGCCTTCCTCATTCAGCAATGTGTCTTGGGTCTGCTTCCATGTCAGAGTTTAGGTGCATCACATTCTTTTATCAGATGCACAATGGCCGAGCTGGCTTCCTCCTGCCGATGAGCATGTTGGTGTCCCTGCTCTTTTGGTGAGGTGGTAGCAGCTTCTGTGCATGGCCTCTTTCTGTGTCTCACTCTAGGGTCCCCAGTGTGTGATCAGGCTGCCGTGTGCCTGCTTGTCTGTCTGTCTGTGTGTGCACACATCTGCCTCTTTGCCTCTCTGAATCTCTCTCCTTCCTTTTCCCATTCTCTCTCATTATTCCATATTCCCTCTAGATTTGGTCCCCATGTTGCAACACAACTGTGTTTGTGTGTCTCACCCTGGGTCACATCTGTGGGTTCCTCTTTACTTGGAGCCTTTTCTCCTTCTGATTCTCATTCACTTGGTGACTTCTCACCCCTGTGCATCCACTTGCTCTGCCATCCATTCATCCACCCACTTTGGACATTGAGCATCTTCCAGGAGCTGGACAGCTCCCATACGTGAGTCAGTGTGTGTGCCCCCTCTGTGTACTGCCCCTGGGTCTCTGCCTGTCTGTGGGCCTGTCTCTCCGAGCCCCCTTCTCCCACCCCTGCCTTCATCCTCCTCAGCTGCACTTCCTTCTGCTCTCCAGAGGAAACTTATGGAATTTGCTCTGTCCACGCATCATTCCTGCTGTGTGTGTGTGTACTTGTGTGTACGTGTAAGTGGGTCATCTCTTTCTGAGGCATGGTCAGGGTTGGCTTCCACTCTCTGTCACTCTCATGGACATTTCATCTGCTTGCCTCTCCATCCAGCCATCTGTAGCATGCTCAGCTAACTCTGGGGCAGGGTCTTCCTGTCTGGTCTGTCTTCCTTTCCTTCTCTTTCTCTCACTCCTCACACACTCCCCGGATGAACTCATCCCCTGCCCTCTGTGCTGACATCTCCCTAACTGCTCCTGCAACCAAGACTCCCCACCTTTTTCTCTTCTTCGCAAGCCACTAGATTCCTCCCCAGGAGAATCCAACCCATTGCATCATCTTCACACCCTGAGATGTGTTTCTCTTCCAGTTCGCATTAGCACTGAGCCCCGCTGCCTGCCTCAGGCTGCAGTGGGAGACTGAGCCATCTCTAACTCCTTCTGCTGCCCACGGCACATCTGTCCCACTTCCTGCCAAGTCTCTTTCCAAGGGACCACTCTGAGACCCTTCTAACCCCAATCCCTTCAGCCCCTCTCTCTGGCCAGGCCCCAGCATCCTGTGCTTGGACAACTGAAGAGGCTTCCTCCTTTGTTGTCCATCCTCCACTCCCACCCCCTCTTCATCCTCCATTAACCTCTGGAAGAATCATGAATCACCTTTGCTTAAATCCTCCCATAGCTTCCATGTCACTCACAGTAAAAGTTAATATTCTCACCATGGCCCACAGGCCTTACCCAGTCTATTTCCTGTTACCTCTCTCCTTTCATCTCCCACTCCTTTCCCCCTTGCTCATGTTGCTCCAGCCACATGGGCTTCCTTGGTGTTCCTTGAGCAGACAGACACCAGGGCTGTCACCTATGGTTGTTCATGGCATGAGGGCACCTGGCAGAGGATGTCAGTGGAGGACAAAACCCAGCCCTTGTTCTGTTCTCCAAGCCATGAGCCCTGGTTTGGGGTTGCCTCTGCTTAGAAGAAAGATTGTCTATTTCTTTTAAATATATAGATAGAAAAGACCTTTAGCATTCTTGCTTACTTGTTTCATTATCTGTTATTTTGGGATCTGTTTCTATTTACTGATTTTTCTCCTAGTTATGAGCTACAATTTTTGGTTCTTGGCCTGTCTAGGAATTTTTGATTGGATGCTGGACATTGTAAATGTTACACTATTGATGGTCTGGAATTGTGTTGTCTTCTGTTAAAGAGTGGCATGCAGTTAAATTACTTGCTAATTACTTTGATCATTTTGAGGCTTATTTTTAAGCTCTTTTAGGGTGGGTCCACAGTAGCCTTCACTTATGGGATAGTTCCTAACCTGTGTGACTTCTAGGAATTGTTCAAATTAAAATGCTTCAGTCTTTCTTTGCCTGGCCTCAGGGAATTTCACCCTACACACCTGAAGCCTTGCACATGGCAGTGATTCAAGAGGACACATGTAGATTTCTGGAGCTGTTTTTCTTCCTTCAGTCAGGTACTCTGCCCCTCAACTTACAGCCACCTAAGCCTACCTGAACTTTGTTCTTGGTCTCAAAGATCAACTCAGCAATACTGCTGGACTCTATTTGAATTTCCCCTCCCTGCACCTAAGATGCCTCCAGACAGAAAGCTGGGTGAACTGTAGAGCTAACTTGATTTGCTTACCTTTCTTCAGGGATCACTGTCTTATGCTACTGCCTGTTGTTCAATGTCTGCAAACAATTGTTTCCAATGTTTTGCCTAGTTTTTTTTTCTAATTTTCATAAAGCTCTTTATTGGTTAGTAGAGACATTGGGAGTCATGATCCCACCTTAGAGCCTTTGCACTTGGTTCCCTCTACCTGGAACGCTTCCCCCAGATATCCACGTGGCCAACTTGCTCACTTCACAAGTGCTCATGTTACCCTCTCAGTGAACCCTTCCCTAACCACCTGCTATGGACTGAATGTTTGCGTTTTCCCAAAAGTCAGGTGTTGAAGCCTTAATGCCCAGTGTAGTGGTATTTGGAAGTGGGCCTTTGGGAAGTGATTAGGTTTTGATGAGGTCATGAGGGTTAAGCCTCCATGATGGGATTAGTTCCCTTAAAAGAAGAGGAAGAGAGGACCAGATCCCTCTCTCTGTGTCATGTGAGGATACAGCAAGAAAGCTTTCATCTGCAAACTAGGAACAGGGCCCTCACCAGACACCAAATACGCTGGCACCTTGATCTTGGACTTCCCAGCCTCCAGAACGACGAAAAATAAATATTGCTTAAACCATCCAGTAGATGGTATTTTGTTATAGCAGCCTGAGATAAGATATCACTTTACTTAGAATTGAAACTACCTCAACTTGTAATGCCCCATTACCTTGTGTATTTCTCTCTATGTATATATTTACTGTCTATAAAATTAATTGCCTGTCTTCGTCCCCTAACCTCCTTCTGCTCTATACCTGTCTTTTTTCCATTAACATGGAAGCTTGATGAGGGCAGAGAATTTTGTCTGTTTATTCACTGCTGCATCCCCAGTGCACAGTGGGGATAGTTCGGCTTGACTGTGGGGCTCACAGGGATTTAAGTTGAGCAGCGTTTCTGTAGGTGCCCAACACATCCTGGAGCAACTGCTGGTGCTGGCTGAGGTTAGGATGGGGAAGGGGTAGAAAGGCCTGTTCAGGGCCTAAGCAGCTCACCATCCATTCACAGTTATGCTCAGAATCTCATTCTCTACCTACACCTACCACCTCTGACATAAGACAATGTCTGGCCTCCTTGCCCCAGCACAGGCTTCTTCCTCTGCCCAGAGTACAACTCCCTGGCTCAGCTATGTGGCACAGACACCTAGCTTCAGAGTCTCCACCTGTATGAAGTGTTCTGTGAATCTTGTGACTTCCAATCCCTTCTTCACTCTGGGACCAAGAAAATTCTTTCTAAATGCCTTATTCTATTCAGGCTTCTATAACAAATTACCATAGACTGGGTGGTTTACAAGCAACAAATATTTATTTCTCAAAGTTCTGGAGGCTGGGAAGTCCAAGGTCACAGCACCAGCAGATCTGGTGTCTGATGAAGGCTCTCTGGTCCATAGACAGTGCCTTTCAGCTGTGTCCTTACATGGTGCAAGGGCTGAGGAGTCTCTCTCAGGCCACTTTTTAAGAAAATCATTCATTTTTCTTTCCAACTTTTATTTTACATTCATGGGGTACATGTGCAGATTTGGTATATAGGTAAATTGCATGTCTCGGGGCATTAGTGTGCAGATTATTTTATTACCCAGGTAATAAGCATAGTACCTGATAGGTAGTTTTTCCATCATCACCCTCTTCCCACCCTCCACCCTCAAGTAGGCCTCTATGTTATTGCTCCCTTCTTTGTGTCCATGTGTACTCAATGTTTAGCTCCCACTTATAAGTGAGAAAATGCAGTATTTGGTTTTCTGCTCATGCATTAATTCACTTAGGATAATGGCCTCCAGCCCCATGTACGTTGCTGCAACGGACAAGATATTGTCCTTTTTTATGGCTGCATAGTATTCCATGGTGTATATTTACCACATTTTTCTTTATCTAGTCCACTGTTGATGGGCATTGAGGTTGATTCCAGGTCTTTGCTATTGTGAATAGTGCTATGATGAACATGTATGTGTCTTTATGATAGAATGATTTTATTCCTTTGGGTATATACCCAGTAATGGGATTGCTAGGTCAGATATTAGTTCTATTATAAGTTCTTTGAGAAATCTCCAAACTGCTCTCCACAGTGGCTGAACTAGTTTACATTCTCACCAGCAGTGTATAAGCATTCACTTTTCTCTGCAACCTCACCAGCATCTGTTATTTTTTGACTTTTTAATAATAGCCATTCTGCCCAGTGTGAGATGGTATTGCACCATGGTTTTGATTTCCATTTCTCTAATGATCAGTGATGTGGAACATTTTTTCATATGCTTGTTGGCCACATGTATGTCTTCTTTTAAGAAGTATCTGTTCATATCCTTTGCCCGTTTTTTAATGGACTTGTTTGTTTTTTTCCTCAGGCCCCTTTTACAACGGCACTAATCCCATTCATAAGAGTAGAGTCCTCATGACTTAATCATCCCCCAAGGGCCCCACCTCCTAATACCATCACCTGCAGATTAGGATTTCAACGTATGAATTTTGTGGGGGGACATAAACATTCAGACCATAGCACTAATCCCAGAACGTTCTATGTCATTTCCTCTCTCTAACGCCTTCCACTGCACCCCATTGCTCCTGTGAGAAATATCAGATTCCTCAAGTTGGTGTATCATCTTTTACAACATAACAACAAATTACGCCCATGCAATCAGCTTAACATGACAAAATCATTTTCTCACAGTTTCCGAGGTCAAAATTCTTTGAGCAGCCTGGTTGAGTGTTTCTGGCTCAGGTTTTCTCATGAGATGTAGTCAGGCTGACAGCTGGGGCTGCTGCATCCTGAAGGCTTCAACTGGGGCTAAGGATCTGCTTCCAAGATGGCTCCCTCCCAGGGCTGTTGGCAGGAGGCCTCATTTCCTTACCACATGGGCTTTCCACAGGGTTGCCTGAGTGTTCTTACATGGCAGCTGGATTCCCCCAGAGAGAGTGATGACAAAGAAAGGTAAGGAGGGGAAGAGGGTGGGGAGGGAGAGGGGACACTGGGGAGCCACAGTGACTTTTATGACCTAGTTTCTGAGGCTGTACATCATCACCTCCACTTTATTTTATTCACTAGTGACTTATTAAGTCTAGCCTACATTCAGGGGAAAGGAATTAAGCTCTATCTCTTAAAGGTAAGAGTACCAAAGGATTTGTGGACATACCTAGCTACTTGGGAGGCCGAGACAGGAGAATGGCTTGAACCCGGGAGGTGGAGCCTGCAGTGAGCTGAGATTATGCCACTGCACTCCAGCCTGGGCAAAAGAGCGAGACTCGGTCTCAAAAAGAAAAAAGAAAAAAAAATTGTGGACGTACATTAAAAGCACTATAGTCTTCCCTCTGACCACAAATTATTTACATTCTTCTAACATGCAAAATACAGTCCACCCTCCGAAGGACCCTGAAGTCTCATACTGGTACAGTATGAGCTTGAACTCAAGACTTTTGTCATCTAAACCATATGCAGGTGTGGGTGAGTCTCCTTGGGAGTGGTTCCCTAAGCATATCCCCAGCAATACACTCCCTCTCAATGAGTAAACCTGTGAATCCCAAGAGGTGAGTTACCTATCTACCCCTCAACCCCACTCGGCACCCAGTATACAATGGTGGAATAGGTATAGGATAATCGTTCAGAACCAGGGGAAATGGGAAGCACAGATAAGTCGCTGGTCCATAGTAATTCTGAAATCTAGCTGGGGAAATGTTGAAGGGTTAGGACTTATGCTACTCTGGCTCAGAAATAATTTTCCAAGGGGTTCTGCTCTTTCTGTCTCCTTCTAGGTTCTTGGGTCTACCTCAAAGTAAAAAGTAGCCTGTGTTTACAACTGTGTTCTTTTCTCAGCCTGCTTCCTGCTAATAGAATTTAGCAAGTTCAAAGGCCTCTTTCCTTTCACATTACCTCTGTCCCTTTCAGTACATGCTGATGCTATTTCTGTTGATATAATTCTTTTTTTTCCCCCTCAGACAGGGTCTTGCTCTGTCACCCAGGCTGGAGTGCAGTGGTGTGATCTCAGCTCACTGCAACGTCTGCCTCCCAGGTTCAAGTGATTCTCCCACTTCAGCCTCTCCAGTAGCTGGGACTACAGGCACACACCACCACGTGTGGCTAATTTTTATATTTTCTTAGAGATGGGGTTTCGCTTTGTTGCCCAGGCTGGTCTTGAATTCCTGGGTTCAAGCAATCCTCCTGCCTCGGCCTCCCAAAGTGCTGGAATTATAGGCATGAGCCACTGTGCCTGGTGATATAATTCTTTTTAAAATGTTGTTGTTTTCCTGTGAATCTTTTTGGGATCTACTCTACAAGACAAAAGCCACACCCAAAAATCTCTTGAGATAAGCCCTTGACTACTTTGTGGTTCTGCAGAGACAAGCTCTTAAACATCCAACTGTTTGAGTCAGAGGGTCTGTGAGGTAAGTCTTTAAATTTTTTAGAGGGCCCTTTGCTGACTGAGAGTACTCTGAGGAACCACTTTAGATCTTTTGCAGCCACATCCTCACCTGATTTTTAGATTATATTTTCTTGGCAATGTTCTGGATTGAATCTTTACTCAAAAAGCATTTCTTAATTTTAGCAAGGAGGCCAAGACTTTTCAAAACCATCAAGTCCTGGCTTCTTCATGTTTAACAGTTATTCACTTAGTTCACCTCTTTAATCTTGCATTTACCATAAATATCAAAAATAAACAGATGACATCTTCAACAGTTTGCCTGGAAATCTCCTTCACTAGATCACTTGTCTCACTGGGCACATTTTGTACTTTTCGTGTTACTGTAAGCAATAGTGTTACTAAACTTTTTGCTACTACATTAGAAGGATCCCTTTTCCTCCAGTTTCCAATAAGATCTTCCTCACTTAAAGAAAACAAAACAAAATGCTCACTGCAGTCTGCAAAGGACGTCATGCTTCTATAAATAGTTTCTCTTTGAACTCTTCAAATGTTCACTATAATTCTCATCAAAATCTTTCAGCTTCTCCCCAGTACCTGGTTCCTAAGCAATTCTCATATTTTAGGTTTTTGTTATGGTAGCACTCCACTTCCAAATACCAAAATACGTATTAGTTATCCATTGCTGTGTAACAAATTGTTCCAAAACTTAGCATTTTAAAACAACAAACCATTGTTATCTGACAGAGTTGCTGAGGGCCAGCAGTCTGGGAGCATATCTGGATGGTTCTGGATCAGGGTCTCTCAGGAGACTGTAGTGAAGCTATTAGCTGGGGCTTAGTGATCTGGAGTCCTGACCAGAGCTGGAGGCTCTGCTGTCAAGATGGCCCAATCAAGTGGCTGTTGGCAGGAGGTCTTAGTTCCTCACCATGTGGCTCTCTTCCCAGGGCTCCCTAAGTGTCTTCAGGGCATGGCAGCTGGCTTCCCCAAGAGGAGGTAATCAGAGAGAAAAAGAGAGAGAGTGGAGAGTAAGAAGGAGGAAGAGGAAGGGAGGAGCTACAGTCCTTTTATGACTGAGTCTTCAAAATCCTACACCATCTCTTCTGGTTTGTCCTATAGCTAGAAGCAAGTCACTAAGTTTGGTCCATACTCAGAATAGAGGAATTAGGTTCTACCTTGAAGGGAGGTGTGTAAAAGCATTTGTAGACGTCTTAAAACTGCTGTACTTGGCATTCAAAGCCTTCTGGTATCTGGCCCTGACTAACCTTCCAGGGCTAGATTAAGACCAAACAGAGGGCCGGGTGTGGTGGCTCATGCCTGTAATCCCAGCATTTTGAGAGGCTGAGGTGGATGGATCACCTGAGGTCAGGAGTTCAAGACCAGCCTGGCCAAGATGGTGAAACCCCCATCTCTACAAAAAATACAAAAATTAGCCAGTCATCGTAGTAGGTGCCTGTAATCCTAGCTACTTGAGAAGCTGAAGCACTAGAATTGCTTGAACCCGGGAGGCAGAGATTGCAGTGAACTGAGATTGCACCACTGCACTCCAGCTTGGGTGACAGAGCAAGACTCTGTCTCGAAAAAAAAAACAAAAACGGACCATGCAGAGGCCCCAGGATTATGGTTCTCCCTCCTCAACAGTAAATAAAAATAATCAATACACAATAAATTAAGTATAAGCAGGTTCACAGAGTTCTATTTTTCTCATGATAATGATTTTCATAATATTTTTAAATTATTGAAGTATAATTTACATGCAATGCTACGCATCCATTTTAAGTGTACATCTTGATGAGTTTTCACAAATGCATACACCAATGTAACCACCACTACAATCAAGATATAGAACTTTCCTGTCCCCAGAAACTTCCCTCCATGGCCCTTTGAAGTCAATCTCTCACCACTCCTTGCCTCAGGCAACAAATAAACTGCTTTCCATCAATGTAGATCAGATTTACATTTTCCTGAGTTGCACATAGAGGAATCACGCAGGAAGTACCTTTTTGCTTCTGGCTTATTTTATTCAGCATAATGTTTCTGAGATTAATCCATGTATCAGTAGTTTGCTCCTTTCATTCCTGAGTAGTATTTCATTCTATAACTATATACATATTTATTTACCTTTTTGCATGCCGATGAACATTTATTTTTTTCCCAGTTTATTTTTATTTTTTTAAGATGGAGTCTCACTCTGTCACCCAGGCTGTAATGCAGTGGTGCGACCTCAGCTCACTGCAACCTCTGCCTCCCGGGTTCAAGCGATTCTCCTGCCTCAGCCTCCTACACTTGATCTGAGCCAAAAGGCCGAGAAGCGATATGCCTCAGCCTCCTGAGTTGCTGGGACTACAGGTGCCTGCCACCACGCCCAGCTAATTTTCATATTTTTAGTAGAGATGGGGTTTCACCATGTTGGCCAGGCTGGTCTCAAACTCCTGACCTCAGGTGATTCACCCACCTCGGCCTCCCAAAGTGTTGGGATTACAGGCATGAGCCACTGCACCCGGCCAAACATTTATTTTTTCCCCAGTTTTAGGCTATTATCAATAAAGCTGCTATGATATTTGAGGGCTGGCCTTTGTGTGGACATATGTTTTCATTTCTCTTAGGTAAGTATATAGAAGAGGAATTGCTGGGTTGAATGGTTGGTGCGTGTTTAACTTTATAAGAAATTGCCAAAATGTTTTCCAAAGTGATTGCACCATTATGAACTTCCACCAGCAATGTATGAGAGTTTCAGGTGCCCCACAGTCTTGCTAAGATGTGATATGGTCAGTCTTTTATTTGAGCCATTCTAGTGAGTGTGCAGTGGAATCTCATTGTGGCTTTGATTTGCATCTGCTGAATAACAATGTTGAGAATCTTTTCATGTGCTTATCTGTCACTCATATATCTTCTTTGGTGAAGTATCTGTTCAGATCTCTGCTAATTAAAAAAAAATCAGCTTGAGTATCTTGTTATTACTGAGTTGTAAGCATTCTTGTTTTGCTTTGTTTTTGAGACAGGGTTTCTCTCTGTCACCAAGGCTGGAGTGGAGTGGCATGATCTTGGCCTCCACCTCCCCGGTCAAGGTAATCCTTGGCTTCAACCTCTGCAGTTGGCTCAGGTGATCCTCCTACTTCAACCTCCTGAGTAGCTGGGACTACAGATGTGTGCCACCACACCTGGCTCATTTTTGTGTAGAGATGAGTTTTGCCATGTTGCCAGGCTGGTCTTAAACTCTTGGGCTCAAGCAATCCACCCGCCTCGGCCTTTCAGAGTGCTGGAATTACAGGCATGAGCCACTGTACCTGGCCAGAATGTTCTTTATAAATTCTGGATATGATGTGAGATAAGAGTTAAGCCTCATTTTTTTTCCATGTGGTTTTTCAATTGTTCTAGCAGCATTTCAGGAAAATTATCCTTTCCTTGTTGAATTGCCTTGGCACTCTTGTCAAAAGTCAATTAATTGACTGTGTATGTGTGGTTTTACATCTGGACTGTCTATTAGGTTCCATTTAACCACAGGCAATACCACTTTATCTAGATTACTGTCGGTTTATAGTAAGTCCTCAAATTAGGTAGCATAAGACCTCCTAATGTGTTCTTCTTTGTTGAGATTGTTTTGGTTATTCTAGGTCCTTTGCATTTCTTTTTTTTTGTTGGGGGGATGGAGTCTTGCTCTTGTTGCCCAGGCTAGTGTGCAATGGCGCGATCTCAGCTCACTGCAACCTCTGCCTCCTGGGTTCAAGCGATTCTCCTCCCTCAGCCTTCTGAGTAGCTGGGATTACAGGTGCCCGCCAAGATGCCTGGCTAATTTTTGTATTTTTATTAGAGACGGGGTTTCAGCATATTGGCCAGGCTGGTCTTGAACTCCTGACCTCAGGTGATCCGCCCGCCTCCGCTCCCAAAGTGCTGGGATTACAGGAGTGAGCCACCTCGCCCTGCTGGTCTTTTGCATTTCTATATCAGTTTTACAATCAGTTTGTCAGTTTCTACCAAAAGTCTGCTAGGATTTTGATTGCAATTGCATTGAATCTATAGATCAATTTGGGGAGAATTGATATCTTAATGCTATGTGACCCTGGATCAGTTACGTGCCTCCTCTGAACTGCAGCTTCCTCCTGGTCCCTCCCTGACAGGTTTTAGTGAGCAGGCAAAGCTGAGCTGAGCACAGTTATGGGCACACAAGGGAACAGGCTCCCTGTGTGTTTCAGTGGTGAGGACAGGGGCTGCCATAATGCTTTTCACAGTGTGTGCCAGCCGCAGGTCGCAAGACCATGGGGGCTGCCCCAAGCAGGGAGTCCATGGCCCTGGACTGGGTCCTGTGTCCCCACTCACTTGTTGCAACACTCCAGCCATGTGGCCTCCTCTCCCTGGGCCTCAGTTTTCTCATCTGTAAATCGGAGGCAGTGAGTGTTGCCAGGCAGATTCCACGAGATGGCGGATGAGCAGGAGCTAAGAAAACCACCTGTTTTCTCCATTTCACCCTGGGCTGCCAAGTGCTGCAGGCACAAATCACATCACCATGCCGATTGGCGCCAGCACAGATTAATTTTCTCCAACCTTGGCTGGGTCTTAAGTGCAGCTCAGCAACCCCTTGACTGGTCCCCAAACGCCTTTCCGTTCCCGTAGCAGTTGTTCCGCCGGGGCCCCCATTCCCCCCTTGTTCCCCTGGGCCCCACAGACAAGCCCAGCTCCTGCTCAATGGAGAAAACACAGGCATTTGTGGAGGCACTGGCCGCTGCCACTCCCCTCCCTCACGCCTCTGCAGCGATCTGCCTGCACCTTCCTGTGTCCAAGGCCAGCTGTCCCTTGCCTGTGTCCTCCCGGGCCTTACATCTGTCTTTTCCTTCCTCCAGTTTCTCCCTCTCTGCTGGCTCTTTTCTCTCCACCCATAAATTCTCAAAAGCTCCCATCCTGCCTCTGCCTTCATCAAAGTCCCCCTCCTTCCTGGGCACCCTTCCCTGCATCTCCCCTTCTTGTCATAATCCTCACTACCCCCATGTTTTTTTCCAGGATGCCACGAGGCTCCCACAGGCTCACCTGCCTGCCTGTCTCTTGGGGGCTTTCAACATCAGCCACAGCCAAGTGGGACAACTGCTGGGGGCCCCAGGCATGATGTAACACCACCCCGCTGCTCGGGAGGATCTGGGACCCCACAAAGTTCACCCAGGACACGGGGATAAAGTTACACACTGAGGACTTAATGAGCTCACCTTGGCAGCTCAGCCCAACACTGAGGGATTGCTTAAATCTGAGCCTTCCACCAGGCCTGGATCTCATCGATGTGGGGCCTCCCAGCCCATTTCTTCCTTCTTAGTATACCCTGTCTTTTCCTCCACCCCTCTACCAACAGTCCCCCTCCTTCTCAGGCCTGGCTGCCCCTTCTGGGCTGCTCCAGGCCCTGTGGGCCATCGAAACCTCCCTGGCCAATGTCATCAGGGTCTTCCATGAGGGCTCAGCCAGTGGTGTTAGCTGGGCAGCATCTGAGACCATCAACCACCTCTTCTTCCTCAAACGTGTGACCCCTGGGTTTCCCCAGCATCCACTTCTTTCCTGGCTTTCTTGCCCATTCTCTGGCCACTTTGTGCCCTCCTCACCCTTTGTAGCTCCTCTTCCCTGGCTCGCTAAGCCTCTAAGACTTCCTTTTTTCTCCTCTTCTTTTTCTTTTTTCCTTTTGGAGAGACAGGGTCTTGTCTGTCACTCAGGCTGGAGTGCAGTGGCGCGATCACGGCTCACTACAGCCTTAAACTCCTGGGCTCAAGCAACCCTCCAGCCTCACCCCCTCAGAGTGCTGGGATTACAGGTGTGAGCCACTACCCGCCTCCTTCCTCCTCTTCTCTCCTCTCTCGACACCCTCTTCTGGGGCCATCATCTCTCTGACTGCCGTTCTGGCCTCCTTACACTCTCCCTCGTGCTCGATCCTTGGCTAACACTGCTGATGACATGTCACCACCTCAAAGTCATCGGGCCCCAAACCAAACTCTATTTTTGATGTTTATGGTAAATGCAAGATGAAATAGGTGAACTAAGTGAATAACTGTTAAAAACATGAAGAAGCCGGAACCTGATGGTTTTGAAAAGTCTTAGCCTCTTTGCTAAAATTAAGAGGTGCTTTTTGAGCAAAGATTCAAAGATTCAAACTCTATCTTTCCTCAGAACCAGCCCTCCTTCCTGAGTGTCCCATCTGCCATGCCTTCAGTGCTTTATTTATTCAGTGATTTCAGCAAGTATTTACTGGGCACCTACCAGGGGCCAGACTCTGTTCTAGATGCTATGATGCTGCGTTTGAGGTGGGACGTGTTGAGGCTCTGCTAGATCCTTTCAGACCCTGCTTAGCCAGTGTTTTATGCCCCTGAACCCTATCTTTGGTATGTTAGTTTCCCACGACTAGCCCTTGCAAGTTGTGTTTGTGACTAAAGTTCCGGGAGCTTCTTTCCCCACAGGTTTTGAGAGCTGGAATTACATGGGTGTTTATGTTTTGCGTCCCAACCCCACGATGCATCCCAAATCCTATAGGCATGCCTGCCTTGGTGCAAGACTCTGAAAGCCCAGCTTCCTTGCCTCCAGGAGGGACAGCTCGGGAGTGTGACTTACCCAGTGGAGCTCCCCTGTGGGGTGAGGCTGAGGCAGCCCCCTGCGGGACCTGGTCTAAGGTCACAGCCTGGCCGGACCTCCTCTCCCTTTCCTGTCCTGCTTCCCCATTCCCTGTCCAGTTTGTCTTGAGACCGCTTCCTGAATAAATCACTTGCTCCTAAATTCTTGTCCCAGGGTCTGCTTCTGGGGACTCCAGCCCAAGGCAGTGTTGAACACGACGGCCAACGAGTTACCAGCACTTCCCTAATGCCCTCTGAAACCTCATTCAGACTCTCGCACCCTGCACCCTCAGGGCCATCCTCTTGAGGTGGGCCTTGTCATCCCGTTGAATGCACCAAGCACCTCCCAGACCCCAGAAGACAGGCTCGTCCACTCTGGTCTAGCTTTCCCTCCAGCCCGCTCTCAACTACACATCTGATTATGCTGTTCCTCCACTTGAAACCCTCCCAGCCAACTCAACCAAAATATGAGAAAAAGATTTGAACCCCTACATACCCACTTAGAATAGCTAAAATCAAAAAACCAAACCAAACCACAAAACCTAACAATATATGAAGTGCTGGCAAGGATGAAGGGTAACTGGAACTCTCATAGGTTGCTGGTGGAAGTGCCAAAATGGTAAGCCTTTAAAAATGGTTTGACAGTTTCTTATAAAGTTAAACATACGTTTTATCGTATGACACAGGAACCCCACTCTTGGGTATTTCCCCTAGAAATGACAACTCTTGTCCACTCAAACGCCTCCACATAGACATTTATCGTAATTTTATCCATAATTGCCCCATATCCATAATGCCCCATATGTGAAACAACCCAAATATCTTTCAACTTGCAAAGACATTAAAACAAACAAACAAATTGTGGTACAGCCATATAATAGAACGATTCTCAGAAATAAGGAGGAACAAACATTTAATCATACAACAACATGGGTGAATCTCAGACGCATTACGATAAGTGAAAGAAGCCAGACCCAAAAGGCTACATACCATATGGCTCCATTTATGACATTCTGGAAAAGGCAAAGTAGAGGGACAGGGGACAGATCAGTGGTTGCCAGGGGCTGGTGGGGCATGAGGGAGTTTTGGAGTTGATGGAAATGTTTTCTATCTTAATTGTGGTGGGAGGTATGCAATGACATGTATTTGTTAAAACTGTCCACTGAGAAGAGTGAATGTCATTCTATGCAAATGGTACCTCAATAAACCTGACTTAAAAAAAAAAAAAAAAAAAAAGCCCTTTCTGGCCAGGCACAGTGCCTCATGCCTGTAATCCCAGCACTTTGTGAAGCTGAGGTAGGAGGATTGCTTGAGGCCAGGAGTTTGAGACAAACCTGGGTAACATGGCGAAATCCTGTCTCTCCAAAAAAAAAAAAAAAAAAAAAGAAAAAAAAAGAAAGAGTACAAAAATTAGCTGGGCATGGTGGTGCACACTTGTAGTCGTGGCAACTTGGGAGGCTGAAGTGGGAGGGGTTCCTGAGCCACACACTACACACCACCACACTCCAACCTTGGCAACAGAGTGAGACCCTCTCTCTAAATAAATAAATAAGTAAATAAATAAGCCCTTTCTGCTGAGTGCAAATTGGTACAACCACTGGGAAAACTGTTTGACAATATCTGTGAAAGCTGAACATATGCCTATCCCATGACCCAGCAATCCCACTCCTAGGGATATACCTAAGAGAAAGGAGTACACAGGCCACTCAAAGATGCACACTGAATGCTCCCAGCAGCTTTATCTGTCATAGTGAAAAACTAGAAACAACCCAAATGTCATCAATGATAGGCCCTAGAAGGACACAGGAATTAGGTTACCCATGAGAGGTAGCTGGTTTAATAAGGTCCTGTTCAACCTAATGCCTGTGACTGCCCAGTAATCCCTCTACTATACCCCATCTGCTCACTGCTGTATCCTTAATCGCCCAGTGTCCCCAGCCCTTCCTCTTGGAGTGCTAACACATGCACAAATAGATCCCTTGGTGGTATATTCATAAGAAGGAATACTACATAGCAATGAGAAAGAATAAACTACATTTACATACAGCAACCTGCGTGAATCTCATAGACAGGTTTCATGAAAGGAGACAGACATGAGGAGACACACTGATTCCATTCATCTGAAGTTTAAGAAGAAGCAAAACCACTCTTGGGTGATAGAAGTCAGAATAGTAATTACTTCTGTGGGGTTGGGTACTAACGGACAAGGGGTACAAGGGAAGCTTCTAGGGGATGGAATTATTTTATATTTGGGTGGTGATTACATGGGTGTGTGTGTAATTAAAAATTCACTGGGCCACACACTTAAGATTTGTGCACTGTATTGTGTGGGTTCTAGGTGTGTTAATACAAAATAATGAGATGTTGAGGTGGGAGAATTGTTTGCGGCCAGGAGTTTGAGACTAGTCTGAGCAACATAACAAGACCCCCCCAATCTCTAAAAAAAATTTGTTTTAATTAACAGGGCGAAGGGGGCACACCTGTATTCCCAGCTACTTGAGAAGCTGAGGCAGAAGGATTGCTTGAGCCCAGGAGTTTGAGGCTGCAATGAGCTATGATTGCACTGCTGCACTCCAGCCTGAGTGACAGAGCAAGATCTTGTCTCTGAAAATAACAATAATAATACAAAATACAAAACAAAGTATATTATGCACTTGTCAGCCTCACTGATCATTGCAAGAGCCAAGGATGAGAAAAGATGAGGAATACAAGATCCCAGCCAGGAGGTGAGATGAAACTGGGGCCTGCAGGGGCTGCTAACACCCATGGAGGGGGAGTTCTAAGCCCTAGAAGGACACAAGAATCAGGTTGCCCATGAGAGGCAGCGGTTTAATTAGGTCCTGTTCAACCTGACACATGTGACTGTCCGACCATAATCCCTCTGCGATGACCCATCTGCTCCCTGCTGCATCCTTAATTGTTCAATGTCCTGGCCCCTTCCACTCACTAACCCTCACACATCTCATGCTTGATCAAAACTAGTTCTCGCTGGACCCTGCCTTCCTGCCTCTCTCCTTCCTGCCTGCCTCTCTCCTTCCTTCCTGCCTCTCTCCTTCCTTCCTTTTTCTTTCTTGAGTGGTTTCCCAACCAGTTGTGCCCCTCCCCTCTCCTCACCAGCTGCTCCCATGAAGGTCCTCCAAAGCTTCCCATCGGCCAAGCCCAGGGGCTCCATGGCTTGCTCATCCCCCATCCAAACTCTCTGCTCACAGCCCATGGGTGACCCTGTCCACCTGCTGGAAACGCCCTCCTCCCTTGCTTCCCAGAGCACCTTCTCCTGTTCTCCTGGGACCCCCTTGAGGACCTTCATCAGTCTCCTTGGTACCTTCTCCTGCTCCCCTAGGACCCCCTTGTGGGCCTTCATCAACATCCTTAGCGGGCTTGTCTTTCTGCATCCAGTGCCTATGTCTGGCGAGGTCCAGGACTCAGCCCCAGGCCTCTTCTCCTTGGCATTCCCTCAGGTTCCTGGACTGTGTCCTCCTTCCCAGCCTGGCGTTCTAGGTTAGACGTTGGTCTCTGAGCTGTAGCCCAGGCCACTAAAGCACCCTGGCTAGCAACCATGGATGGCACTTCTCAGCCCCCACCCTACTTGGGGTGTAAGCAGATGGCAAGGCCCTCTATGCATCTCCGCCTCAGTCCCCAGAGCAGGTGGCTCCGGAAATCCCGTTGGCCCTCCTGCTCAGCTGGCTCATGTCTGGAACCTATCCTGACATTGTCATGTCTCCCATTGTGTTCTTGCTGGGCCTGCTCAGCCCCTTTGGTGCAGAGGACTCCACCTGCAGACTTACTCGGTTACTCTCCACATGGTGGCCGGAGGATCTTTAAGAAATGGAAGTCAGTTCTCAGACCCACAACGCCCCCCACTGCAGTTGGAATAAACTCCAACAAGGCCCTGTGTGAAGTGCCTCTGTTTCCCACTCCACCCTCTTGCTCCCTTCCCCTTGCTCGCTGGTGCAGCCACACTAGCCTTGTTGCCCGTCCTGGAACACACCAGGACATGGACATTATGGGGACATGCAATTCAGCCCATTTACAGGGCCCTGCTTTACAGGATCTCTGTTAATGGGCTGAACTGCACCCCCCACAATTCATGTGTTCAAGTCCTAACCTCCTATACTCCAGATTGTGACCTTATTTGGAAATAGGGTTGTGCAGGCTGGGCGCGGTGGCTCACGCCTGTAATCCCAGCGCTTTAAGAGGTCAAAGCGGGTGGATCACCTGAGGTCAGGAGTTCAAGACCAGCCTGGCTAACATGGTGAAACCTCGTCTCTACTAAAAATACAAAAATTAGCCAGGCATGGTGAGACATGCCTGTAATCCCAGCTACTCTGGAGGCCGAGGCAGGAGAATCGCTTGAACCCGGGAGGCAGAGGTTGCAGCGGGCCAAGATCACACCACTGCACTCCAGCCTGGGTGACAGAGCAAGACTAAATCTCAAAAAAGAAAAAAAAAAAAAAAGAAATAGGGTTGTGTAGATGTAATTCATTAAGATGATGATATGGTTTGGATCTGTGTCCCCACCTAATCTTATGTTGAAGTGTAATCCCCGGTGTTGAGGGTGAGGCCTGATGGGAGGTGATTGGGTCACGGGGCATGGGGGACATGGGGCGGTTCCTCATGAACGGTTTAGCGCCATCCCCCTCGGTGCTGTTCTCATAAGTTCTCATGAGATCTGGCTGTTTAAAAGTGGGTAGCGCCATCCTACTCCCTTTTGATCCTGCTCTGGCCATATAAGACAAGCCTGCTTCCCCTTCACACCTTCTGCCATGATTGTAAGTTTCCTGAGGCCTCGCCAAAGCAGAAGCTGCTATGTTTCCTGCATAGCCTGTACAACTGTGAGCCAATTAAACCTCTTTTCTTTATAAATTACTCAGTCTTAGGTATTTCTTTACAGCAGTGCAAGAACAACCTAATACAGATGAGGTCACACTGGAGTAGGGTGAGCCCCTAATCCATTATGACTGGTGTCTTTATAAGAAGGAGAGATTTGGACACAGACGCACACAGGGAGAACGCCATGTGAAGGTGAAAATGGACGTGCTGGTCTACAAGACTGGGAAGGCCGAAGGTTGCCAGCCAACCTCCAGAAGCTAGGAGAAGGCCTGGGACAGATTCTCCCTCACAGCCCCCAGAAGGAATCAGCCCTACCGACACCTTGATCTTGGACTTCTTGCCTCCAGGACAGAGACAATACCTTTCTGATGTTGAAGCCGCCAGTTTGAAGCACTTATTCTCATAGCCTTAGCAAATTAAGACAGTACCTCTGACAGGGATGCCTCCCTCCCCGAATCAGCACATGACTTACTCCTCGTGTCATTGAGATCTCGGACAGAAAGCTACCTTTTCCAAGAGGCCTTCCCTGAATATCCCGTCTAAATGGCTTGGCCCCTTCCCTCACCCATTGCAAGCGCAGGCTCAGGTCATCCTCCAGCCTGTCGCCCTCATCCTGCATGTTCGCCCTCACACGCATGACCACCTGAAGACAGAGTATGTAGTCATTTGCACACCTGGTTTTTTTTGTCTGTCTCCTCTGCTAGTTTAAGAGCTTTGTGTGGTCCAGGGCTTCTGGCATCTTCTGCTGTGTCTCCCGTGTCTGGCACAGGGGCTCTCAGGTGAGATCACCATTTGGATGCTTTTAGCCAATCAGCAAATATTTAGTGGGAATCTATGCTGGGGAACAAAACAGCCCCAGTCCCTGAGGCAGGGCAGGGAGGGAAGTCAGTGTTTTGTGGAAAGCAGGAGAATGTATGGAGTAGTTACTGGGGAATGTGGAGGGAAGCGTCTAGAGAGACGGGGAAGGACAAAGGCCTGTTTGTACCCGGTGAGCTGGAGCTGCAGCTGAGCGAGGCATCTGCTGCACCAGGCGACTTCTGATGCTCACATCCCTTGGGTGTCCCCCAGCCCAAGATGTCCTAAACCAAACCTGTCATGTTCCATGGAGGACTCTCAGTTCGCCTCCTGCAAGGGATACTACAAACACCCACCAGGTCTCCTGGGTGGGAACCTGGGCACAAGCGTCCCATTGTTCTCCCTCCTGTACCCCACATCTGATGGGCCAGCTCATCCTGTGCACCTTCAATCCCCCACTTCCAATGCTTCTCCTCCACCCTAATGCTAGCTCCTTGAAGCCCTCAAGGATTCATGACATCCAGGTGGCTGTGGTGGCCTCTGGGGAGGGAGGGGGACACTACATCCATAAATGTATTAATTTTTCAATTATAATATCGAAGTTCAGGCTGGGCATGGTGGCTCATGCCTGTAATCCCAGTGCTTTGGAGGCTGAGGCGGGAGGATCACTTGAGCTCAGAAGTTTGAAACGAGCCTGGGCAACATAGCAAGATCCTGTTTCTACAAAAATTTTTAAAAATTAGCATTAGCCTGGCATGGTGGCACACCTTAGTCCCAGCTACTTGGGAGGCTGAGGAGGAAGGATCACTTGAGTCCAGGAGCTCGAGGCTACAGTGAGCTATGATCGCAGCAATGCACTCCAGCCTGGGCAACAGAGTGAGACCCTATCTCTAAAAAAAAAAAAAAAAAAAAAAAAAAAAAAAAATTAAGTTTATATAAAGAGTGTGAGTGTCTGACGGCAGTTTTCCCCTTCTCAGGGGTCAAAACCCTTCACAAGACTCATGAAGGCCACTCCCCAAAGCAGCAAGAGTTGAGGGTCCAGGTGCTGTGAAGGTGGCAGGGATGGTGCTGGTGGGAGTAGCCTGGCCAGCCCCTCTTGTTGCACGGTGATGCTGTTCTAAGGCCCACTTGAGAACTTTACCTGGCTCCCCGAGGATGTACCTCTGAAGGCTCAGGCAGACCCCAGGGCCCATTCCCACCCCTTCAAACTGCCAGAGACTGTCTTGGGGGTGCCCACTGACCCCTTGAGCCCCCTTGCTCTGGTTCCATGACTGTGATGTGTACTAGACAACAGGGCTCTGAGTGGCCTCCGGGGCATCCGCTATAGACAGGGAAGGTGGCCTAAGGATCCCGAGAGTCCACTGTGGTCAGGGCCCAAATTGCTGGAAGAAGGGAGTGGTGGCTCTGTGCGAGCTCTCCCCGAACCACCTGCCCACTATTTCTACGGCCACAGAGACTGAGGCACAGAGAGGGGTGGCCATCTGCCTGGAGTCATGGGGTGAGGCAGGGGTCACTCTGTCCCCTGAGGCCTTTACCCTGAAAGTGATCCTTGCCCTGAGCCCATCCCATAACCCCATGGGCTTCCTGTTAGTCCAGCACCTGCCTCCAGAGTTGGGGGCTTTTGAGGCAAGGGAGGGCAAACTTGCCCTGAGAATCCTAGTCCTACTGCATGCAGCCTTTATTTCCTGATCCCACAGGAACTCCAGGAGTCAGGAGCCCTCCCTGTCAACAGCCTCTTCTCCCCTACCCCACACCTACCCTCCCCCAAACCCAGCCTCTGCTCACTATGTCTTCCTTGACACCCCAATTGGTTTTCATCATTTTTTTTTTAAAGATTGAACTGCATTTCAGACATTTGCATTTCATGTCAGAAAATGTGAATTCAGCAGCCGCCAGGATGAATGCCAGTCGCCAGGTGCTGAGGGTGAAGGCGAGGGCCGGTGTCTCCAGCTGTGGGGCAGGACAAAGTCCCTGTGATGCCAGCTGCCACCAGGACCCAGGGACAGGCGAGAGGGCCCCAGAAGAATGCCGAGCTCACGTTACTTGGCAGAAAGAAAATGATTCAATTTTGTTCTATTCACCGAAACACATGTTCTTGTCCAAAGCTAATTTCCTGCTGCCCCCAGCTTGATTGTGTCTCTGTTTCGTCTCTCACTCTGAACACCGTCCTCTTCTTAAGAATCTTGGGATTCTGAACTGCTTTTCTATTTCCAGAATTCCACATTGCGATTTTCATTTTTCTGTCTCTGGAAGGATGTGCCAGTTGCCTTTACAAAGGGGGCCTGAGAGGCTGGAGGAGACGGGCAGGAGGGAGACTTTTCTCTGGGTGGCCTTTTGTGGATTTTGAATTTTGAACCATATAAATGTACTTTCTGATTTAATGAAAAACATTTAAAAATTAAAAAATTGTTTCCACTTAAAAATAATACCTTTCGGGACCCTGCTCCCCTGTCTCTCCCCCTTGTCCCTCTCTCCCTTGTAGCTAGAGCCTTCACTGCCTCCCTTTTTACGGCTCCTCTGCCTTCACCCAAGGCTGCTCCGACAAGGATCCCCCCAAAGCCTCCCCAGGGCCAAGTCACCTCCTCTGCCCTCTCTGGACACAGCCCATGGCCAGCCAGTTCACCTTTTGGAAACCCTCCTCCTTGGGTTCCTGTGTGTCTCCTCCTCATGTCTGTCCTCTGGCCCTCCCTTTTCAATCTCCCTGGGGGGCCCCCAAATGCTGGCATGGTCTGGGCCTCTGCCTGGACTCTCTCCCACAGTATCACCCACCCCTGATGCTTCGACACCCTCCTGGACCCAGTGACCTCCAGTGTACACTCCACACCAAATCAGGTCCTTCCCTGCTTGGATCCACTCTTACCCCTCCATCCCTGCCGAGCCCCAGATCCCGGATCCACCTGCCTCCTTGACACCCCATTTGTTTACTTCAGGGACCTCACATCAACACATCTGGATGGGCTGGCTTCAAGTCTGAACTCTGCCACCTCCTTGTTGTGGGCAAGTTTCTCAACCTCTGTGTGTCTCTGTTTCCTTGTGTGTAAACGATGATAGATGAGGTAGTATCTACCTTATGGTATAGTTGTAAGTATGAATGAATTAACATTAAGTAACACTCCTAGAACAGTGTCTGGCAAATCGTAAATACTAAAATGCATTTGTTGGATAAAAATGTCCCAAATGGAACTCCTGATTTTCCTCTTGCAAACCTTATCCTCTTGCAGCTTCCCTTCCCGCTGCCATTCAACCCATTCTGAATGCCAGAAACCCAGGGGTCTTGCTTGACACTGCCCTCCTCTTCCTCCTCCTCCTCCTCTGCTTCTCTTCCCCCAGGGTGCACCCCATCCCCAACTCTGGCCCATTTTATTTCCTAAATCTCTCTCCATCTCCACCCTTTCCCTGGCCCATGGTCCCCTGAAATTGCTCTTGTTAAGCTCATCAGTGTTCCACTAATTGCCAAATCAAAAGAAATTTTCAGCCTTCATCGGTTTGGATTTTCTGCTACATTTGGTCCTGCTGATCTTGCTCTCCTAGAAACGCTTCACTAGCCCAGTTTCCATGACAACCTGCTCTCCAGCTCTGCTCACGTGGCCACGTGGCACTGACATTTCTTTCTCTCCGTTGCTTTTGTAGGTGCCCCAGGCTCTGCCAGCCCCTGAAATGATGGGTTGGAGGTCCTTAGATTCCAACAGGACTCTCCCTACCTCTCAGTCTCCCCAAGACATGGCCACCCCAACTCTGCAGCTCTGGTTGAGATGTCCTCCTGAAAGCCAGACTGCTGGACCTGACTTCCCGCTGGCCATGACTTCCTACTGGCCATGACTTCCCGCTGGCCATCTCCCCCAGGTGTCCGCAGGCCCCACAAAGTCAACTTTGAATTGTGGCCATTACCCCTCCCTAATCCACTTGCTTCTCCAAGTCCCAGTGAGATCGTCATAAGACAAATATCTGCCTGTGGCTCTTACCTGCTCAAAACCCTTCCACGGCATCCTATTGCCTACAAGATTAAGTCCAAGATGTTGAGCATCTTTTTGTATGTTAATTTGCCATCTGTTTATCTTCTTTGGGGAAGTGTTTGTTCAAATCTTTTGCTCATTTCTTATTGGGTTGTTTTTTTTTTTAATCATTGAGTTTTAAGACTCCTTTATAAATATTCTGGATACAAGTTCTTTATCAGATATATGATTTGCAAATGTTTTCTCCCAGTTTGTTGTTCGTCCCTTCATTCTCTCAGCAATTAAAAGAGCATACTTAAAAAAAATTTGATGGAGTCCAGTTGATCAATTTATTGCTTCATGAATCATGCTTTTATCATTTCGTTCTTTTATGGTGTTGTGGCTAAGAAATTTTTGCCTGACCCAAGGTTATGAAGGTTGTTCTCTTATATGTTTTATCCTAGAAGTTTTATCATTTTGGTTTTACCCTTTTATTTTTTACTTATATTTTTATGCCTGAGTTAGAGTTGGGTTTTTGGTATTGCAAAGAAGGGAGACCCTGCTAATATTGTAATCTATTTGAAAGGTGAAGCTTAAAGACCTTCAATGGCTCCTCATTGCTCTTGGGATAAAAGTCCTAAACTCCCTAGCATGGCTCAAAGGGCCTGCATGAACTTCCTGGCCTGATTCCCAACCCTTTTCCTTTCTGGCCCCTCATGGTGCCCTGTGCTCTGGATGTACACACTGAATGGCAATTCCTTGAGCTCAATGCCCAGGGCAATTCTTTCTTGGAGCTTTAGGGCAGGCTGGATCAGACAGCCAGGCTGAAGCAAGACTCCATTCCCCCTCTCCTCCAGATATGAAGTTGTTTTTTATGTGAGACTACACCCAGGACCCCACTTGAGCATCTTCCATTTATTTCTCTTTCCCCCATCAAAGCTGACCCATCCTGAGCCCTGTGCCCTTAGGTTCAGGGTCCCAGTGCACTTCCTCCCAGTCTTTATTTGGATGTTCTTTTCTGTTTTCCACAGCTGAGATTATATCCTGCATATAATTTGCACCCTGGCTTCTCAGTTGCTGCTCCACTTTTTATATTATAAGAATTTTCGAGCTTTTTGTAAAAATACAATTAGTGGATGAATAATTGTCCATTTGAGTGGATATAAAATGATTTGCTTAACATTTCCTCTATAGTTGGTTTTTTGGGTTGCTTCCATTTTTTATTAGAAACAAGGGCATACTACATCTCTTTGTACATAAATCTTTGTCGATTTGAGATTATTTCCTTCTGATGGAGCACCATAAGTGTAATTACTGGGTCAAAGGCTGTGGTAATTTACATTCCCATCAGCAGTATTGTCTGTTTCATCACACCCTAGCCAGCATGGGGTATTCTCATTAAAATTTTTTTCTTCACTCTGTGATGGGCAAAATGTGTTATCTCACTGTTGTTTTAATTTACTTTTTAAAAAATAATTAGATATTGGAAAATGGGTTCAACCTATGAGCCATAAAAAATTAATCTTCTGTTAATTGAGTGTTCATCCCTTCACACTTACCCAGCAGTGATTTGAATTTTTAAAACTCAATTTGTATGGATTCTTAAACACCAAGGATATTAACCCTCTGCGTGACATCCTCGGAAGTTGTTTTCAATTTCCACACAGTTAAATCTAAAATTTTTAATCTATTTTCTTCTTATTTTCTTTGTGATTGCTTCCCTTGCTTTTAAGCTTAGAAGGCTCACTGAGAGTTTGGGGTGAATATTCACTTCTACTTTATTCAAGTGTGATTTTTAATTTAAATCTTTAATCCATCTGAACTTGATGCTGATGTATGACATGAAGTGAAGAATGAGTGGATTTGCTTTTCCAAATAGCTTAGCGATCGTTCCAACACCATTTATTAACTAAGCCCTTCTTTCTTCACTGCTTCATGGTGTCCCTTCTTAGCTCTGTGGAGTATGGTAATATTTTTCTGTTATACTGTGTATGGGTTTAATATCCTCCACCCTCATTCTTCGCCCCACTGTCCAAGCTTCCTGGGTGCATGGTTTTTGGGGTGCTGACATTACATAGAGTCCCTGGCTTGGCCTTTGAGCTCCTCTGTGGGCTTTTGTGAATCTGTAGCACAAACCACAATTGTGTGGACTATTGTCCACAGGGGAGTCTACAGGAATGAAAGCCATAGCTTTTCAGGACAAGAGCTGGGACTTGAGAAAGGAAGCATTCTAGATTCTACAAAGCTTGGAGGATTTGGAGTTAAAGCTAAAGGAAGAGGCAAAGAGCTTATGCATAGACAATAGATGGAAAAGACAGTTCACGATGATGGTGGAGCCTGAGCCCCTTGAAGGGGGTAAGAGTTCAACCTGTGGGCAGAAGGAGAGAAATCCAAGGAAATTCAAGCAGAATATTAGTACTGGCTGGATCCCCCAGAAAAGGCTCATCTTCCAGTCCCTGAACTGAATCCCAAGGGGGAATATGATGGGGTCCCAGACAAGTCTGGGGGATTCCAGAGCAGAAGCCTTAAGTCTAACCTGGTGGTTACATCAAGGGGAGCAAAGGCAGCAGAATTCCCTGAGCAGCCTTGTGGAGCCGAGCTGGCACTGGAGGGTGTCTGGGCTTGGTTGGGGCCAAGAGTGAGCTTGCCGACCCAGGGAAGCTAGGGTTTGCCAAATTCGGGGAGACAGAGCCTGTGGTTACCAGGAAGTGAGGAGGGACCAGAAGAGGCAAGATCCTGCCAGGCAGAGCAGAGCAGTCTATGTGTCCTGTTGACACTGTGGCATTCACGCCCATCACACACAAGTCGCCTTTCCCTGAGTCCTGGAGCTTGGACCTGCACCCTGCCACTGTCATCTCATTGATGTAGTTTTGGGTTATATTTTGCTAGCTGGGAAGGCTGGTCAAACCTCCCACTCCAGACAGCCTTCTGGTGAATGCCTTCTCCTCATGACCTGCAAACTCCGCTTTCATCTTTCATAACTTTGACTTCTGATTGTGGACTAGATTCCCCCCGAAGTCAAGTTCTGGACATGAACCTAGTTGGAGCTCACTCTGGGATGTAGAGGGGCTGGGACGCTGGAGTCAGAGGCAAGAGGCACAGAGGTTGAGTCCGCTACCTGCCACTAGCGTGCCCTGAGGCCTTCCACAGCTAGTGCCCTGTGCAGAGTCTCATTTTCCTGCTTTGCTTCTCCGTGGAATCCCTGTCAGCCTCGTGGGGTTTGTGAGGATCATATAAAACTTAGCTCTGACTCAACTGTGTAAACTGTGAAGTCCTGTGCCCACGCTGGGGTGGGTGATCCTGGTTCTCCCTCCTGAGCAGACCTCCTGTCCCATACCCCATCATCCCTGCATGACAAGGATGCCAACCACACAACCTTCTCCTCCAACTCTCCTGGCCCCTCCTTCACTCTGCCGTGCAAAATTAAGCAAACACACGGAATTTGTTTGTTTCGATAATCACAAACTCTTTTTGGCTAAAAATTTTTGACCTCCCATTTCAGACATTTTATTTCAAATCAGAAAATATTTGTTCAACAGCCCCAGTTGGCTGCTCCAGACTGGGGAGGATTCCAAAACGAATGAGACAGGGTCCTGGCCATGGAGTGGGATGAAATTCCTGCCAAAGGGAGACACAGTTAAAACACAAAGGTCATATACAAGTTCCCAGACAGAAAGTGGGACGCAGATTACTCAGTAAAAGGCCAATCGAGCGCTGTCCCAGGAGGTTGGATGTGTGTTACCGCCAGGGTGGATCCCTCTCGTCCATGTGGCCTCATTTCCTTGGAGGCCTCATTTAGCTAATTGCCTCTGCTCCACAGTAACTCATATCCCACAGGTACCTTCCTTTGGGAAAATTAATATGCAAATGTTGCCCTTTTATTAAAACCAAAATGAAGCAAAAAATTCTGCCCCCCTTTGTTGACTCTCCTCTCTTGACAGATAGACCCTGTATCAACCTTGCTCCTGACCCACCCCTCCGCATCCCCGAAAAACTGACAAACGGCCCTGAAGGCCAAGTCCAGGGTCACCAATCAACTTTTACCTCCCCTGAGCTCCCTGCCACTGCCACTGTGTCCTTTTGGAAACTCTCTTCCATGGGCCCCAGGGAGTCCCCCCTGCTGCTTTCCTCTCTGGTCCTTCCTTCTTGGTGTCCTCTTCCCTTACCCAGCCACCTGAACCCGAGTGCTCGCCTGGGCTCAGCCTCTGTCATCTGCTCATTCCTCTGCACTCTGTTCCTTAATCTCACCCATCTCTGAGCTGCTTCAACACCGCCTCCACCCCGGCTTGGACCCAAAGCCTCTGCAATGTCCAATTCCAGCCCAAGTTCTCCTATGGACTCCAGAAGCCACAAGTCCCAAAGGCACCTCATGCTCAACTGACTCAACAGACAACTCTTCTCATCCAAATATGGTGCTTCACCAGAGTCCCACATCTCATGGAGAGATGCCACCAGCCAGTAGACCCAGGAGACGCCTGGCATCTTCCTCCACAGCTCACTGGCTCTCACCACCTACCTCCACAGTCCAGCCTCAAGCCTGGAGACTTCATCTCCCAGTGGCTCCTGGGCCCTTCCAGTTCTCTTCAGCTCCACCCCCTCCTGCACTCCTGCCATCGCTTCCTCGCTAGAAGCCAGAGTGATTCCTTCTTTCCTTCCTTCCCTCCTTCCTTCCTTCGTTCCTTCCTTCTTTCCTTCATTCCTTCCTTTCATTCTTTCGTTTTCCTTCCTTCCTTTCATTCTTTCATTTTCCTTCCTTCCTTCCTTCCTTCCTTCCTTCCTTCCTTCCTTCCTTCCTTCCTTCCTTCTTTCCTTCCTTCCTTCCTTCCTTCCTTCCCTCCCTCCCTCCCTCTTTCCTTCTTTCCTTCTTTCCTTCCTCTTTCTGACAGAGTCTCACTCTGTCATCCAGGCTGGAGAGCAATGGCATGGTCTCAGCTCACTGCGTTCTCCATCTCCCAGGTTCAAGTGATTCTCCTGCCTCAGCCTCCTGAGTAGCTGGGGTTAACAGGCATGTGCCACCACGCCCAGCTAATTTTTTTTTTTTTGGTATTTTTTTTAGTAGAGATGGGGTTTTGCCTTGTTGGCGAGGCTGGTCTCGAACTCCTGACCTCAGGTGATCCACCCACCTCAGTGTCCCAAAGTGCTGGGATTACAGGCATGAGCCACGGTGCCCAGCCCAGAGTGATACTTTCAACATGCAAATTGGAACAAGTCATTGCCATGCTTAAATGTCTCCAAAGACTCCCCAGCATTCTTGGAATAAAGCCCCAAACCTTTCCAGCTGGCTGGCTCTTCCATTCAGATTTTTTACCCTGCTTCCCCTCATCCACTGTGTTCCAGCCTTACTGGCTTTCTTCCCCTCCCAGAACACACTCTGCCCCTCCCACTGCTGGGCCTTTGTCTGGGCTGTTTCCTCTGCCTGGAATGCTCTTTCTGATTCCTCCTAGCCTGGTTGATACCCACTCATCTTTCAGATCCCTTCTGGGGGTCTCCTCACTGTTTTCAGCACCACACACTTGTCCTTCATGAGTATCAGTGTTGCTAATTATCCTTTTATTCATGTAATTAATTCACATCTGTTTCCCCTTTTAGGGGAAGCAACAGGAGCCCCTTTTAGACAATAAGCTCCACATGGGCAGGGATGTGTGTCTGTCTTTTTCACATGGTCTCATCAACAACTAGCCAGCACACAAGAGGTGCTCAAAAAATATGTGTGGAATTGAGTTGAAAACTTTCTCTTGACTCCACATCTCACTTTCGAGCTCCCAGACAATCTTTCTCTAAACTTTTCTAATTATCAAAACTTAATTATCTAAACTTCTGTAAAAGGGCTGTCTTCACTGACTATCTATCATCCTCAGGCACTGCAGTCGGGGTTCTGCTCCATCACACCCCTGAAACTGCTCTTGCTGAAGGCTCCGATAACCTCCTAATTACCAACTTGAGTGGGTGTTTTTCCAACCCTGTCTTATTGGAATTCTCTGCAGGGTTTGATATTGTTGATCACTCTCGCCTTCTCGAAATGCTGGGCTCTCTTGGTTTCCATGACAACACCCTCTCCTTGTTTTTAACCCATCTCTATGACGACTTTTCCTTCCCAGTCTCATTAATCAGAACCTCTGACTCAACCACCCTTAAAATGTTAGGGTCCTGAACATTTGATATTGTAAAGATGTCAATTCTCTCAAAATTAATTTAGAAATTCAATGTCTTCCCATCAAAATCCCACTAGGATGTTTTAATGGAACTTAATAAGCTGATTCTAAAAGTCATATGGTACAGGAGATGGGCAAGAATAGCCAAGATAATTTTGAGAAAGAAAAACAAGTGGTGGAACACAGTAGGGGAAAAAGGACTGGATTTGCCCTACTAGGTAGCATACGACAAAGCAACAAAAGGATTAAACAGTGTGGCAATGGCACAGGGATAGACACACTGACCTACAGAACTGAGGAGCTCAGGATTTGACCTGTGTCCAGAGGGAATTTGCCATATACTAGAAAGGGCATTTCAAATGATGGACATTGGTCACCAGGAGCCTGAAGCTCCCTCCCTGTTCTTTAGCTCTGAGGTTTTTTGAAGAAGGCCCACCCAGGCAGCCTCCTCATGCAGAACCATTTTCTTTCCTTTCCTGCCCAACCCCTCCAAGCCCTCACCCCTTCAAAAATTGCCTGATGCAGGTACCGTTTCCTTAAGACCTAGCTCTTATTTTTTTCTTCTTTTTCTATTGTAAAAAGAAATACATGGATGGATGAGTATATTGTATTCATTATATTGGTTAGATGGTGAGTATATTGTATTCATTATGTTATTCTTGTTCTCTTCTGCACTTTTGAAATATATTATCATATTTCTCTAACAGTCTAAGCAAAATAAATAAGGGAAAAATGAAATATATTATCATAAAAACAGCGATATCCAAATATGGCAGAAAATTTGGAGAGAAGTAAGTCATGAAGAACTAAAACATCTTGACAAGAATCCCAACATCCATTGTCAAGTTCTGTAAAAATGCGCCGGAAAAGCACATCTCTTCTTAGCCTTTTTAATGCATTTATTTACAATAGATGCTTTCATTGTATGTAATTTTGCACCATCCTTTTCCATTGATTATATGCTAAACATCTCCCCATATTAGTCAACTTCCTTTGTAATTATTATGTTTAATGGCTGCCTAATAATCCAGTTAATGAATGGAACATAATTTGGTTAACTGTTCTCCTGGAGCTGAAGATTTTGATAACTTCCTTTTTTCTTTTTTGCTATGACACCTAAAGCCACAGTGCACATCTTTCTGCAGAAATCTTTGGGCATTGCTTTAGAGCACTTCTTGGGATGAGCTTCCTGCAAATGGAATTACTGAGTCAAACAGTACGAACCTTTTTGAGGCTCTTCACACATCTTAAACAAATTGCCTTGTAGAAAGATTTTGCCACTTCACAGTCCTGCCAGCTGTGCAAGAGAGGGCCCATGCCACCGGGGCTGAATGAGCTCTGTGAGCTCTTGCTTTGTAAAGTACTCATTCGATGGGCCAAAAGTGGTATCCCTGCATTCAAATTTACATTTATTTTATTATGAGTAAGTTCAACATTTTCAACTGAATTTGACTTTTGAACTTCATCTTTCATAAATGGGCTCTTACAGCCTTTTATCACCCCAATGTTTCATTATGAAAATTCTTACTGCCTCTGTGAATGTTTTATTTATGAGAATTTCCAACACACAGAAGCTTTACATTTCCTATAGTCAATTATATTTATATTTTCCAGCACAGTTCTCTGTATTGCTGTAAATGCTACAATGGCCTTCCTCGACCATAGTTTGGATAATGAATCATTTCCAGTTTTTTCTAGTTATTACTATGCTTTCTTTTTTTTTTTTTTTTTTTTGCATTTAAATCATCTGACATGGCCGGACATGGTGGCTCATGCCCATAATCCCAGCACTTTGGGAGGCTGAGGTAGGCGGATCACCTGAAGTCAGGAGTTCAAGACCAGCCGGGCCAACATGGCGAAACCCTGTCTCTACTAAAAATACAAAAAAATTAGCCGGGTATGGTGGCGGGTGCTTGTAATCCCAGCTACTTGGGAGGCTGAGGCAGGAGAACCACTTGAACCCAGGAGGCAGGGGTTACAGTGAGCCAAGATCATGCCATTGCACTCCAGCCTGGGCAACAAGAGTGAAGCTCTGTCTAAAAAAAAAAAAAAAAAAAAAATCACCTGACACTTACTGAAAAGATGACATCAATTAAAAAGTAAAGAAGACAAAAAAAAAATTGAAAAAAATTTAAATAAATCACAGGACATTGATGTTGGTGGTTGGTATAAAGAGAGATAAATAATTGCTTTTCGTTTCTGAAATAGATAAAATAATTTTCCAGCCTCACTAAGTGACAAATCACTTCATTCCCCCTGCCTGCCCCCATTCATTTGCAGTGCCTCTGCTCTCATAAGTCATAGAATTAGACATTCTAGGGATCTGCATCTGGGCTTTCTATTCTGTTTCATTGAGATGTCTTTCTTTCTGTTACAAAATAATGGTTATTTTGTTTTGTTTTATTCTGCAATGTCTGTTAGGGTTAGAACCCTTGAAATCTCTGTTTCATATCAGATCACTTCCCCAAGCATCTAACTCCCACACCCAATTTCCCTTTTGGTAATCTAACCTTGAATTTCCCATAGCATGACTTTTTTACACAATACATGTTTTTCTAGCTACCTCCTCTCCCTGGAGATCACATGGTATTGTTGTGCTCCATAGGGGCAGGCCAGTGGTGCACTCAATCCTGAAATCTTGGAGGCACGGTCAGGAGATATGGCTTTGAGCCACATCCCTGCCAGTCATGCACTGTGTTGGGCCCTCCCCACGCTACTTTGTCTTGGGACATCTCAGCTTCCTTTTCTGTGAAATGGGGTTGTCAAGACCACGTGAGATAGAGAATGTCAATACAGCCTTATTCTTCACTCAACAAATGTGTGCTAGGTGCCAGGGATAAAAGAGCAGCCAGGGTAGAAATTGTCTCTGAAGAAACAGCCTTCAAGGAGCTTACAGTCTATTAGGGGAGAGTCCTCTAAAACAGAGGAAAAGGCAGTTGCCAAAGAAGTGATTGCAAAGGCTGTGGAGGAAGCAAACAGAATGTGAGGGAGAGCATGGGGTAGGAGCCCCACTTTAGATGGGTGGTTGGGGAGGGTCTCTCTTGGGAAACATTTAAGCTGAGCCCAAAAGTCTGAGAAGAGGGTGGTGGGAAAGTGGTTTCCAGGTATGAGGAGCAATGGGAGCCAAAGCTCTAAGAGAGGAATGAGCTTGGTGCACTGGAGGACTAGAAGAATTTGCTTATGGGTCGGGTGCGGTGGCTCATGCCTGTAATCCCAGCACTTTGGGAGGCTGAGGCGGCCGGATCACCTGAGGTCAGGAGTTCGAGACCAGTCTGACCAACACGGTCAAACCCCATCTCTACTAAAAATACAAAAATTAGCTGGGTGTGGTGGCACACGCCCGTAATTCCAGCTACTCAGGAGGCTGAGGCAGGAGAATCGCTTGAACCTGGGAGGCAGAAGTTTCAGTGAGCCAAGATCGCAGTACTGCATGCCAGCCTGGGCGACAGAGCAAGACTCCGTCTCAAAAACAAAACAAAACAAAACAAAACAAAACAAAAAAAGGCTACTCTGGCTGCTCTGTGGGGGTTGGATTATTGGGAAGAAAGTTAGCAAGTACCTGCAGTGACCAAGCAAGAGATGACGGCTTGGACTGAGCCATTGGTCATGATGATGGAGTTGGTTAGGAGGTAAGATCAACTGACCTTTCCATGAGATGTTGCAAGAGAAGAAGGCAGAGATTCTAGGGGACCGCTAAGTGTCTCCCAAAATAGGAGACATCAGTCAAGAACAAATTTGCAGAAGAAAGATTAGGAATTTGAATTAAAGAGCATAATGAAGTGAAAAAATAACAAACCAAGAATTTCATTTGGGATATGTTGTTGATGTCTGAGATGGTTGGCCATCAGGTTCTGGAGCTCAGACGAGAGATCAGGGCTGGATCTGGAAGAAGATGTAGAGAGGAAGATGGGTGTGTTGGACTGGAGCTTAAAGGAGCCCAGTGTGGACTATCAGTTTTGGGAATCAGCCTCTAGGAGAGAGGCAAAGCTTCAAGGATGCATGAAGTTGAGGGAAAAGGTGCACAGTGAGAGGGAAGGCTGGAGTCTGAGCCCTGGGCAGCACCAGCATTGGACAGGGGGAGGGGAGCCTGAGAAAGAGGGGAAGACAGGGAAAGAGAGTCCCAGAAGCCCATGAAGGAACATTTCCAGAAAGAGAGTGGCCACTGGTGGGCCACATGCACAGAGGTCAGTGGAGGCTCAGGCATCTCCTAGACCTGGCCTTTGGGGACTTTTGTCACAGCAACTTTGGGGCAAGGGGCAGAAGCCCCTGTTGGTGTTGGGGGAATGAACTGGGTCTGGCTGAGAAAGGAGGGAGGAGGGTTGGAGCAGGCAGCAGGTCCAGGAAGGAGCTGATTCTTCCAGGAGACATGGGAGGGAGGAAGCAGTACAAGCCCAGTTGGAAGAGCAGGGCAGGGCAGTGAGAGGGGCCCTGGAGCTCTGGGATTAAGTGTAGAGGTGAAGGGATTAGCAGTGTTGGTGAAAAGGGACAAAAGTAAATTATGTACATTTTAGCAAGTAACCTGATCTCCATGTTCTTTGGGAGGCCTTTTCTCTGCCCTCTGGGTACTGACTCCAGCTCTAGTTACCACTGGTTTCATCTGCCTCATGGCTGGGGCAATGTCTTTCTCATTTTCTTGTACCTTTCAGCACCTAGCGACAGGCAGCCAGCTAGGTAGGAGCAGAATAATTATTTTCTGCTTGAAACCCAGTGTCTGAAATGGAGATTCAGAAGTTTTTCTTTGTACCAAAAATACTTTGTGACAACCCTGAGGAAGTGAGATGACAGGGAAGGAGGTGTTGGGGTACATGGGGATGGAAGGGCTGGAGGGCTGGAAATGTCACCAGGTTAATTTCATGGCTGGGCACCGGGAGATGTGATTGGCAGGGGAGGAAGGGCTAGGACTACTCACCCCACACAGGCCTATCTCTTCACAGCCGATGTGACGCTGCCCAGTGGCCTGGCCTCCCTCAACCTGTTCACTGCTGCTATTCTTTCCAATAAACTCCATTGCCCAATCCAACAGACTTTTCCGTCTTTAACTCACTTGGCCTGGCGGGAGCATCTGACATAGCCAACCACTCCCTCATAAGAGTGGCTCTCCTTGGCTTCCATGACACCAACATCTCCCAGTTAACCTCCTGCCCCAGTGGCTGCTGCTCCTGCCTCTCCACCACTTGCTGCCCACTATGTAAATGTTGAATTCCCTCGGGGCTTGTGTCTGGGCTCTTTGTATCCCTCCCTCCCTTCCTTCCTTCCTTCCTCCTTCCCTCCCTCCCTCTCTTTCTCTCTTTCAACAGAGTCTCGCTCTGTGGCCCAGGCTGGAGTGCAGTGGCACAATCTCAGCTCACTGCAACCTCTGTCTCCCAGGTTCAAGTGATTCTCCTGCCTCAGCCTCCCGAGTAGCTGGGATTACAGGCACGTGCCACCATGCCCATCTATTTTTTGTATTTTTAGTGGAGACAAGGTTTCACCATGTTGGCCAGGCTGGTCTCCAACTCCTGACCTCAAGTGATCCACCTGCCTAGGCCTTCTACAGTGCTGGGATTACAGGTGTGAGCCACCACACCCAGCCTCTTTGCATCTTTGTCTGTATTCTCATCCTGAGTGATTACTAATGACTCTAATTTCATGCCCTCAGCTCTGCCCTCTCAAGGGCATACCACATACCCAACTACCCCATGACAGCTCAATCCGAATGTGAACTGCTCCCCAAAACTACACCCTCCACCTCCCACCCTCACTTGTCTTCCCCTTCTCTGCAAACGGCCCAACCTTCAACCCAGTTTCCCAAACCAGGTTCTTCAGCATCACCTTGGCTCTTCCATCGTCCTCTCCCCTCCCATCCAATCCCAGCAAATCCTGGCAGTTCTGTCTTTGGGGAATCTTGCCCAAGATAGCCTTCTCTCCACCCTACTGCCCCATCCTGGTTCCAGCCACCTCCCATCTCTCATCTTCTTACTGTGATGGCCTCACAACTTTCTTTTCTTCCTCCTTGCCCATCCACTTACCACACCGAAGAGCAGACTTCTTAAGATGTAAATAGGATCATGTCATTTTCTTTCATATCACCAGCCTTCAGTGACCTTCCATGGGCCTTAGCACCAACTCTGGTCTCTTTCTCAAGGCCTGCAAGACTCACCTGCTCTGCCCTGTCTGTCTCTTCCATCCCCCTTGGGTGCTCCAACTCACTGTCCTCCAGCCATAAGCAAATTCTTTTTTTTTTTTTTTTTTTTTTTGAGACTGAGTTCACTCTGTCACCCAGGCTGGAGTGCAGTGGCGCGATCTTGGCTCACTGCAACCTCTGCCTCCCAGGTTCAAGCGATTCTCCTGCCTCAGCCTCCCAAGTAGCTGGGACTACAGGCGCCCACCACCACACCCGGCTAATTTTTTGTATTTTTAGTAAAGAGGGGGTTTCACCATGTTAGCCAGGGTGGTCTCGATCTCCTGACCTCATTATCTGCCCGTTTCTTTCATTTCTGATCATTGGCATGGTGGACACAATGCCTGGAGTGACTACTGCCATCCTGTGACTGTGGGGACAGGAGCCCATATGCTGAGCTTGGGAGAACTGAAGGATGGACAGAACATGGGTCCTTAATGACATTACATTTGTCTCCCTTGGGACTTCTCATTATATGTGACAATAAATGTCTCACTGTTTAAACATTTTTGAGTTAGGTTTTCTGCCACTTGTGTCAAAATCACCTTTGCTGATAAGTGCCTCAGCCCTAATGGCCTTCTGGCTCCTGGAACATGCCACCCTCCTTCCATGGAGCTTCACCCCTGCTGTTTCTTCATGTGTCCTTCTCATCCTCATTAACCTCCATGCCCCTGGTTGAATGTTAGTTCTCTGATATAGCAGGGTTCCTCCATGCCACCTATCACAGTTTACAATTATGGACTTCTTTACTTTTTTTTTTAATAATTTTTTTTGAGACAGAGTCTTGCTCTGTCACCTAGGCTAGAGTGCAGTAGCTCTCTACATCATAGCTACAATCATAGCTCACTACAGCCTCATCTCCCAGGCTCAAGTGATCCTCCCATCTCAGCCTCCCAAGTAGCTGGGACTACAGGTGCGTGCCACCACACTCGGCTAATTTTTTTGATTTTTAGTAGAGACGACATCTCACTATGCTGCCCAGACTGGTCTGGAACTCCTAGCCTCAAGTGATCCTTCCACTTCGGCCTCCCAAAGTGCTGGGATTACAGGCGTGAGCCATGGTGCCCGGTCTCTTTACTGGCTTGATTAACATCTGGCTCCCCCACTGGTGTGGCAGCTCTACACAGGCAAGGCCTAGGGCTGTTTTTGCTCACCATTGTGTACCCTCCCACTGTGAAGGCCAGAGAGCTTAGACAAGTTCACTTACTCAGCCGGGGACCTGGTAGGGGAGAGAGACAGTGCATTCCAAAGGATTAAAGTGAAGCTAATTTAATGAAAGGACCATTCACAGAGTGTAGCAGGCTCCAGGGTTGATCAAGCACCCAGGGATGAGCAACAGCTGGAAGCTATCACACTTCTAGGTTTGAAGAGATGAGAGAAGGATATGGGCTTTCGGAACCTGGAGAGAAAGCTGCTGCTTTCAGAAAGAGACCCCACCTGTGGCCATACGAAAAGGAATGCAGACACTGCCAACCCACAGCCAAAGGAAGGTGGCCAGAGAAGCTCACTCTCCTCCCTCTCTCCAGCGTCTCCTTGTTTCCTCCATTGGTCACACTCAACTACAGATGCTTCTTGACTTATGATGGGGCTACATCCAAATTAACCCACTGTAAGTCAAAAATATCATGTCATTAAATGCTTTTATTTTGTTTTATTTTGAGACAGAGTCTCACATTATCGCCCAGGCTGGAGTGCAATGGAGTGATCTTGGCTCAATGCAACCTCCATCTCCCGGGTTCAAGCGATTCTAGTGCCTCAATCTCCCAAGTAGCTGAGCCTACAGGCATGCGCCACCACACCCACCTAATTTTTGTATTTTCAGTAGAGATGGGGTTTCTCCGTGTTGGCCAGGCTGGTCTTGAATTTCTGGCCTCCAGTGATCCGCCTGCCTCGGCCTCCCAAAGTGCTGGGATTACTTACAGTCTTGAGCCACTGTGCCAGGCCCATTAAATGCTTTAATACCCCCAGTACACCCATTATAAAGTTGAAAACTTGTAAGTTGAACCATCATAAGTCAGGGACCCTCTATAGAAGCCAGAAGGCATGGAGTCTGGGTAGTATTAAGGTTGGCCTCCCAGGCACAGAACAGGATGGAGGATAGAGTATGGCTCTTGGAGGGGACAGCAAAGGCTATCCGGACCAGTCACCAAATGACCTCCTAGCTACTCATTTCAATGCACCCTTTTCCTTTCTTAACCACCCTACAGAATTTGATAATCAATTTTAACTTTTTCAGGATCAGAAAGTGCACCACAAAGGTCTTTTCCATGCTTTGCTCTCTTCCCTTGAGACATCTCCAATCAGACCCACTTGTTTCCTTTCAGCCGGGCTCAGAGGATAGATCCCAGCTCACTTACAAGTCTTTCTTCTTTTCATCCTCATCCTCTTTCAAGACCAGGAAATTCTAGGGTTTCTCCTGTTTTCAAAAACCCTCCCTTGATCGCTCACATTTTTCTTGCTACCATTCAACTCCTTCCCTAGTCATCCAACCTTCTCTAAGGAAGGTTCTGCCACTCCTCCACCTATTCAGTCCGTTGACCCTGGGGAAGCTAGCTTTTACCCCTTTGCCCCCAAAACAGTTCCTGCCAAGGTTCATAGGAGCCCCCGATTGCTGGATTCAAAGGACTTTCTGCTTCTTATTTTTCTGAGATTCGGGGCATCGAGCTGTGGTGATTACTTTCTCCCTGAAACTCTTCCCTATCTTGGTTGCTATGGCAACCTCCTCTCCTAGTTATTTGTCTCATTGCTCAGGTCCTTCCTTTTCCTCTCTCCTTTGTCACCCACCCACACCTCCGTCAGCCCCTCACATGTCTCCGGGACTCATGATGCTATGAGCTCTCTCCCATCTTCCCTCTACACTCTCCACCTCCCATCTTCCCTCTACACTCTCTGCCTGATGGTCTTGCTCATTCCTGGAGTCCCATTAACTTCTGTCCCCAGGTTGGTCCCTCCAGTCAGATTTCTTCCTGAGTCCCAGCTCTGGCATCCAGCTGTCTGCTAACCTCCTCCTGGCTGTACCCCCGGCCCCTCATCTCTACTTCTCTGAGACTGAGCCCATTCCCCCCACCCAAACTGGCTACCATGCTGTGTTCCCCATCTCAAGCACCTCCTCACCATCTGCCAAGGAACCCAAAGACACACGAGAATCACCCTTGGTTCTACCCTCTCTCTCACCCCAACAGCCAACAATCCTTATGCATTTCTGACTTTATTTTCTAAATTGGTCTCCCTGCCTAGAGACTATCTTCTTCCAAATATAGTCTTCACACTGACCATCTCAGTGGTCTTCCCAAATAACAAATCTGAATGCATCACTCTAGTGTAAAAACTTTCAACAGTGCCCAGTGACTGCAGGACAGTGTCCAAACTCCTTGACATGGGGGCATCCAAGGCTCTGCAGGGTCTGGTCTCTGTCCACTTCATCTTGCTCTTCCCATCCCCTCCTTCTTTTGTCATAGTCCAGGAACACCAAATACCCTCCAGCTCACTCCTGCTGCTCCTCATTCCCAAGGCTATGCTTGTGCTGTTCCCTCTGTTTAAAAGGTCTTTCCAGTTCCTTCTAGCTTGCTCATTCCTGCTCATCTCTAAGGAGATAAGTCACCCTAAGACCAATGGTCACCTCTTCTGGAAAGTTCTGTGCATATTTATGTTTCGTTACTGCACTTACCATACTGTACTATGATGGTCCATTTAAATGCTGTGTAGTAGGATCATATTTTATATATTATTTGATGTGCTTCCCCACCCCCCACCACACTTCCTTGCCCATCACCATGTTGGTGCACAACAAACTACACCAAACATTAGTGGCTTACAAACACAATTTATTGGCCAGGTGCAGTGGCTCACACCTGTAATCCCAGCACTTCGGGAGGCCGAGGCAGGCAAATTACTTGAGCTCAGGAGTTTGAGACCAGGCTGGACAATATGGGGAAGCCCCATCTCTATCAAAAATACAAAAATTAGCCAAGTGTAGTGGTGCACGCCTATAGTTGCAGCCACTTGGGAGGCTGAAGTGGGAGGATTGCCTGAGCTTAGGAGGTCCGACGCTGCATTGAGCCATGATTGTGCCACTGTACTCCGGCTAGATGACACAGAAAGACCCTGTCTCAAAAACAACAACAACAAAAACAAAAACAGTTTATTATTCCTCATGGTTCCGGGGTTGATAGGGCTCAGCAAGGTGGTTCTTGCTTAAGTGTTTCATGCAGCTGCAGTCAGATGGCAGCTGGGGCTGGAGTCATCTGCAGGCTCATTCACATAGTTGACAGTCAGCTGGGGGCTTGCTGAGACCGTTGACTGGAGTGACCACATGTGGATTTACCACAGGACCTGCACTTCTCATAGCATGGCAGCTGGCTTGTAGGAGGGAGTGTTCCAAGGCCAAGCATTGCAAGAGGCCTGGCAGAGGCCATAAGGCTTCCTGCGACCTAGTCTTACAAATCCCAGAATGTGCCTTCTGCTATATTCTATTGGCCAAGAAAGTCACTAAGGCCAGCCTAGATTCATGGGGAGGGAATTACACTTCTCTTCCTGATACAAGGAGTATGATATATATCGCAGGAAGGCAAGTATTGGTGGTGGCCATCTTTGGAGACTAGCTACCAAGGTCACTTTTTCCTGATTCAGTCAGAGCTTTGCAGGATTTGGGTTGTTGCAGCATGAATGCAGTGAGAAAGATGGTCAGTAGTTTCAAAGAGTCTCTTGAAACTTACAGCAGACAGGATGCTTTGTTGCAGTAGCCGGGCTTTTGTAAAGAGGAAAGAGCTTGAGGGACTGAGCACTTGAAATTGATGCCAGAATGGTAAACAGGGAAGAATACAGAAGCTGTTTTTCTGCCTAAAAGGAAATAAAAGTTTGACCAGCTAGTGGGAATAAAGGAATCACAAAGAGATGTAGCTCATAGTAGATACTAGAGCTCCCAGAGTAAATTTGAGGTATCCCAGAGCAGAAGGGACTGTTGCCTGGCTCCTCAGGTGTTGCCTGAGAGAACACAAGCTCCTGGCATGGGCTGGAGAGAGGCTGAGGACCCCTGGTGGGAGAAGGTGGCTGGGAGGTGTCCTCCAGGGTCCTGTTTGTCTTTGTAACACGGTGGTGATGGTGAGGGTGTAGAGAAGAGGGTGAGTGTAGCCGGTGGACTTGGAGGTGCCTCATGGTCAGGACAAAGATTTAGTAGGGATTCTGTGGCTCAGTGGATGGCAGTGGATAGTTGCTGGCAGACCTGAATCACTTGTATGCCCCTGGTGCCAGGTCAGAATAGAAGCTCCCAGAACACTGACTACCCACAAGGAGAAGGAGCAGTGGGAAGCAGAGGAGCTGGAAGTGGACCAAGAATCTACTTAAGATAGTCTTTTGAAATGTCCAGATGTGGCTGGGTTTACCTTCAACTAAGTTTGTGCTACTGAGCAGAATGGAGTGGCAGTGGTGTTGGGAAGAGTTAACCTGAGTAATGAAGCAACATTTTGGAGAGGCTCTGTTTGTAGGTTTCTGGGCTAGCACCTGGGGCCACCTTCAACCTTTCATTCTGTCTCATCTCTCCCGTGCACTTGGCACCATGCCCCCTATTTCTACCTCCAAAACTTCTCTTGCCTCCGCCTTCTCTCCATCTGCACTGTTGCTTAGCTCAGACCTGCGTTATTTCTCACCTGGACAACTGTGGTGCCTCTTAGGTACTTCCCTACCTCCAGGCTGTTGGGGCCTGATCAAACCCTTTTCTGCTGGCAGCCAGAGGGATGACCTCTGTTCTTTTTCTAGAACTGCGCCAATCCTTCTTGGAAATCATTCTGCACCCCAACCTATTTGCTTTGAAATTCACCTTCTCATTTATTGCACAACCCACTTTAATGGCCATCATTGATTTGCCAGAGGTGAACCCCAACTCAACTGGGCCAATGGAAGCTTTTGTCTAGATTTCTGGACTTGGGAACAGAGAGAGCTCATAACATGTATGGAGCACTTAGTGTCCATCCCCGAGGTAAGTACTTGATGGACATCATCTCCTTTGACCCTCACAGCATTAAGCTGGTGCTGTTGTTATCCCCATTTCCTATGTGAGGACACTGAAGACAGAGAAATTAGACAAAACAATGAGTAAGCAAGTAGCCCTGATGCTTAACCAAGTTCCTGCGCTCCTACCTCGATCTCTTTGTGGTCATGAACCTGAGAGGTGTGAAACATTGGCAGTCACGAACGCCAGTGTGTGGAAGAGGCATCCCTGAGAGAGGGAGCTGGCAGGCAAAGAGACGTGGAGACATGGAGATGGGAGAGGGGCAGGCTGCCAGTTAAGTCCCTGGCCCCGGGGGACCGGAAGGTCAACTGAACCTAGCTTGGCCTGTGGTTTGCGTATAGAAGCCAATTAAGTTCCTTCTGTGCCTGAGCTGGTTTCAGTTGAGCTTCTTCCACTGGCAAAGAAACTTAACTAAATGAAAGTGATCACACCTGTCTCCCTGCTTAAGAACAGCCACGGCCAGGCATGGTGGCTCACGCCTGTGATCCCAGCACTTTGAGAGGCCAAGATGGGCAGATCACCTGAGGTCAGGGGTTCGAGACCATCCTGGCCAACATGGTGAAATCCTGTCTGTACTAAAAATATAAAAATTAACTGGGCGTGGTGGCACACGCCTGTAATCCCATCTACTCGGGAGGCTGAGGCAGGAGAATCGCTGACCTGGGAGGCAGACATTGCAGTGAGCCGAGATCATGCCACTGCACTCCAGCCTGGGCAACAGAGTGAGACTCCGTCCATTAAAAAGCAAAACAAAAGAAAAAACGGCCACTGGTTCCTCATTACCCTTGGATAGAAGCTCACTTCTTGTCATGACACAGCAGCACTGCAGGTGCAGCCAGCCTGATCTGTCACTGATCTCCCTCCTGCCACACCCATGCCCCCAACCCTGTGTGTCTCAAATCGGCTGGACTCCCTGCAGTTCCCTTAAGAACCCAGGAAGGTTGCTGGCCCTCCAGGATCAGGTGAGGTGAGATCCACCCACAGCTTGCTCCTCATCCCCAGCTCTAACGCCCCTTGAATCCATCTAGGATTTCACCTGGGCAGTCTCACCAGCTGTGGGCCTTTCCTTTTCTGGAGTCAAAACTTAGCTTCTCTTATGTGTCAGCTCCTAAGAACATTTGACAACATCTTAGAAAACTGCAAAGTATCCAAATGTACCCAGAGGCAACCACTGTTCACATCTTGACACACTTGTTATCAGAATTGTTTGTTTTTAGGGACAGTGCCTGGTTCTGCTGACCAGGCTGGAATGCAGTGGCTATTCACAGGCACAATCACAGCGCACTGCAGCCTTGAGCTCCTGGGCTCAAGTGATCCTCCTGCCTCAGCCTCCCAGGTAGGTGGGAATACAGGTGCATGATGTGCCTGGCTTATCAGAATTTTTTTTTTTAATCCAAGAGAATAGAAGGGCTTTTGATGAAGAGCAGCAAGTTCGGGATGGACCCTCTCCCAACCCCAAACTCTTACCCGAGAGTGTGTGATCTCTGCTCCTGGAGGTTGTCTCCTAGCTGTAAGCTCTCAGCTTGTATTAGGAAGAATGCTTTCACCAGAACGTAATATATCACCTAAAAGTGGCTAAGCAACAAGAACATTTATTTCAAGTAATGAAAAGTTCAAAAGTCAGTGGTTCCAGGTATCTGAGATCTGAGTGAACAGAGAACCATGAGTCTCCTGGCCTTCCCCTCCTGGTCACAAGATAGATAGCTGTCAGGGCTCCAAGCACTATGTTTTCACTCAACAGCACCTAGGCAGAAAGAAAGGGGGCAGCCAAGAAACTTCTCCAAGTGCATCCCTCTTTTTCTTTTCTTTTTTCGAGACACGGTCTCACTCTGCCACCCAGGCTGGAGTAGAATGGCATGGTAGTAGCTCACTGAAGCCTCAACCTCCCAAGCTAAAGCAATCTCCTCACCTCAGCCTCTTGAGCAGCTGGGACCACAGGTGCATGCCACCACGCCTGGTTAACTTTTGTATTTTTTGTAGAGATGGGGCTTCACAATGTTGCCCAGGCTAGTCTCGAACTCCTAGGCTCAAGCAGTCTGCCCGCCTCAACCTCCCAAAGTGCTGGGACTACAAGGCGACAGCCACTGTGCCTGGCCCCACATGCATCTCTTTAATTAGGGAGGAAAGTGTTTCCCTGAAACTGCCTGAAGATATCCCCTTACAAGTCCCAAGTCAAAACTGGGTCATGGGAGCCCTCTAGACAGCATCTGCTACACCCCATTTCTAGTTCATAAGATCCACTGATGTCCCAGTGGATTAGGCATTGGGTCACTTGGAAACTACTCCCCTCTATCCCTACCTCTCCTAACACAGTCTTTAAGTACCTCTGTTGGTTATCTTTTTAAGAAACCTACTTGCCCCTTCATTCCTTATTCTACCACATGTCCACAGAAGCTCTTGCCTCCCCACTATTGTCCCTGTCAACCTTCCTACCCTCTTCCCTTCACTGCTACCTCCCAACTTTTATATCTTTACTTTCACATTGTGACAGATGATAATGTTGACATTCTATTCTGCAACCATAATAAAATTCAGGTCAATACAAAAGTTGAATATTAATGAAAACTAGAAAGATAACATTTTCATTATTTAAGTATACCATATATTTCCTCTGGGTATCTATATATGTAAGTTTTTAGAAACGTCTAGAAAAGTCCACATTGAGCCCATTACTGTGGTTACCTCTGGAGAGGAGGAAGGGAATAGGGTGGCAGTGGGTGGCCAAAAGGGACTCCAGCTTCATCTGCAATGTTCTCTTTTTTAAAAAAGGGGAACGTATTCATGTTTTGCTTGTGTCATTCGACTTCAATTTTTTAAAAAATTACTATTTATTTTCAGCCAATAACGTGGGCTCCGTGTGTTTGGATGTGCTTGCATGTTTGTGCCCAGGGAGGAGGAATATTTACTTTGTGTGTGCCTGTGAATGAAGTAGAGTGATTAGTAAGCAGATGAAAAAGAAATGTAGCAAGCAAAAGCAAAACAAAAAAGGGGGCTGGAGAAAACTAATTCACAACAATAATAAAAAGTATAGGAATAAACCCATTAGGAAATGGGCAAGTTCTTTATGGGGAGAACAACAGTGCATGAGTGAAGGACATACAAGATAATAAGAATAAACGTAGAGCTCTACTGTATTCATGAATTCAAAGGCTCGGTATTGTATTGATGTCAATTTCTCCAACTTGACAAGCTGGCTTTACAATTCATGTGGAGGAGTTAGTGTGCGGTACTAGTTAGCTAAGAGAGCTGAGAAGGAAGCACAACGAAACATGGCATTTGACTTCACAGATACCAAAAGGTGGGACAGCAAAGAAAACAGTCTTGTACTGAAAGGAATAAATGGATTGTTGGGAAAAACAGGGGCTTCAGACACACCTGACTCAGAATATCAGGGAGTTTTACTTCAGGTCAGAGGGGAAAGGAAGAACTAGTCAACCCCTCATACTGCAATAATTGGCTGCCCGTTTGGAGAAAGGTTAGATCATATATCAATATGATAATCAAAATATATTCCAGATGCATAAAGAACCAAATAAAAACAAAATTATAAAATTATTAGAAAAGAAGAAATAATATATTTAAATCTTAGGAGTAGGGAAGGACTAAACATGGTATCTGTATAAAAAAGGATCAAAGGAAAAGATTGATAAATTGGATTATGTCAAAACTAATAACTTCTAACAAAAGATTCTACAAAGAGTTAAAGGCAATGACAAGCTGGAAGAAAATATTTGTCACATATCTACAAAAGATCAATATCCAGATTATATTACAAAACTCCACAAGCCAGTGGGATAAAGACAACCTAATGCTTAAAATGAGAAAAAATAACAGGCAATTCAGAAAAGAGAAAATACAAATGCTCAATATACATATGAAAATCTCACAAGCAAACAGGAAAATACAAATTTTAAAAAGGATTCAATTTTTCACCCATGAGATTGGCAAATATTTAAAACAACCGCCTATGGGTGTGGGGATTACAGCCCTCTCATACCCTCTGGCTGGAAGCTTAAATGGTACAGAAATCATGGAGGACAGTGGTAGTATCTGCTAAAACTAAAACTGTGGACATATTAAGACCCAACATTCCATTTCCCAATCACTCCCAGAGATATCCCACCACAAAGGAACATGCAATGTGGTTTCTGCAGCACTGCTCATGATGGAGGAAAGAAAAAGAAGCAATTAAATGTCCATGGAGCTTACAGAAGATAAAATGTGGTACATTCATGGGAATGAATACAACATAGCTATTAAAGGCAAAAGCAAGCTATGTGTAGCAATAGGAGTATATTGTAAAAATGTAACACTGAGTGAAAAAAACCTGCAGCTTATAGTAAAATCGCTATAATGTGGTATGACTCATTGAAAATACATCAGGACTATGTGTTACTATGGATGGAGATACATAAAACTGTGGAGGGGGTGGGAAATGAGGACTCCAGAGGGTGGCCAAAGGGGACTACAGTTATATTCATATTGTCCTACTTTTAAAAAGGAGAATGTATGCACACTTTACTTGTTTAATTAAAGTATAATTTGAAAAGATTCTAATTTGTTTTCAGCCAATTATGCTGCCTCTGTGCGTCTGGCTGTGCTCAAATTTTTGTGCCCAGAGAGGGAGAACGTTTACTTTGTGTGTGTCTGTGAATCAAGCACAGTGATTAGTAAACAGGTTGAAATGGGATATGAAAAAACAAGGGCCAAACAAATAAGAGCAGAGGGCAACCTATTCACAGTTAACAGCAAAACCTATAATATACCTAGGAATGAATTCAACAAGAAATATGTCAGACTTTAACCAGAGAAAACCATAAAACTGTCCTGAAAGATGTAAAAGATGACCTGAATTGAGAATAGAGCAATGTGCCGTGGTAGGAAGACTCTATATGATAAAGATGTCAGTTTTCCTTAAATTTATCCATAAACTCAGGCCAGGTGCAGTGGCTCATGCCTGTAAACCCAGCACTTTGGGAGGCTGAGGTGAGTGAATCACGAGGTCAGGAGTTCAAGACCAGACTGGCCAGCATGGTGAAACCCAGTCTCTACTAAGAATACAAAAATTAGCCAGGCATGGTGGCGCACGCCTGTAGTCCCAGCTACTTGGGAGGCTGAGGCAGGAGAATCACTTGAACTGGGGAAGTGGAGGTTGCAATAAGCTGAGATCATGCCACTGCACTCCAGCCTGGGGAACAGAGCGCGACTACATCTAAAAAAAAAAAAAAAAAAAATTATCCATAAACTCAATGTAACCCCAATAAAATCCCAGCAGAAATTTTCCCGAAACTTGAAAGGCTTATTTTAAAATTCATGTGGTAGGACTAATATGCAAGAATGACCAAGGTAATTTTGCAAAAACAACAAAGAGGGTGAGATTTGTCCTGCCAGTTAGCAAAGCATATTATCAAGCTCAGGAGCAGACAAATATATCAGTGGACCAGATTTCCTACTGGGATTTAGTATCGGACAAAGGTAGCAATTTTAAATTAGTGGGGAAATGATATAGAACTCCACAAGTAGTATTGGGACTAAAATTATTTAACCATTGTTGGGGAGATGAGAGGGAACTAAAGTTAGATCCTAAGATTCATGTATGCATATGGAATTTATTTTTTGCATGTGGTAAAAAAGGCATACACACACACACACACACACATATATGTAAATGATAAATGTTAGAGAAGAAATACAGGAAAAATGCTTATGACCTCAGTACAGGAAAGGCTTTCTTAAATAAAATTGAAAAAAAGACATAAAATTAAAATAGATCGATTTGACTGTATCAAAATTTAAGATTTCTCCAAAGACACAATACAATTAAATGACAAGAATCACAATACAGAAAATATTTGCAATACACATAAAGTATACAAAATACATAAAGAACTTCTAAAAAATCAATAAGGAAAAGACAACGTACCCTAAAAAAAAGAAATGGGCAAAAGATTTGGACAAGTAATGCAGAGAAGGAAATATAAATGGATAGGAGACACAGACTTCAGCCATCCTGGTAATTCAGAAAAATGCAAACTAAAACAAGATATTATTTTTCACCCACCAGATTGGTTAAAATGTAAAACTTGGAGATGGTCTGGAGAAATGGACACACATACTGCTGGCATGAAATTAAATCAGAAAGGTACTTTGAAGAACATTTTAGCAGTTACTATTAGAATTTAAGATGTGTAGACTCTATGACCCATCAATTCTGTTTCTAAGTATCTGCTCCAGAAAAACACTTGTACATGAGCAAAAGTGGCATGTACAAGGATGCTGTTACAGGTTTGTCTTATTGAAACAAGACTGGAAGCCTTTTAATAGTCGATCAATAAGCAACAACTAAATAAATCATAGCACAATCAGTTCTGGTTGCCAGCGGCCAGCTGAAAGGGGCAGTGGAGCCAGCTGCGGCAGGTGACACGCGACATGAGGAGAGTCCCGTAAGGTGCCCTGAGCTCAGGAGCAGCACCTCCAGTGTGTACACCACCACATCTATGCAAGCAAACAAAAGCAACAATAGAACACAGGACATGTTTCAATGCGCATAGGAGAACATTTTGGATCAACAGCAAATGCCTAACAGCAGCTGCCTCTAAAGTGGGGAAGGGGCCTGAGGTCAGGCTGGGGAGGCCAGTAGAGACTTCTTTACCTAAAATGCTCTAATTTTATTTAAAGGAAAATGTATTCATGTATTACTTGTATAATTAAAATTTAATTCAAAAATTCTAATTCATTTTCAGCCAATTAGCTCTGATTTACATGTGTGCTGTGTTTTCATTTGTGTGCCCAGGGACAAAGCACATTTGCTGTGTGTGTGTCTGTGAATGAAGCATAGTGATTAGTAAACTGATTAAAATTTGGAAAGCAAAATGAAAAAAGGGAAAGTTTTTCCACTCACAAAAGCAACAAAACTAATAAGGTTTTCAGGAATAAACCTATTAAGAACTGTGAAAAATCTTTATGACAAAAGCAACCAACCTTTATTAAAAGGCATTAAAAACAAAACAAAACAAAACAAATACAATTCTGATTAAAAAGAGACAGACACCATGTCCACAGATGGGAAGAACTTATATTCTAAAGATGTTAATTTCCCCTTCAATGCAATTCTTCTCAAACTTCCAACAGACATTTTGTTCACAGAACTTTGACAAGCTGATTATAAAATGTACCTGAAAAAGTAAATGTGCAATATGACCAAGACAATTTTAAAAAAGAATAAGGGGCTGCGCACGGTGGCTCATGCCTATAATCCCAGCACCTTGGGAGGCCGAGATGGGTGGATCACTTGAGGTCAGGAGTTTGAGACTAGCCTGGCCAACATGGTGAAACCCTATCTGCACCAAAAAATACAAAAATTAGCCGGGCATGGTGGCGCGTGCCTGTAGTCCCAGCTACTCAGGAGGCTGAGGCAGGAGAATCACTTGAACCTGGGAGGCGGAGGTTGCAGTGAGCGGAGACTGCACCACTGAACCCCAGCCTGGGCGGCAGAGCAAGACTCCGTCTCAAAAAGAAAAAAAAGGAATAAAGGCCTTGGGGGAAGGGTGGAGTGCTTATCTTATCAAGCCATAAGACACTTTATTAAGCTTTGCTCATTAATATGTACTATTGGCTCAGAAATAGACAAATAGATCAACAGAACCGGAGTCTAGACAGGGAATTGAGAGAAAAGATGGTGTTGGAACAATAAATGGTGCTTAGCAAACTGGATATCTGCAAAAAGAGCAAATTAGAGCTCTGTGTCACACCATACATGAAAACACATCTCAGATGGGTTAAAGATTTAAACATTTCAAACAACTATAGACGTTTTAGATGCAAACACACAATGTATATACACTGCGGTGGGGACCTGCTTTCATCAGCAGTGCGGCAGGACACTTAAGCATCCAGTAGGGTTCCAGGCCGACCTCACCTCCCACCTTTGGAAAGGGCCTGCCGAGCATCTCCATCTGGACCTCACAGACTCCTCTTCCTCCTTCTCTCCAGCTCCACCTGGTCCTGGGAAGAGGGACTGCCACACCGGATGGACTGAGGTCTGAAGCCAGCTCCTGCCACTTGTGCTCTGTGTCAATAAGGCATCTCCCTCTCTGGCTTCCAGTTCCTCCTCTATGAGTAGGTAATGGGGTTACGCTCCATTTCTTGTGGGGAAATGTGAAGCTCGTATGAGATGATCAATGTGAGCATGGATAAATGGCATGGAGCTTACAAGGATGAGGGGAGCAGATACCTCTACTTTGTCTTGATCCACTCCCCATAACCCCTGCTACGCAAGACTTAACATCCAATTCTTCTTCCTTGCATTGTAACTTCTGGATAATTGTCGTAGAATCTTTTTGGTCAAAAGAAGTTTGAGTGTTGACTTCTGACATTTGATTCCAAGGCAGAAAATACTGATTCGGCACCCAAGGAGCTTACTACCTGTTGCTAGGTGCTGAGAAACACACAAAATAATAAGACATAATCCCAGCCAAAAGACAGGATAAAACTGGTGCTAATTAGAACTATAGTCGGTACACAGGTCAGATAAAAGCTCCCAAAAGAACATGGAGATCAAGTTACTCTCTAAAAGGTACATAATTTAATTTTGCCCCATTCAGTCAAATACACATTATTGCCCCAAACTAATTTATCCACCTCCATAGTTGATCCCAGCCCCTTTGGGAGCTCATCTCACTAATTGTCTCCATCCCTAATCGCTCAATTACTCAGGCTCCTTATCCTCAGAATGTTCATCTGCCAGCATTTCTCTCTCTTTTAAGATTAAAAGTCCTGGATCTTGCTGCTTCTTTCCTTAATCGACTCCCACCCAAACTGCTCTGGCAGAGATTCTCAGAGGTCCCCCAATGGCCCCTTGGGGTGCTCATCAGCAGGGCCACCATGCTACCCAATTCCAGAGGCACCATGGAGGTTGTGCAGGTGCACACTGGAGTAGTTCAGGGATTGCCCTGGTCCTCCTGACCTCTCTGCACACACCCACTGCTGACCACCCTGTCTTTCTGCTGAGACACCTCCCGGCTCTTTCTTTTCAGTGCTCTCAGAGGATTCTTCTTCTCTTTTCTAATCTCCAAATGTTGGTGCTCCTTGGGCTTGATTTTTTTGTCCTCAGCCATCCCCTCGCCTAAAAATGCCCCAGAAGCCTGTCAACATCTGGATCCATATTTCCATTTGGGAGCCCCCTGGAGCCCTGGACTGGTCTCCATAATTTCTCACCTTGTGCTCTGGAGCTGTGCCTTCAGCTGTTTCTTCTCCATCTGCATTGGGATGTCTCAGCTTTTACCACTGGACTTGGGGTCTACCTTACAGACCTGGCCCCTTTCCAGGGCTCCCCAGCTCTGAAAATGGCATTGCCATCTCACCAGTAAGGCAAACCAGAAGCTCAGGGGTCATCCTGAACGCTGCCCTCTTCCAGCCCCTCTTCATTCCATCCAGCACCAAGACTAACCAGAATATGCAGATCATGTCCAAATCCTGTCCACTACAACAAAGCTTCCGAACTAGCCTCCCTGTCTACCCATGCTGCTCTAATGATTTCTCCACAGAACAGCCAGAGTCCCAGGCAGATTACAGCAACATACCAGGGCAGGTCACATCCCCTGCTTCCCTCGCTCTCAGGATGTTGGCAGGAGCTCAGCCCTGGTCTCCAATGCTCTGTATAGCCAGAACTGCTTGTCTCTCTGGTCTCACCTCTCCTTCCTCTCTAGTCAGGCCCTTTGCTCAGAATGCTTTCCAATTTGCTTTGTGGTCAACTTTGTTCTCTTCTTTCTATCTTGGTTTGGAGGATCACCTCCTCAGGGAAGCCTCCCAGAGTCAGATGAGGGCAGGTCCCCTGGTGGCACACCCTTCAGTACTCAGTACCATTCCTTCAGAGTGCCTATCAGTGTTGGAAATTGTACATTTACATATGTGATTATCTGACTATGTCTTTCTCCCCTACCACCATGAGAACAGGGATTCTGACTATTTTAATTCATTCACCCAAGTATCCACAGTGCTAGGCACACTGCTGGGCTGGGCACACAATTAGGTGCTAAAAGAGAATTATGTGGAATGTATCAACTTTCGTATTAAACAATGGATGCTTAACACTTTGGGAGCTGAGCCTATACACCTGCTCATCTTTCCTAGCCTCAGCCTCCCAGCCCCTACCCTTCACATCTCCAAATCTCCCTTCTGGACTCCTTAGAGGACTCCTAGTGACAGATCCATGTCCTCTCACATCTCACCATTATTCCAGCCTAGGCCATCACTCCCTCAACATGCTCTTATTAAGGCCATCAAAACTTACTAATTATGAAATCCAAAGGAAAAATTCTCTATCTTATTGGAATTCTCTGCTGCATTTGACAGTGTTGATTACTTTCTCCTTGAAACTCTTCCCTAACTTGGTTGTCATGGCAACCCCCTCTCCTGGTTGTTTGTCGCATCTCTCAGGCCCTTCCTTTTATTTCTCCTTTTTTGCCTGCCCACACCTGGCTCCTCAAATGTCACTATGACTCATGATTCTGACCTGAGCCCTCTCCCATTTTTTCTCTACACACTCTCCCTGGTAATCTCACTTATGCTTAGGGTCCCCATTACTCTGAGTGGTGACAGCCCTGGGCTAGTGCTTCCAGCTAAATCTCTTCCTGAGCCCTGGACACCAGGATCTAAGTGTCTGCTGGGCCCCACTTGGCTGTGTCTGAGTCCACTATCCTGTCCCTCAAACTGGCTCTCCATGCTGTGTTCCCCACCCCAGGGGCCTCCCCACCATCCACCCAGGACTCCACTCAAGATACACGGGACTGGGCATGGTGGCTCATGCCTGTAATTGCAGCACTTTGGGAGGTCAAAGTGGGAAGATTGCTTGAGCCCTGGAGATGGAGATCAGCCTGGGCAACATGGTGAGACCCTGTCTCTATGAACGAACAAACAAACAAACAAAACCAAGACACATGGGAATTACCTTTGGCTTGACCTTCTCTCTCACTCTCACAGATAAGTACTCACTAATTATTTCTGGTTTTTATCTACCACAAGTTCTGATCTCTCTCCATCCCCACTGGTCTACTTCAGGCCTTCCCCTCTCTTACCTGGAAGTCTCCTGCCTCTGAACTGGCTACTTCTTCTAATGGATATCTGGGAGTTTTGGCTTTTTAGCATGCCTTATTCCTCCCTGAAGCCCCTTATTACTTTTAGGGAAATTTTCTATCTTATGTGGCTGTGGTGGGACCTGGGCCGTTCTCTCACATGGAAGCTATGGAGGCCCCTCCTCCAGGTCCTGCCTCTTACCACCCAGGTCCTATCGGGGATGGCACAAGGCCCAAGCTCAGCCAGCTAAACCAAGCCTCTCTCTGGACTTTGACTTCTGTCCAAATAGCGAAGAAATAGAATTCTTTGATGTCTAGGCAATACCAACAAATAGAACTGCTACTGAGACCCTGAATGTCCCATTCAAGCCTGTGACCTGGACCTTACCTATTTCATTGCTCCCTGGATATTGTCACAAAGTCTTTTTGATACAAAGAAAAATTTCTGAATCTCTATTTCAGACACTGGATTTCAAGCAGAAAATAATTATTCTGCCCCTACCTAGCTGGCTGCCTGTTGCTAGGTGCTGAAAGGTACAAGAAAATGAGAAAGACATGGCCCTAGCCACGAGGCAGACAAACCCGTGCTAATTAGAGCTGGAGTCAGTACCCAGAGGGCAGAGAAAAGGCCTCCCAAAGAACATGGAGATCAGGTTACTTGCTAAAATGTACATAATTTACTTTTGTCCCTTTTCACCAACACTGCTAATCCCTTCACCTCTACACTTAATCCCAGAGCTCCAGGGCCCCTCTCACTGCCCCGCCCTGCCCTTCCAACTGGGCTTGTACTGCTTCCTCCCTCCCATGTCTCCTGGAAGAATTAGCTCCTTCCTGGACCCACTGCCTGCTCCAACTCCCCCTCCCTCCTTTCTCAGCCAGACCCAGTTCATTCCCCCCACACCAAGAGGAGCTTCTGCCCCGTGCCCCAAAGTTGCTGTGACAAAAGTCCCCAAAGGCCAGGTCTAGGAGATGCCTGAGCCTCCACTGACCTCTGTGCATGTGGCCCACCAGTGGCCACTCTGTCCTTTTGGAAACTGTCCTCTGGCTTCTAGGAACCCCATGTTTTTGGTCTTCTCCTCTGGCCCCTCCTTCTCAGTCTCCTCAGCAGGACTCTCTTCCTGTACCCATTCCTAAAATGTCACGAACTCGTTTCTGGCCTTGTCCTTCTTTGAGTGCATCTCTGGTTCTTCATCTATCCCTGTTGAGATGCTCACCCTTCTTTGGTGAGCTCCCAACCGGTACAGGTACATACACTTTCCTACTTGATGCCAGCTATGCACATTTTCCTTCCTTGCCCACCCTCGCCCTTTGCTCCTGCCTCTGACTCAGACAGGTGGGAGGACTCTAGGTGATAGCCTTCTGGACTGCTTCTATCACATCTATCCTTAGGTCATCTCAGTCCAGAGCCAGCTCAGAAATTGTCCCCTGGCCCAAACTGTTACTCTAGCAGCTTTCCCTGAGAGGTGGCCATGCTGCCTGCTTTCCTTGCCCTTTCATTTTCCTCTGCCCCATCTCTCACAGGAAACTGTTCTTGATGAGGGTCTAGTGGCCCCTAATTACTACATCCAGTGGGCTCTCGGTCCCTGTCTAGCTGGCCTTTCTCTTTTGTCTGTTGGCTCTCTTTTGGAAGTGCTCCACATCCCCAGGTTTCCATGCCAACATAGGCTACAGGTGCTTTTTCTATGTCTCTCTGACTTCTTTTTCACCTTTGTGGGCTCCCCTCTCTCTGCCCACCCCTTAAATGGGGGCAAGGCTCTTTCTTGTTCCTGGACCCCTCTTTTCTCAGCTGACACGTTCTGCTAGAGCCAGCTCACCAAAGCCCATGGCTACAATGACCATAGTCTCAAACCAAATCTCTTGTTTAAATCTCCTGCTGGATCTAGACCCTCTATCTAGCTCCTTGCAGGCCACCTCCTCCTGGATGCCCACCTCTGACTCAACCTGTCCAAAATTGAGCTCAATAACTTTCTCTTAGCCCCCAAACCTGCTCTTTCTCCTAGGTGTTCTTCCATTCACCCAGTCACTCACGACAGAAAACAGGAAAGGTATCCTTTACTGTCTTTCTTTAACACCAGCAACCAACCAGTCAGCAGATTCTCCCAATTTCACCTCCTGGATCCGACCACTTCCTTCCATCCTCTTGGCCCCTACCCTTATCCCTCCTGGACCCCACCTGGACCAAGGCAATCATCTCCTCTCTGGCCCACACGCCTCCAAATTTCTCCAAGCAACCAGAGTAATCACCTCAAAAGAGAAATCCTACCATGGCACCTGCTTGCACAAAATGCTTCAGGGGCTCCCTGCTGCAATTGAAGACCCAAGTCTTAAATTAGACATAGTAACACTATGTGATCTGGTTCTGCTTTCTCCACCCCTAGCCTCTCATTTCATGCTTCAGCAATCCCCAGCTGTCTGAGTTCATCCATGATGGCTCTCACCTCTGCCTCTGCCTTCTACTTGAGTAACTCCTACCCATCCAGTCACCTCTTCTAGGAACCTCCTTGGATATTCCCATGAAATTTCACACCTGCACCACCAACCCCAGCTGCCCATGCTTCCATGTCCCAGGCACCTCTCTGGCCTTCTCCTTCCTATGTATCATTTTAGTGTCTGTCTGTGTGTTTTTCTTAACTCTTTGAACTCCCAAGGGCAAGGATCATATTTATCTTCAGGTGTGTGTGTGTGTGTGTGTGTGTGTGTGTGTGTGTGTGTGTACTTTTATAGATACAGGATCATGCTATGTTGCTTAGGCTGGTCTTGAACTTCTAAGCTCAAGCAATCCTCCTGCCTTGGCCTCCTAAACTGCTGAGATTACAAGCATTAGCCACTGTGCCTGGCCAATATTTAAAAACCTATCATCATGCCTGACGCAAAGTAGATACTCAATAAATGTTGAGTAAAGTTACAGGCCACTTACTCTCTCTGAAAACTTCTCTCTTCTTCCGACTTTCCAAGAAGTGTACACCAATTCACATTCCCCCCAGTAGTGTGAAACAGTGCCTATTCCACTATCCTCATGAACATTGGGTATTCTTAAATTTCTTCCCCTAATTTGTTAGGGAAAATTTGTATTTCCTTGTTGTTTTTATTGTTGATCTTTGGTTATTAGTGAAGTTGAATGTTTTTTCAAAAAGTTTTTCAGTCAATTCCATTTCTTTTCCTGTAAACTCAATTCAGGTGACTTACACACACTTACCTGTTTTGCTTTTACTATTAAAGTTTTGGGTGTGTTCTTTTATACATTAAGAATCTGCAACCACTCTGCTTTTTGGTTGTTTGTGATATTACTTGACTTTGAAAATATTTAGTTTTAATGTAGTCAAATTGGTTGGCCTTTGCCTTCTTGATGTCATTTTGCTGCTTTTTAGCTTAAATGGGCTCCCTCATTCAGTCACTTGTTAAATATTCCTTTTCCCTCTGGTTTTTAATGGGCTCATTTTTCCTTTTGACCTTTGAAAATAATTTTTGAATTTGGGTGTGTGCTCTGAGGTGAAGTTGGAATGGACTTTTTCTCTTTTTAGTGAATCAACAGTTCATGCCTCAATTTTGGGTAACCCTTTCCTTCTTGGCTCTGGCTCTGAGCTTAGCTATTCCCGGCTGATTACAGCATTTATGGTCCCAGCCTTCTCAGAGCACATACCACCTGAACAGGAACTGGAAGGCTACAGGAAGGTATGATTCCAGGCACAGTGACAGTGAAACACAGGGAGGTGTTTAAGGGATGGGAGCAGAAAGCCTTTCTGGAAGCCTGACAGAAGAGTGTGTGGAAAGATGGATCACCTACTTTGCCAATGTGAATGGCTAAATCTAGCTGGCATCCACCTGTCCTAGAGGCTTCCAATTCTGCAAGGAAACATTATTCGGGGTCACAAGAGACAAAATGCCCACCCCACTCCTCACCTACACCAACCTACCTGTATAGACTCTGCCAGCACATTTCACCATCAGCAGAAAAATCATCTCAGCCAGCTCCTGCCAAGTTCACCTTCTGGGGGCTGCAGCCATCATCACGATTCCTCCATGCTGCAAGATGAGTTCTTGACCCAGAACCTGGGGTCCCCATCCTCCTTGTTCAATTACTGCTCTAGGCACCAGGGTATCTGAGGGTAATGCTAGAGCTGGAAGGGAACTGTGGAATTATCTAATCCAACTACCTCATTTCACAGACGGGGAAACCAAGGCCCAGTGAGGGGAGGTGACCCACAGCCATCCAGCAAGTGAGTGGAAAGCATCCTTGCTGGGAAAACTCAGTGTGAGGACTTTGCCCGTCGAATCTTGACCACAAAAATATGTGGACCCTGGGTTCTAAAATAATTACATGGTAAACTTGTATATTGTTCAGGAAAGTGGCATGGTGCGTAAAGAAGACAGTGAAGTCAGAGGAGTACAGGCCTATTTTTGCCAGTTCTTTCTGGAAGAACTGAAGTTTGTTCTCTCCTCTAAAAAATAGGGATAATCAAGAATCCAAGATGATAGAAGCAAACTCACCCAACAGACTGAGGGTAAGTCTACATAGGGTCCTCAAACCTCAAGACCCTAAATGGGTAATACCATGAGTATGTGAGGCCCGCCCCCACCGAAAAAAAAAAAAGAAAGAAAAAAAAAACCCTTGTAAACTGTACAGAACTGTGCCCATAGGAGAGGTTGGTCATCCTAGTACTGGCCACCATGTAGGTGTCAATTCTCAATACTCCAGGCAGCCCAACTTAACTAGCCAAGGGTGGTTCCTGGCCTTCCTCTATCATCTTTTTTTTTTTTTTTTTTTTTTGAGACAGGGTCTCGCTCTGCCACTGAGGCTGGAGTGCAGCAGCATGATCTCGGCTCACTGCAGCTCCGCCTCCCGGGTTTAAGCGATTCGTATGCCTCAGTCACCCGAGTAGCTGGGGTTACAGGTGCATGCCACCATGCCCAGCTAATTTTTTGTATTTTTAGTAGAGATGGGGTTTTGCCATGTTGGCCAGGCTAGTCTCGAACTCCTGGCCTCAGGTGATCCACCCGCCTTGGCCTCCCAAAGTGCTGGGATTATAGGCGTGAGCCACGGCACCTGGACACTTCTTGTATCATCAATAGCTTAATGCTGGTATTTTTCCTCTTTGATCTAATTTCCCATTTCAGTTATTTCACCCCAGCAAATATTTATTGAGTACCTCCCAGTGATGGCTTGAGAACAGATGAGGTCACCTGCCGAGTGCTAAGCCTCCCAGGTTTGGGTGGGTGGGTCGTTGCATGCTTGCTATCCAAGGCTAAGCCCCTATCTGTCCATCTAGTGCCGTCCACTCCAGGCCACTTGGGACACAGGCCATCACTTATCCCTGTTCGCTGTTGGCCTTTCTCTTCTTGGTGTCATTTCCTTGCTTTTCAGCTTAGAGAGGTCCTCCACTCAGATACTTAAAGATTTTATTAAACATTTTATTCCTTTCCTCCTGGTTTTTAATGGGCTCATATCTATTTGGCTATTAAAAATAGCCTCTCTCTTCCCTGGCCTCTTCCCCCTCTGAAAAATGATGTGTCCCAGACTTCCAGTCCTATCTGAGCACCGGGAGCCTCCCTGGTGCCTTTGCCCCAGCTCCCTAACTGCAGGCAGCCCTCCACCTCCTTCTTCCCCTCATGACTACAGGGAAGACAAGGACAGTGGTGAAAGTGAGGCTCTGAAGGGCAACAGAATGGGACACAAATCCCAGCTCTGCCCCCCATCTTGGGAAAGTGCCTTCATCTTTTGAAGCTCTTCTGTATAGTGGGCAAAACCACGTCAACCCTAGGATGTTCTCTTAAGGTTTCAGGGAGATATTGTTGACAAAATGCTCATCAGGGCCTGATCCAGAAAAGCACAGGCCAAATATTAGCTACATAAAAAAAGACCAGTCCAAACGGGTCACTTCCACTCATCCACCTCTTTCCCTTCATAGTTGGAAGAGGTGACCTGTTCCTCTCATCTCCACTTCTTCCTCTTATTCTCTTCTCTTCCCATGGTGATGTGATGTCTGTCTCTATTGCTCTGCCAACCCCAAGATGGATGACAAGACCTCCTAACTGACCAACCCAACTGCCTCTTCTTGGTTGTCTTGCTGGTACTGCTCACCACTGGAGGCTTCATATTCCTTCTCAAAACCCCTCCCTCCACACCTTCTCCCTGGGCAATCTCCTGGAATCTCAAGTGAAAGGGGCCATCTCTTCCGGGAGGACAGGTGGGCTCCTCTGGCTGGGCACCTGCAGAAGCAGAGCAGGAACACCTAGGGGTAGGGAACCAGGCTGTGAAATGCTCTGCTCCATTAACAGAGAGAATGCCATCCTCTAGGCAATAGGGAAGGACGAAGTTAAGCCAAGAGCCACAGAACATGACCTAAGCTGGTAAAGATGGCCAATGGTGGCCATTTGGTTGATGGGTTGAAAGAGACAAGATTGAAAGCAGAGAGACATCTGGTGCAACTGTTCAGCAAGAGATGATCTGAATTAAAAGAAGGAGATGGATATAGGAAAGATCAAGGGACCGGAGAGACAGGACTAGAGGTGCAGTGGTGTCATCACGACCAGGGATCGGGAGGCCCAATCCAATCTTGCTGGTTTTGGACATCACTCATACTGCACACCCAGACTGTTAGGAGGGCACAGCTGCCAGGGCTATTAGTCACAGTAGCTGTGGTGTGTGCTATGTGCCTGTGGTCCCCAGTTCCTGTCAGTACAAAATGGAACCATATGGCGTTCATAAAAATGGCTCTGAGGGTGGAAAGAAGAACTGGATCCTATTTGGCCAGTAAGTAAAAACAAACAAAACCAAAAGCCAACCACCAAAAAGCAGCCCCCCAAATGGCCCACCCCATCTGTGAATAGTAGTCTAACCCCCACAGTATTGTAGCTGGAGTCTGGGGGTTGGACTGAGGACAGTTTTTCCCTGGAATGGTCTGAGGGAATAGGATGAAAGGACTTAAATCCCGGTGATGGGCTCATATGGGTGTGTGTGGCAGTGGGGCCCGGCTGCAGGGAGTTCTCAGACTGTCTAAAGAGGACACTCATGATCTAGGAGGGGAAGAGGAGATGGAAATGGGAAAATGAGCAAGGCAGAGGACCATCTAAGATGTGATCAGAGTTCAGGAATCAAGGGCCAGCCTGGCCTAGCTGTGAACTCTTGGGCAAGTCAAGAAACCTCTCAGCAGAGCTTCGGTCAACTCTCTGTGAAACAGTAGTTCACGATCTGCACTCCTGCAAGCTCACCTGCCTGCCAGCCTATGGGGAGGAATTCATAAAAGCGGGAAAGCTGGGGAAGTCCCATATGCAGGGTTAGGGGGTGGGAAAGGTAGAGGGAGGGAAGAAGAGGGAATCCCCTTGGCTTACAAGTGACCCAGGAGTCCACCTACATCCAGACCTTACAGGGTGTCTACCACCTGGTGGGGCTACTCCTAAACCACATGTGAGCTGCTGCCACAGCGAGGATGCCAGGCTGGGCAGTCTTTTATAAGGTTCTTCTCGCATATCTTTGTTCACAATACTAGTCTGGAGGCTGGAAAATAATCTCTGTCACTTCAGAGTTGCCAAGAGATTTGGGAGGCAAACAGAGTTCCTTTCCTTCTAGGAAAGACTGGGCCACCCAATTACTTAGGGACTCTTAGCAATTGATTGAACCACCTATTCATCTAGCCACCAGGTCAGCCAACCAGCAGGTACTATGCCAGGCCTGGTCAGGTAAATTCTGTGCTTGGTCAAGGAACAAAGACTAAGCCCCTTATCTTCAAGGGTTGTGCAGGGCCTTGATGACCAAGCCAAGGGATTGGGCCCATAAACAATATGGAATTACTGAAGGGCTTTGTCTGTCTTTCCTGCCTCATAGACACTTCCATGTCTTCTTTGGCTCTAAGCTAAGATCCTTGACAGTTCTGCACCCAAGAGACTTCAAGTTTATTTTTTAATGCAAAAGATCCTTTGATTAAACACTTGATTGTCTTAATATACTTTCTTTCAACCACTGTCTCTAAGACTAAAATAACAAGGAGATAAATGTCACTGATGTTTCACAGAAGACAGCTTTGGAAATGTTAAAGATATCTTGGTCCAGCCCCCTCCTTGACTTATAAATGGGGAAACAGAGGCCTAGAGAACAGTAAGGAGAGCAAAGCCACATGGAAAATGGATGGGAATCAGTCCCAGGGCCTTAGCACCTGCCTGCCTGCCCCCTCCTTGGAGGGTCACCACTACCAGTGTGGGGCAGGAGGCTGGCAGAGGGTTTGGCTTTGGAAAAGGTGTTGAGCTGTCCAAGTACAGGCTCCACACAAGCTGCTCAGGAAAAGTACTGAGAGGCCAGAACCACCCAGAAGATTAGTCTTTGAAGAAGACTCATATCTGACCCTTTGGGATATTTGACAAAGCACTCTCAAACATATGCTTCCTCTGGTTCCTCGTTGGGAGGAGGCTGGACAGACAGGGGTTACTCTCCAAGAGAGGGAAATCCATGGAGGGTTGCTGGGTAAAATGGTGGCTAAGTAGGGGCTCAAACTGAGGACTTTGGTCTCCCAGAAAGAAAGCTACACCTTGGTGTTTTCCTTTTCAGGATACTGCCTTTGCAGAGAAGGTAAAAAATAATTAATGGACTTCACACAGAGGTACTGAGATATGGTCTCCCAAATAATCTCTACCTAACTCCACTAAAGCCCTAATAACATGGTATTATCTACCCACAAGAATGACTCTGCCCTCCCTCCTGCTGATCTGAGCTCCTCAAGGAGGGCACAGTCATTCTGCACCAGCTTCTCAGAGCTTGGAAAAGAGCCTGGCAAATGCTCCTCAAATGAATGAATGAGAGGGAGAGCTGGGGGATCAGATCACATCCCTAACAGGCTGGAGCTTAGTAAAGGCCAGTGGCAGGGAGCCATAAAACAGAGGAAATAACATTTACGGAGACTGTGCCTTGGGGCCGATGCTGTAGTGGTGGTGTGTTCTCTATGAGACAGGTGAGGTATAGTCACAAAGGCAGGGCGTAAGCGCTGGGACTCTCTCAAGCCTTGCATCAAGGTTCTTCAGTCCTTAAAGTCTATCTCTGCCCAGCCTCTGAGTCCCTTTTCCAGGATCCCAAAGGGAGACCCAAGGCTTCTGTCTGAAGCCTTCAGTTGCTGCTTAGGCAGGTTCTCTTCTTCACCTCAAGCCTGCCTAACAATAGAAGTTTTTCTCAACATACTTCATTCTCCCCTTGAAGCCTGGCAGATCAAACTGTGTTCTTCCTGGGACTTTCAGGAAGATACTGGGGAGGGAGGGTTGCTGGGCTGAGACAGGCCAAGCTCCCTAGGCAGGACCATCTTCCATCAGGGAGAGCACTTCTTCAGTCATTCCTCTTTTCAGAACAGTGGCCCTTTCACACATTTTGGTGCGTTGGGGAGTGAACTTTGCATTGGATGGTAGAAGACAGGGTTCTGGCTCTGCCCACCAAATGGACACAGGTGACAGCCCTTCTCTGGCCTCCTTTCCTGCAGCTATTCAATAGGAGTTGGCTTTCCTTCTATCATCTTTCACTGCTTCCTTCTCCCCAGCCTACCTTTTCTCCTGTGTCCCTGCCTCACCCACACTCACTCCTTATGTCTACTTCTCCCCATTCCCAGTCATCTAGAGAAGCCAGTAGCCTTCTCCATGGCCCTGCTACTGTCACCACTCAAATGCTGTCCTGTTTCTTGCCGACAGAATCCCATCTCAAAGGCTGTTCTGACTGGGTTACTCCCCAACTCCCATCAGATCCTCGTTTGTGATGGTTCCCAGTTGGATGGAAATGAAGAGTTCTTAGGGCTGAGTTTAGGGGCCTGCCAATAGCATTTCAGCTTTAGATTTCCTTAGTATCTCCCAACAATTTGCTAGCTTTAGATAGACTGACCTCTTTATCCCAAAAAGCCTTTTTGGGTTCTGATTCTAGGGCAGCCAGATAGTGGTGGTCCTTCATTTTACTTTCATCCCAGTCTCTTTATCTGTAAGCAGAGATGCTTGATTAGATGGTAAAATAATAATAACATCTCATTCATTACTTCACTGCTCAAACCTTTATATTTGTTCTTCAGGTCTCCACCTGAAAGTCAATCCTTCCAGGCCTACATTGGGTCCCCTCTTAGACCTTCTCTTCTAGCAGCTGACACAGTCCACGGTTGTGTATCGCTGGCATTATCTGCTCAATGTTGTGCCCTTTCCCATTAGCCTGGAGGGCTCCCTAATGGCAGGAACTGTCCACCCTGTAGTCTCAAGGCCTATTCCTGCATGGGATTCTGCCAAATACCAGCCAAATGACTGACAATGCAGGCCCCCTTGGGAGACAAGAGGAGCCCATGAACTCAGTCGCTACAGAAGGGGAAGTCTGCGTAACACTAGCAGTAGCACTCAACAGAAGGCTGAGTGAAACGCTCCAGTCAAGTAGATCCCCAGGGAGAAGAAATCCAGGGAAGCTTCCTGACAGAGGAAATACCTGGGCTCACATGGTACACTGACTAAAGCATAAAGCCCATGCCATCCTGAAAGTGCACTGCCACCTACTCAGAGCCCAGCTAACATCCTCAAATGGGTCCAGGAAGACCCTAGATCTTGGGAGAAAGAACTCCCAGGATATTAGGACTAGAAAAACTGTCTGCTCCAAAGACCACATTTTACCTCTCTGGAAACTGGGGCCCACAGCAGGGTAAGAACCAGTTCCTAAAGAAGCCCAGACCTAGGCCTTATGGTGTCTTGTGGTCACTAGGTACCATGTGGGCAACCGTTTCACACTGAGCCACAGTGACCAATGTAATTGTGTGTTTTTCTAAGGCCTGCTGCCCCTACTCTTTTCCAGAAAAGGTATCTACTTTTCATTTTCCTAAAAGGCAGTTCAGGAAGAGGGGGTGGTTGCCTGGCAAGGTAGGAAGCACTGTGGGGTGACAGAATGCTGATTTGGCAGTCACTTTGGGAAGGGGTGGGCTGCAGGCTCCCTGCTGGAAAGGGCCACAAATCTTTCAGAGGGAGGCCTGTTTGTGACTCTTAAGCGGGCTTGACCTAAAACAGAAAGCTGCTTTCCGAGGGAGAGCAAAATAAGCAATAATCTTGGCTTCATTTATCATCCAGGTGTCGCCACAGGAGAGTAGGGACACAAAAGCCTTTTTTTTGTTTGTTTTGTTTTTGGAATTTGCAATTGTCTATTTTGTTAAGTCTTCCCACTAGGCTACAATCATGAGCTCCTGAAGAGTCAGGTCTGAGTCTTGCCCCTGAAATCCCCAGCAAGCCTAGTACAGGGTCTCAATGTTTGTTGAACAAACCATCCTTTCCAGGTATGACTCCTCAGCTTGTCAAGACTTTGCAGAACCACGAAATCTATCCAGAAACACAGAAAAGAAGAATTCAGAGATAAAAGCATAAAAGAATCAGGTAAGAAAATTACCCAGCAGATATGATCGATAAAAGTTTGGTTCTTTGAAAATACCTCTAAAATAGACAAATCTTTGGCAAGTTTTGAATGAAAAAAGGAATAAAGTGACAATGGGGAGACTTAAGTGAACAGGAGAAAACCATACTCAATTTTATAGCAACAAATTTAAAGCCTAGGTAGAACAGGTGATCTTCTATGAAATTACCAAAGCCCTTCACGACTGTGACTCAATAAAACCTCACGACAGCCCTGTGCCTTGGACAGGCAGTATTCCTACCATGCTTTCTAGAAGAAGGAGATTCAGAGGTGAATACTCAGCACAGGACCTGACAAACTAGCCTACACTGTCTCAAAGGTCATGGCCATGGGAGCACGTGCATACCTACAACATGGAACCACACCACTCTCGGCACTTCCAGCCATCACCTTACATCCGGCTGGTTGGACAGCCAGTCTTATTTATTTTTCCACTTGAAATGCCATAAGGGGTTTCACTATTTTTACTTCAAAAGCAGCACCATAAAAATCCTTGATGATTAGAGCTCCAGCTGTCTTAAGTTGTTTGTCAAGGGATCGGTTACTCAAATCTCCTATGGAGGGAAACAATTTCAGGCAAGAAGCCATGGGAGCTGAGAAACGCAAATGTCTCATCTCTGAAAACTTTCAGACTCCCTCCTGTTCACCGCCTGTCCTGCCCCCTGCTCCCCCTCCCCCATCCCCACCATCTGCTCTCCAGAAAGCAGATCAAATTTTCAGGCTAAGGTACTCTGGCGCCAAAGACTCAGCCCCTCCATGCTTCCCCCTGCCCCCCACCAACTCCGAAATCCAACACCACGACCCAAATGGACTGCAGCCACATAAAACCACAAAGTAAAGTTTATAAAGCTTTATTAAACATTTCAAACAGCTGTGCAACGAACACACCAAATAAAAGCTCTAGAATAGCAGTCCAGACGTTTCACAAGTATGGCCTCACAGTCCCATTCCCTAGATGGACTGCCTCCAGTTCTGTTCTCTGCCTGGCCCATCTCTCTTTCCCCTCAGGCAAGAGAGAGATGGATGGATCAGACTGAAAGGACAGGCATGCTGATCTCCAGCAGGCAGGGGCCAGGAGAAAGTCTCGTTTGCCAACACTTGTTACTGAAGCGCAGAAAAAGCAGCAAGTGACAGTCACAAAGTCTTCCTGGGTATTCTTCATAATGTACAGTCTATATGCGCAGGAACGAAGAAGCTCCTGGCGGGAGGATGATGGCCACTGCTCCCCTCTGTCTTGTCTGAACCACCTCGGAGTCCAGTGTGCTGGTCACTCTGCAATCCCCATGCTAAATAAAAACTGTAGCGGCACCTACCATATATAGCTAGCTATTGCTAAACCTCAAAATCAGACCACGTTCGATAAAGCTTCTTTAAAAGGAATATACACATGTATTTGTACACACACACACACAGGGCACACCAAAAAATATCCAAACATCTATCAAGGGGATCAAGGCCGTTACGAAACACACAGGTACTCTCCCACTCACTCAGCTGGGGACTGCTAGAACTACGTGAACACACCATACTTCAATGCTGCAGAGCATGCACGGGAGACACAATGAGGCCCCCTCCTTGGGACAGTTGAGAAAGGCAGGAGGAAGGGCAAAGGAAGTGAGGCTGGGCGGGAAAGCTTGAGCCCAGACACCCAGGTGAAAGAGCAACATCTATCTGTTGCTTCCTTTCTTAAAAATGAAGTGGAGAAAATACTGAAGATTTGTGGACAACTAACAGTCAAGACATGTTTCTGTCTAGCCTGCTGAACAAGGAAAGAAGGATGAAAAAGCGAGGCTCTCGGGCGTCAGCAATCTCTTCAAATTCGAGATAAGTGCAAAAATGAGCCCTGTCTTGGACAGGTACTCCCCAAAAAAGGAAAAGGGTAGAAGAGAAATAAAGGGAAACCAGAAGAGGGACTGAGGAGTCAGTAACATTCTGGGAAGGAAGGAGACCCTGACAAGGAGGGGTCACAGAGGTGACAATGAGACTGGCATTTTATCTGCCCCAGGTCACATTGGGGCAGCTGACCAGGATGGACCCAGACTCCTCACAGTAATGAGGCGAGAGGGGTGGTCATGCGGCCAGCCAGGACCTAGATGGGGACAGAACACACACAACCACAAGACCACCCACGACTATAGGACTTTACAATAAAAGCACCGGTCAGTGCCATTATTCACATTGTAAGGATAAAACATCACAGGCCAAAAAGGCGCCGTCAGGAATGTGACACCCGCGAGGCTGCGGGATTTGAAACTCCAATGCTTTATGACCTATGTCAATGCCTCCCCTCCCGTCTTCTGCTTCCTTGGAAAGCTAACAGGGCAGGCCGTTAGGTGCCCACAACGCCGGGATCATGCGCCGATTCTGGAAGCGGGGAATCGGAGCAGTGGTACAGGAAACAGTTTCCCCAGCAGCTATAGCAGATAAGGAACAGGGCTGCCAGGAAAACCAAGGCACAAATTGTGCAAGGCTTCCGTTCCAGGAGGAAGCTGAGCAGGTAGAAGCCCATGAACATGGAGTGGCTGAACCACAGGGCGGGGTTGAGGGGCTTGGGGATGAGGAGGACGGGCAGCAGCCACTGGAGGCAATACATGATCTCTGCCGGGCAGGGCCTTCACCAAGGCTGCCGGGCACCGCTGCAGGAACCGACCTAATGGGAGCCAGCGGGCGCAGGCGGCTGCCCTCCGCTTTCTTCAACCCTCACTCTCCAGGAGCTGAGCCGCTGTGCTCTCTGGCTGTCAGCCCGGGATCACCAAGGCAGCAGGGATCCTGAAGAGAAAAGTCAACACAACAGACAAACAGACAAAGAACAGACAGACAGACAAAAAAAAAAAAAAAAAAAGAAAAAAAAAAAAAAAACAGGAACAGAATGTATACTTATTTGGGAAAATGGATCATGGTTAACAACAGCAAATGTGAAATGCCCTTTCCTCCCTGCCCACCCGTGAAAGTTCTACTCCTCTCCAAGTCACTAATTCGGGAAGCTTCCTGGGATGTCTCCCCGGGGCTTCTCCTGGGGGATCGGGGAGAGGGCTCTTTGGCACGGTTTCACACAGTGGGCTGGCTTTGCCTGGGCCCTGCCCAGCAGAGATCATGTATCGCCTCCTGGGGCTGCAGCCCGTCCTCAAGGGGCCCAGACCTCACAATACCGCCCAGTGGTTGCCAAAGGACGACCAAGGGCTCCCTGCTGTGCCCCCACGTGGTAAGGACAGGGTTCTGTATCTAGCATCTCTCACAGCCATAGGTGCTCAGGCACTAAGTGCAGAGTTAAAGCTGTTAGCGGGGCACTGCCGGCCACCAGACCACAGGCAAAGGATCCTGAGGCAGCTACAGCCTCGAAATATTTTAAGATGGCAGCCTAGGCTAAGCTTGCCTTTTTCAAACAGCCCAGCGTCACTTTGCCAGAATCTGCCAACTTCTCCGAAAGTCAATGTAGAAAAAAAGTCACTATGCTACTTTGTCCAAACTGAACTCGTTTGGATCATTACACCTCCATCTGCTGCTGGCACTGTATAGAACCTGACCTCTGGGAGCTTTTAATGAAAATTAATTTTCTATCCACATAGGGGCAAATGCCAGTTGGTCCCTGGGCCAGGCAGCTTGCTGGAAAGAGGTGCTTTCGGCTGGCTACCGGTGCGCGGGGACCACACTCACAAACCGCATTCCGGTCTTCCCGCCCGAAAATCCGCGCTGTGCGAGGGACCCACAAGACTGGCGGTCTAAAAGGGACCCGCCTCACTTGGAAACGGGGCTGCGGTAGCCACAACCCTCCGGTAGCGGTAGCGTAACCCCGTTCGGTGATCCAGCCGCACAGCGCAACGGGTACAAAGAACCCCACTGGCTAAGGCCGACCTACCAGGGCTTGGGGGAGGGGAGCGGAAGACTGAGGTCGAAACGACCTGTCCAGCAGAAAACTATCCCCAAGCATATTCCAACCACTTCTCCGTAGAGCTCATTCCTTCCGTGCATACGAAGGGCGCCAATCCTTCCTGTATCCCTCCTACAGATACCGGGTGACTACTGCTTTTGCGCCCAAAGCGCAGTGCTCTGGCTCAGCTCCCTACAGTAGCGACCTCCACCGCAGATTCTCATCTCCTCGCTACCGTAAGAGAGATGTAAAGAATCAGACGGGTTACGCGCTCAGGCACCCTCATGAAGCAGAGGACCTGGGCTTAAAACTCATTCAGTATCAGGAAAAGAGCGCCGAGCACGGGCCTATTATGCCAAAGCTTCTGAAAGGGGCACCACGTTTTTTGCTCTATGGGGCAGATGACCCCTCCCTAATTTCGGTTTTCCATCCATCCCCAAGGTAGGCTTTGGAGTGGCACCGGAGACTGAGCTCAAATTTGCAGGCCAGGGACTGGGGAGAAGGGCGCCACACTAAGAGACCTGCACCCCCATTCTCGCCCTGTACTCTACCCAGAGTCGTGGTACCCCTCCATTTTAAAGCAAAATCCAAAAGCAAGCACGGCGGAATCTTCTGGAAGGGGGCTAAGATGGAACTCAGGAGGCGGGGGTCGGTATGGAAAGAGCAGATGGATTATTTTTTTCCTCTCCTGGCGAATGAGGAGCGCCCCCAGCCACCCCTCCTCATAAACACCCCCCAAGGCGCGCATGCGCACTTAGGTGGCGGGCGGGTACTTAAGGCGCGGCCACCGCGGCTGCGGCAGTGCGCCCAACAGCGGACTCCGAGACCAGCGGATCTCGGCAAACCCTCTTTCTCGACCACCCACCTACCATTCTTGGAACCATGGCGGCAGTGGCGGCGGCCTCGGCTGAACTGCTCATCATCGGCTGGTACATCTTCCGCGTGCTGCTGCAGGTAAGTCTGACGGGGTTTCGGGTGGGAGAGGGTTCCCAACTCGCGCCCCTAGAACCCGCAAGACTGCGTCGCGATTGCCGCTTCCCGGACCCGTCCTATTCCGATTGCCGCGATCCTTGCCTGCCCAAGTGCCGCTGCCGGCACCGCGCGCCCCCTGCCCATTCCCTGCGCCGTCCTCCTCGCGCTGACCCTCCCTAGTGCGCCCGCGCCTGCCAGGGAACAAAGACTCGGGGCGCGGCGGGCGACCGCTGCGGACGATCACCCAGGCATTTAGCGACCTACGCGGTAAGAAAAACCCGCTACACCCGGACTCGACCCCAGGAGGGAGGCGGGGCACTACTGTGTTGAAAGACTTTACAGCTCGCAGAGTGAAAATTTTCCACCTTAAAAAATTGCGCATTGCGGAGAAATTTTATTTAAAAAAACATATAGCGCTTGCGGGGGTGGAACAAAAAATAAGTTAGAAAAAGGCACTTCTCAGAAAAAATAAAAATTACTTCGCAAAAAAAAAAAACCCTACAACGAATTAGAGAAAAAGTAGTTCACAGGAAAACAGAAAAACGCGCATTGCAGGAAAAATAAATCGGAGAAAAGCACTTGGCAGAAAAAAATGCATTAGATTAAAAACGCACTGCAGAAAAAAATTAGACAAGGGAGCTAACGGAAAAAAATGGATCGGGCAAAAACGCTTTAAAGAAAAAAATTAGAGGAAAAAGCCCCTCGAGAGAAAAATAGAAGGGGAAAAAAAGCACTTCCAAAAAAGGACAATTGCTTTACAAAAAAAAAAATAATAATAAAAAAAATAAAAAAGAGGCAAAAGCGCTTGGTGTAAAAAGAGATAAATCAGAAGAAAGCGCTTTGCCCATAAAATCATTTACCCTAAAAGCTCCCTTTGCAGGAAGAATTCCCTGCTAAAGGAATCCTTTGCCAAAGGAATCGCATATTTCCTTCAAGGTGTTCCTGGAATGCTGCATTTACTGGGTAGGATTCGCTTTTCGAAATCCTCCAGGGACACAGCCCATTGCGAGAAGTGAGGTATACCTAAGTTGTGGGTCCAATCAGCTTGCCGCCATGCAGCTCTCAGCACAGTTGGAAAAGCTCCAGCTGCCCTGACTCGTGGACAAGCTGCGCCCGCGCCCGCCTCTCCAGCCTACGCTGGATGGGCGGGCGGGGCAGGGGGTGGGGCGGGGGTGGGCACGGCAGCACCACAGACATGCTGTGGGTGCTCTCCACTAAGGGTGGGTCCTGGGTTTCTCGTCGCAGGTGTTCAGGTACTCCCTGCAGAAGCTGGCATACACGGTGTCGCGGACCGGGCGGCAGGTGTTGGGGGAGCGCAGGCAGCGAGCCCCCAACTGAGGCCCCAGCTCCCAGCCCTGGGCGGCCGTATCATCAGGTGCTCCTGTGCATCTCGGCCAGCACGGGAGCCAGTGCCGCGCAGGAATGTGGGGTCCCCTGTGTTCCCTCGCCAGAGGAGCACTTGGCAAGGTCAGTGAGGGGCCAGTAGACCCCCGGAGAAGCAGTACCGACAATGACGAAGATACCAGATCCCTTCCCAACCCCTTTGCACCGGTCCCACTAAGGGGCAGGGTCGAGAGAGGAGGGGGGATAGGGGGAGCAGACCCCTGAGATCTGGGCATAGGCACCGCATTCTGATCTGGACAAAGTCGGGACAGCACCATCCCAGCCCCGAAGCCAGGGCCATGCCAGCAGGCCCCACCATGGAAATCAAAACACCGCACCAGCCAGCAGAATGGACATTCTGACATCGCCAGCCGACGCCCTGAATCTTGGTGCAGCACCAACCGCGTGCCTGTGTGGCGGGACTGGAGGGCACAGTTGAGGAAGGAGGGTGGTTAAGAAATACAGTGGGGCCCTCTCGCTGTCCCTTGCCCAGGGCACTTGCATTCCAGCCTCGCTGCATTTGCTCTCTCGATTCCCCTTTCCTCCTCACTGCCTCCCAAGCCCACCCTACTCCAAAATAATGTGTCACTTGATTTGGAACTATTCAAGCAGTAAAAGTAAATGAATCCCACCTTTACTAAAACACTTTCTCTGAACCCCCCTTGCCCCTCACTGATCTTGCTTTTCCCTGGTCTCATGCAGTTGTGGTCAATATTGTGGTAATCGCTAATTGTACTGATTGTTTAAGTGTGCATTAGTTGTGTCTCCCCAGCTAGATTGTAAGCTCCTGGAGGACAGGGACCACCTCTACAAAAAATAAAAAAAGTACCTCCCCTGTCTCGCACAGTGTCCCAGGACCCTGCGGTGCAGTAGAGGCGCACCAAAACTTTGTCTCTTGTGATTTCTTTAGCGGCATCAACATACACTTCTAAGACTCAGCTGATGTGCCCACTGTGGAACAGGCACACTGCTTGGGGGAGGGAGGAAAAGGAGGGCCATCAAAATTGCAATAAGCTGGGCCCCTCACACACCCAACCCCATCTCAATGCTGTCCTGTGATAAAGGACCATCTCCCCCTCTCCCCAAAGAGAAAGGCTGACATCTTCACTTGTGGTCCTGGAATAAGGGACCACTTCCCCCTCCCCAAAGGGATAGGTGCTTTACTTGTGGTCTTAGGATAAGGGGCCAAAGCAAGTATCACTTTGGGAAAGATGAGAGGAGGGGAAAAAGGTGGGAGTAGCCCTCCAAAGAGGTACTAGGGACCAAGGGGGTGATTTCAGAACACAAAGCCTTACTTCAGGTCTCCATCCAGGAGCCCCAAAGAAATGAGTAGTGGGCAGGGTGGACAGTGGCTTAGACAATGAGTATGGGATAAGAGGTGCAGCGTGGCGCCTTCTTCACCCAGCTTAATGCTGCAGGCCCCACATCCACCAGGACCACTACAAAGACAATCTGCCTGGCCTTGCTACTCTGCAGGGTCTCCTGGCCCCACCTCACCCCAGAAACCTCTCTCCCCAATACTGGGTTTCTGCTTTTCCCAGCACCAGCCTCCGTATTCTTAGGAATGCTTACCAGGTCCGTGGCCCTGGGCTCTCCCCTGCCATCACGTCAGGGTGGGCAGTGCTCGGCCTCGGACTTGTCTTCCTCTCCCACTCCCCAGTGAGTCAGGGCTCTTTCTACACGGGGTCAGCTGACTGTCTCACCAAATGGCCCTGCCGCCTGTTCAGCCTTGTCTCTGGCTTTATGTGTCCCTGTCACTACACACCTGTTGCTGGGTCAACACCAAGGGAGGGAGTTGGAGGGCCATAAATCTCTCTTCCTGCCACTTCTTCGAATCCCTTAGTCACAGCTGTCACAAATACTTCTGAAGCACAAAGTACCTTGCCCCCTTAAGCCTGATCATGTTTCCCTCCCCTAAGCAAGCCCTTAAGTTTCTTAGCCCAATCACCAGCACCTCTAAAGGCATCTAAAACTTCATTCGGTATCAGAGAATTATAGGGGTGGGGAGGTGCAGATCCCGGTTCTGGTCTTGACTTTGCCATCAATCAGCCTAGGGAACCTGGACATGTCACCTTGTACCCTTCATCTCCAGTTTCCCTCTCGAAGAGGGCCTTTGAGATGCCAGTGAACCCTAACACGCTAGAAACTGCCATAGCAGTGGCAATCAGGACTCATCAGGACTTGAAGAGGATGTGCAATCTGAGACTTCATCTTTCTTAGGCTGGGTGGCTATAGCTGCTACCATAGCCTGAAGGTGAGGCAGGTCTCCTCTCGCCCCAGTGTGACTCATCAGCAGGCAATGCCCACACCTCCTCCCTTCTGAACCCCATATCTTGGCAGGCCTCAAAACTGGGAGTTTCTGTGGTTTTCCACACTAAACCCACAGAATCATGAACATACCAACATGTGTTCTCCATGAAGGCTGACCCTCCCTTCGGAGCTTTTGAGGGGTATGCCCATAGCCCCACTGCCCTTCTTGATGCTCTAACCTCAGCCCAAGTGACAAGGTAGCAGATTTCAGGGAGGTAGGCCAAAGCAGCATGGTAAGAGCTGGCTGCTCTGGACACAGCACCTCTTGTGCCCCCACTTAGAGGACAAGAGGCTCCTGGTAGCCCCAGAGCTTTCCATATCATCTTGGCAAAGCCCTTTTCCTCCATCCGTCCATCAGCAGGGCTGTGAGTGTGGCAAGGTGAGATGACAGATTTCCAGGCAAGGGCTGCCCTGGTGGCCTGCACCTGCACGTGTGGGCTTCAATGTGCAATGTCCACTCCCCATTTGCATCCTCCACCCACAAAACTTCATGTTCTGGCAGCAAACTTAACCCACCAGAGAAGACAGTGCATTCACTTTCCATCCAGTGCAATGCCATGCAATGCCTAGATGGTCCAAACACACCTTGTTTATAAAATTTTTTCCACAAACTATACCATTAAACATTTTATTCTGATAGAGAGCAATGCGAAGAATTGAAAATGACTAGTGTTTTACTGCACAGCCCTTAGTCACAGTGCTGAACGTCCCCTTTGCCTAAACCATCATTGCTCCCAGAAGACTTTGCCCCCACAAGGCCAAGGACAGAGCAGATCGGTTGGGAAGGAATTGGGAATAGCTCTGTGGGACTCCAGCAACAGGTGAGAGACCCTTGAGACTAATACTCCAGGATGTTAGTTTCTTAGCCTAACGAACTGAAGTTAAGTCCAGAGGTGTTTAGGTACCATGACTTTTAGGGGTGCAGGGTGCTATGTGACACTGTTACCTTTATCTGTGGAATATTTGAATTGTCACTGAAGGAAGGGATGTCTGCTGTCAGGGAAGGGCAGGGGCAAGTTCCTTGAGCTTGGGCAACGGATTACTGTTGGATCGGGGAGCAGGTTTGCTGTGAGCCATTTACTAGATATCTATTTTGAAATGTGTATCTCCTCAGGAGCCAACACCCCAAAGGGAGATTCTGAATTTGCAGTTAACTTCCCCCCCCCACCGCCCCCACCCCCCCTCAGAGATTTAAACGTGTGCACTCATGCACATACACAAAACACTAGTCAAACAACAATCTCTTTTCCCCCCGGTAACCTCTGACTTCCTCTATATGCCCCAGAGACACGTTGTCACCATCTTCCCTGGGAGTGATCCTGTTTATCCTCCCCTCCCCGACTTGCCCTCCCACAGGGCCCATGCATGCCCCAGCAGGATCCAGATTCCTGAGCATTTCCAGAGCAGGAAGTCAGAGAGGCAGGCAACGCGTGGTTCTTGGTATATCGCACAGGGACAGGCTTGAAATGGAATGCATGTGTTTCAAAGATAGGAGAACAACAACAAAAAAAGACAGTCTAACCCAGATTCCTCTTTGAAACAACATATTACAGATTAAAGGTTAAACTGTTTTTGGCAGCAACTCTAACAAGACTAATTTCAGATATGGAATTGACCTGGTCACTGGAAACCGACCAGGCTTCCCGTGATCAAATCTTTTAACAGATTTGCTTGACATTAATTAGTCTCTGATTTAAAACAAACAAGCAAACAAGATCTAACACTT